>NC_000008.11:26526769-26829799 GCF_000001405.40 Homo sapiens
GCCTTGTTGCAGTGACCCCCATTGGTGTGTTCCACGGGGGATCCATGGGGCGCCTCTGTCCAAGGGTATGAGAAGGATCTGGGCTTTGGTTGGTTGATTTTGGAGGCCCAAGGAAGTGAGGGTGTCCTCTGGGTTGGGTGATATCAGAAAGTGGGGACAATCCTATGACTGGGCATCTCAGTGCATCTTCTGCAGAGCAGGGCAGATGAGACTGAGGCTAATGCTGTAGTTGACAAAGAAGCAGTGATCACTCCTATTAGTTAGAATGGGGGAGTTTGGCATTTTGTGGCT
The DNA here is from genome assembly GCF_000001405.40 of Homo sapiens. Taxonomy (NCBI): domain Eukaryota; kingdom Metazoa; phylum Chordata; class Mammalia; order Primates; family Hominidae; genus Homo; species Homo sapiens. The sequence continues at coordinate 26,527,061 of NC_000008.11, forward strand.
TGAGCCAATATTCAGATTTTATTAAATATGACTGGGGAGTGGGCTAGTTTTGTCTTGGTCCATCCTGGACAAGAGTGGCCTGGCTGCTGCTGACGGTCCCTGAAATCATTTCTGTTCAACAGGAGAATGCCCAACCCTGCTGTGACTGGCAGGTCAGCTCTTGGTGACTCTTTTTGTTTCTCAATATGCTGTTAAAATCAGGGATTGATGTGATAAGTTATATTCTCTGGTATTTTATTTTTGTTTTAGAGATATCTTCCTACCCTTCATTGAAGATGCTAAATAATTTCCTGAAAATTTTTTTAAGGATGATCTGTCCTATCCCTTGTGGTGTAGTAATTTTTCGTAAGCTTATTTTTTTCCTTTGTATTTATCTTCAATTCAGGTGAAATCCCTTTGGAATCCATGTTTTTGGCAGAAAAGTGTGTAAATTGTCTTTGGCCTCACTCTGATAACATACATTGGTCATTTCAAGCACCAGGTCCTTGTCCAATTCTTATTTTCTGGTGCAGAGATTTCTGGTTTGGGTTTTTACACGCACATTTCAAAAATGAATTGGGGGGGCTGTTGCCAACTTTTTATGTTGCCAAATAAAGACATTAAAAAATTATCACAATATTATTTCATAAAATAAACAACATCTTAGCACTGAAATCATAAAGGGAAATTAATCCCAGAATTAAAAAAATATGTATAATTTGGGCCTTATAAAAAACTGAATGTATGGTTCTTATTTGTTTATCCTTTTTTTTTTTTTTTTTAGATGGAGTCTTGCTCTGTCACCCAGGCTGGAGTATAGTGGCGGGATCTGGACTCACTGCAACCTCTGCTTCCCAGACTCAAGCAATTCTCTTGCCTCAGACTCCTGAGTAGCTGGGATTACAGGCACGCGACACAGCACAGAGCTAATTTTTGTATTTTTTAGTAGAGACGAGGTTTCACCATGTTGGCCAGCCTTGTATTGAACTCCTGGCCTCAAGTGATTCTCCTCGACCTCCCAAAGTGCTGAGATTACAGGCATAAGCCTCCATGCCCAGTGTCTCATTTTGACCCAGATTTGTGAACACTGCCTCACGCAACCTGGCATCAGCTGCTAGAACAGCACTGGTGAGGTGGCACCTCTGCCTCTCCTTGTCTGCCCCTAATCCCACTTCCTGCACGGTCCCTTTCCAGGAGTTGTGACTTCTGTTGAATAGAGAGACAGGGCCCCTGGCAGACCAGTATGGGCAATTGTTTCAAAATGCACCTGGGATCAGGTATGGTGAGACACACAGATATGTAAATGACTGTCATAAAGAAAGAAATGGGCCGGGCGCGGTGGCTCATGCCTATAATCCCAGCACTTTTGGAGGCTGAGGCGGGTGGATCCCGAGGTCAAGAGATCGAGACCATCCTGGCCAACATGGTGAAACCCCATCTCTACTAAAATCACAAAAATTAGCTGGGCATGGTGACTTGCGCCTGTAGCCCCAGCTACTCAGGAGGCTGAGGCAGGAGAATCGCTTGAACCCGGTGGGTGGAGGTTGCAGTGAGCCAAGATCGCGCCACTGCACTCCAGCCTGGCGACTAAGGGAGACTCTGTCTAAAAAAAAAAAAGAAAGAAAAGAAAAGAAAAAGAAAAAAAAGAAAGAAATAATACTCACAGATCCCTGGAAACAGGAGGCACTGAAAGCAGTGCAGCGCCACTCTGGGAAGCACCACGTTGGGCAGGAGGCAGAGGGAGCAGGGAAATAGGTGGCCAAGAGCCTTTATTGTGGTTTCAGGGAAGGAATAGGAGAGGAAGGGTAAACAGGTTTAGGGAGGCCAGTTTGGATAACATTGATGGGCCCTGGAGCATAGTGGCTGTCCCTAAATGTCTGGTTCCTGACCCTGGGGTGATTAGGGTAGGTGGATATTGGCCCTGAGTTTAAGAGCTTCCTGAAGGAGGAGGATGGAGTGTGAGCTCTGGATTAGTTGGTTTGCATATGAAAGACATGCCTGCAGGAGAGTCATTTTACTATCTCTAGGAATTGGTTAGCTTGGGAGGTGCAGTCTCTCCAGGATCGGCAAGGCCCCAGATGGCAAAGCATCAGAAAAACAGAATAGAAAGGCATGATTCATATGGCACTACTAGCTGGCAATAGTAGGCCTAAGATCGTTATAAGATTCTGGCCTCATATATATATAAATTTAAATCTATCTATCTATCTATCTATCTATCTATCTATCTATCTATCATCTATCTATCTATCTATCTATCTATCATCTATCTATCTATCTATCATCTATCTATCTATATATATATTTAGAGACAGGATCTCTCTCTGTCTCCCAGGCTGCAGTGCAGTGATGTGATCATAGCTCATTGCAGCCTTGAACTCCTGGGCTCATGTGATTTTCTTGAGTAGCTGGGACTATAGGTGTGTACCACCACACCTGGCTCATTTTTTAATTTTTTGTAGAGACATGGCCTCATTTTGTTCTCCAGGCTGGTCTCAAACTCCTGGGCTCAAGGGATCCTCCTGCCTCAGCCTACCAAAGGGCTGGGATTATAGGCATGAGCCACTGTGCTGCCTATAATTTTTCTTTTAAAAACTTGATGCATGTTCAGAGTTATAGTCACATCACTAAAACCAATGGAGTCCAAAACTGCCCATCCAACTGCTGGATTTTTAAATTTTAACCGTAATTTTTTTTTTTTTTTTTTTTTACAAATGAATTATATTTCTGACAGGACATATGATTGTGCCAAAGCTGGTGGTGAAGATGGCTGGAAAAGAATTAACTGGGGCCGGGCACGGTGGCTCACACCTGTAATCTCAGCACTTTGGGAGGCAGAGGTGAGGGGATCACCTGAGGTCAGGAGTTCGAGACCAGCCTGGCTAACATGCTGAAACCTCGTTTCTACTAATAATACAAAAAACTAGCTGGGCATGGTGGCCCGTGCCTGTAATCCCAGCTTCATGGAAGGCTGAGGCAGGAGAATTGCTTGAGCCCGGGAGGTGGAGGTTGCAGTGAGCCGAGATCGTGCCATTGCACTCCAGCTTGGGCAACAAGAGGGAAACTCCGTCTCCAAAAAAAAAAAAAAAAAAAAAAGGAAAGAAAGAAAAGAATTAACTGAAAAGAAAAAAAAACCAACAACTATCATCTACAACTCTGTTCACTAAATCTCCTCCAATTTCAGTGACGTGACAGAATTAGCAAAGCAGGATTTCCAAGTAGGGTCAGTTTTACCTTCCTCCCATGAGATCACCCTGTGACGCTGAGCACTGTAGTCACTGTGTTGTCTTGGCTGTCTTAGCTTCATCACAGCACACCAGCAAATGTATATCTTTGACATATGATTTCTTGTGATAACATTCAATTGGTCCATGGCATTTCCGTCACATCTTAATTGGATGTGGACTTTGAAATTGTCATGGAGCATTCAGGAATTAAGCCTGCATGAAGTTATCCAGGCTTAGAACCATAGAGAGAAATGTGCAGACATTCTACAAATTCCTCAATTTCCAATAGGACTCTGGACTGTTTTTAGGACCCTTTAAAAAATTTAACATGATCACCAGTCATTTCTTTGTCCTTCCTTCTGGCCATTTAGTTACGTAAGATGTACTTCTGTGAGGAAACCGTTCCGATGCTGTTTTTCAAACTTCATTCTTGAGATTTCCTGGAAAGTCACTGGAGAATGTGGTGTGCAGAAGATTAGGATGAGTTTCACCAGTTATAGTGAGCTCTTATGGTATACCAGATGGTGGCTTTAGCAAATCACCTATTTCTTTTAGATCTGCTACCTCCTTTGCAAAGTGGGTATCATGACCAGTTCCTTATATGCTAGGTCTTGACAGGGAGGTCTTGCTACTGAATGACTTCCCAGTTAGGTGTGGTGGCTCAGGCCTGTAGTCCCAGCTACACAGGAGGCTGAGGTGCGAGGACGGTTTGAGCCGAGGAGTTTGAGGCTGCAATGAGCCCTGATTGTGTCACTGCACTCCAGCCTGGGTGACAGAGCAAGACCTCGTCTCAAAGAAAAAAAAAAAAAAAAGGTGATGAGGGAGCTCAGCTGCTATGACCTAAGCACCTCTCCAAAACCCCCACCTCTTAACATTATTGCATTGGGGATTAGGTTTTCAATACATGAATTTTGGGGGACACATTCAGACCATAGCAAGGACAGAAAACAAAATAAGGAAACAGCAGAGGAAATTGAGGAGGCCCACAACGGAGGTCTGAAGAGAACACAGGGGCATTAATCCCTGTGGAAGGGCAGCTCGGGGGCTCATGGAAGTTCCCACAGGCCCAGCAGTAACACTCCTGGGTATGCAGAGATCACCTCTCAACCTCTGCAACCAGCTGGAAGTGAGCTCAGAAGAGATTTTAGGGCTGGAGATAGAGATAGGGTGCCATTGGCAAGGAGGTGGTGTCTGAACCCATGAGGTGGATGAGATCAGTCAGGGAGAATGTGCGAGGTGGTAGAAAGAACATGGATGTTGGAGCCATCTAGAGCTGGGATGAATCATTTATTCTGGGCCTTAGATGTAACTGATCTGGGCTCCAGTGCCACATAAGACAAATAGACAGAACCTCTGTTCCACAGCATTGTTCACACTGGCCCAGAGGACTGGTGAAAGTACAGGGCCTGGTATTAGCAGGTGCTTAATAAAGGGCGATTTTATGTTAATGAATATTTAAAAGTCAAGCCAGGGAAGAGAGACAACAGCATTTCAAGAGGTACATGATGGTCAGCAGTATTAAAGGCAGAAAAAAAATGAAGTAGGATGAAACCTGAAAGGACACCACTGGTTGGGCTTAGGTGCCGGTCTTGGTGGGAGCAGGCTTGATGGCGGGTGAGTGGCAGCTGCCATGTGCTGTGAGGTTGGGAGAGTGGTGGGTACTTGGGGAAACTCATCTTGGTGTCCTTTGGGAAGACAGGTGGTTTGCCAGGGATATGGGCACAGGGAGGGCACTTGTGCCTTTTGAAGGTCTTTTGCTTTTGGTAAGATGTGGAAGCCATGATCATGTTTGTGTAGAGAGAGGAAGGCCCCAGAAGGGAGAGCAGGACTGATAGAGATAGGAGGCAGGTGTGGTTCCCTGACAGGAAAGGAGGGATTGGCTTCAAGTACAGAGGAGGACACAGTTGCTGGAGGATGATCAGGGCTTTCTCTTGTGGCAGGGAACTTCTGTGAACCCAGGGATGAGGTCAGAGTTGGATTTGAGGGACTTTATGTCTGGTGGAGTTAATTTTTAGGTAAAAGAAGAGGGGCAGAGTTTCTTCCAAGGGCAAGTGGTAGCAGGGTCTACTTCAGGAGAGGAATGAACTTTGGTACAAGTATTTACTATTGAAATATTTTTCACATACCATAAAATTTGCCCCTTTAAAGTGTATAATTCAGTGGCTTTTAGGATATTCACAAGATGTGCACCCATTATCATTGTCCACTTTCAGAACATTTGCATCATCCCCAAAAGAAACCCAGTAAACAGTCGCTATCCATTTCTTCCACCCCTAGCCCCTGACAACCATTGATCTGCTTTCTATCTGTATGGATTTGCCTATTTTCACATTTTATATACATGGAAACATATACTATGTGGTCTTTTGTGACTGGCTTCTTTCTCTCAGCACAATGTTTTCCAGTTTCATTGGTGTTATAACATGTATCAGTACTTTGTTCCTTTTCGTGGTGAATGAAATTCCATTGTATGGATATAATACCTGTTTTTAAATTCATTCATCAGTTGACAGGTAGTTGGGTTGTTTCCACTTTTTAGCTATTATGAATAATGCTGCTATGAATATTCATGGTAGAATCTGTGTGAACATATGTTTCCATTTCTCTTAGTTATGTATCAAGGAGTAAAATTCCTGGGTTATTTGGTATCCCTAATTTTTTGAGGAACTGCCAAACTGTTTCCCAAAGTGGCTGCACTACTTTACATTCCCATCAGCAGTGTATGAGGGTTAGTGTATGAGGTTTCCAACTTCGCCGCATCCTTGTCTACACTTGTTATTGTCTGTCTTTTTGATTCCAGCCATCCTACTGGGTATGAGTCAGTATCTCTTGTGGCTTTGGTTTGTATTTCCCTGATGACTTGATGCCATTGAGCATCTTTTCATGTGCTTATGTCATTTGTATCTCTTTGGAGAACTGTCTATTAAAATTCTTTGCCCATTTTTAAGTTGGAATATTTGCCATTTTGTGGTTGAGCTGTAAGAGTTCTTTATATATTCTGGATACTACATCCTTAATATATATTATTTTTTTCTCCTGCTCTGTGGATTGTTTTTCACTTTCCTGATAGTGTCCTTGACGTATGAATGCTTTTAATTTTGACAAAGTGTAACTTATCTATCTTTTCTTTTGTTGCTTGTACTTTTGGTATCCTATTTAAGAGCGTATTTCCTATTCCAAGGTCACAAAGACTTACCCCTGTGTTTTCTCCTGGATGTTTCATAGTTTTTGCTTTTACCTGTAGATTTTGGATCCATTTTGAGTTAATTTTTCTATGTGGTATGAGACAGGGGTCTAACTTCATTATTTTGCCTGTGGATGTCCAGTTGTCCCAGCTCCATTTATTGATTAGCAAAAGCATTTTAGGAGATGGCAAGAAACTAGAGACAAAACATTGCCACACAGCATTAGAGAAACCACTGGTGCCAAAAAGGCTGCATCGGGAGTGAAGTCAATGACCACAGCTGTCAAATGTTCTCAGGTGAAGAGGTTGAGAGGACTCCTGGAGATCCCAGATGGAGAAAAGATGGTAGAAGAATTGAGGCTTGCAAGAAGTGACGTGCTGCTGCGGTGGCAGGGACTGATGGGGGAACCCAGTGACAGCCTAGTGACAAGAGGGTCTTAATTAATGCAACTGAAAAGCAGGTCTGGTGAGAATGAGTAACAGTGTGGGAGGAGAGGAATGGAAGAGCTTAGGAGTTAGGAATTGGGAAGAAGCTGGGAAGTCCATGGGCTTTGAAGGTCCAAGGAATGAAATGGTAGTGGGCTGTTAAGGATATTGAAGATCTTAGGAACAGAGGAGTTCAATGAGCAACAACAAGACTGGTTATTGGAATTATTAGTGACAACTAGTGGGTGAATCCTTCCTAGATACCAGACACCGTGCTAAGCCATTTATATGGACTATTTCACTTAATATTTTTTTTATTTTTGAGACTGAGTCTTGTTCTGTCACTCATGCTGGATTGCAGTAGTGCCATCTTGGCTCCTTGGAGCCTCCATCTCCTAGGCTCAAGTGATCCTCCCACCTTGGCCTCCCAAGTAGCTGGGACTACAGGGGCATACCACCACACTTGGCTACATTTTGTAGAAATGTTGTCCAGGCTGGTCTCGAACTCCTGGGCTCAAATGATCCACCCCCCTTACCCTCCCAAAATACTAGGATTGTAGGCATAAGCCACCATGCCCTGCCTCTCATTTACTTCTTACAGGATTTCCAAGATAAAATTGTGAGCTCTGGAGCCAGTTACCACTGCTAACAGCTGTGTGGCTGTGTGGCCTTGGTCAACTTACTTATTTTTTCTATGTAGGGTTGCCACTTTTATCAAATGAAAATATAGGACACACTGTATTTTTTTATTTTATTTATTATTATTATTATTATTTAAGACAGGGTCTCATTCTCACCCAGGCTGGAATGCAGTGGCACAATCATAGCTCACTGCAGCCTTGAACTCCTGGGCTCAAGTTATCCTCCTGCCTTAACCTCCTAAGTAGCTAGGACTACAGGCATCGGCCACCATGCCAGGCTAATTTTTATTATTATGTTTTGTTGAGATGGGGTCTATGTTGTCCAAGCTGGTCTCTAACTCCTGACCTCAAGTAATCTTCCCACCTCAGCCTCCCAAAACACTGGGATTATAGGCATGAGCCACCACAACCATCCCAAATCTTGTATTTTATCTAGCTACAGCATTTCTATGACTGTTTCCTCATCACTTAAATTAGGGTTAGAACAGTGTCTACATCATTATGTGTCTTAGTCCAAGCTGCCATAAAAAATTGTCATAGATTGGGTGGCTTAAACAACAAATATTTATTTCTCACAGTTCTGGAGGATGGCAGTCTGAGATCAGGGTGCCAGCATGATTGGGTTCTGTTGAAGGACTTCTTCCACATTGCAGACTTTGTACTTCTTTTCTCCTTGTGTGACAGAAGGAGTGTGAATTAGCTCTTTGTTCTCTTCTCACAAGGGAACTAACTGCAGTGTGAGGGCCCCACCCTCATGACCTGATCACCTCTCAAAGGCCCTACCTCCAGATACCATCACAATAGGGATTAGATTTGGCCATGTGAATTTTAGGGGAACATGAAAATCCAGTCCATAACATGAGGATTGTTTAGGGGATTTAAATATGTCATACATATAAAGTTTTGGAGCACGGGCTGGCACATAAGAAAAACCCAACTAGAGATTTTCCATAGAGGTCATACTCTGATGTTTCATGACCTTTTTCTGCTCTCATTTGAAACTTGAATTCATTTCACGGAACGTAAGTACAGAGATTGCAGTGGAAACAATAAACAGAAAAGCATGCTATGTTTGGGCCCGTTTATACAAAACAGACTGATATATATATATATATATATTTTTTTTTTCAGTGTAGGGAGCATGTGCAACAGTGTTATGAACTGGGATGCAAACTAATTATTATCTACTTAGATGAGCTGGTCAAGATGATATTGTTAATTTGCTGACATTGCTTTGAAATGAACGTGCCAGGACATAGTGCAGTATATTCTGTGGCAACAACAGAAACTCATGTTAACAAACAGTGGCGTTGTCCTTGTAAAGTATTGTTACAAATTAATACGACTTTCTTCCCATCAAAATTATAAGCTCTCTATGGGTTGTGTGTGTGTGTGTGTGTGTGTGTGTGTGTGTGTGTGTTTGAGATGGGGTCTCACTCTGTCACCCAGGCTGGAGTGCAGTGGTGTGATCATGGCTCACCACAGCCCCAACTTCCCAGGCTCAGGTGATCCTCCAGCCTCAGCCTTCCAAGTGGCTGGCACTACAGGTACATGCCACCATGCCCAGCTAATTTTTGTATCTTTTTCCTTTTTTTTTTTTTTTCTAGAGACAGAGTCTTGCTAAGTTGCCCAGGCTAGTCTTGAACTCCTGGGCTCAAGTAATCCTCCTGCCTCGACCTCCCAAAGTGCTAGGATTACAGGTGTGAGCCAATGCACCCAACCTTAATTTTTGTATTTTTGGTAGAGATGAGGTTTCAGCATATTGCCCAGGCTTATCTCAAACTTCTGGGCTCAGCCTCCCAAAGTGCTGGGATTACATGCATGAGCCACTGTGTTTGGCTCATAATGTGTTTTTTAAAAAGTAAATTATAGGCCAGGCATGGTGGCTCATGCCTATAATCCTAGCACTTTGGGAGGCTGAGGCGGTTGGATCACCTGAGGTCAGGAGTTCGAGACCAGCCTGGTTAACATGGTGAAACGCCGTCTCTACTAAAAATACAAAAATTAGCCAGGGGTAGTGGCACACACCTGTAATCTCAGCTACTCAGGAGGCTGAAAAGGGAGAATCGCCTGAACCCAGGAGGCGGAGGTTGCAGTGAGCCGAGATTATGCCACTGCACTCCAGCCTGGGTGACAGAGAGAGACTCCATCTCAAAAACAAACAAACAAACAAACAAAACAGTAAATTATTAGGTGGGCATGACATGAATAGTGAATTTATGAAAGGGAATAAATTGTGTTTGAATGAAGAGGAATCTGTAAGTAAGTCTTAAGGAAGCATACCAGAGACAAAAGAGAGACATTTGCAAATTATAGAGAAATAATGAAGGGCAAGATTCTGAATTGCAGCTGTATTGATGGGAAAGGCAGTGAGAGAATGGTGAGGGTGATGCAAATGAGCTACATCTTGACTCGGCCACCAGAGGGACTCTATTTGGGAATAGGTGAGAAAATGTCTACTGAATCTGACACTTCCTTCCCAACTGACAAGTATATAAATGGAGGTTATGGTAAATAATACGGATTTTTTTTTTTAAGTAGAAAGCCTTAAAAATTTGATTTTCTGATGAGTGACTTAAATAGATTAGTTTATGGCTAAATTAATGTCAAAGGGCTATTAGGAAGTATAGGTAATTCCTACAGAGTTGGTTAGGTAATATTATTACTGCCATTATCATTATTACTGCCTAAATATTTGGGTAATGAAATCAAAGTCAAATGTTCTGGGAGAAGCTGAGGAATGGCTTTGACCCTCCACGTTCCTATTTAGTGGAGCCTATTCTGGGAAGGCTGCCTTCGCTTGCTGCAAAATCAAGACAAGTTCAGGAGCTGCAGGATGATTCAGCATGGGGTCCCAAACTCCAGTCATTTGCTAGTTTTTGTCATATCTACCTATAACGTTTGCTATTATTTATCCAATATTGTGTAGAAAAAAATTGCTTGTGCTTTTAAAGCTTTTTAAAAACTATCTTTTGGAGAAATTTAAAATATAAAGAAAAGTTACAAAAATGATGCAGAATTTTTGTAGACCTTTCACCTAGTTTCCTGCATTGTTGGCATTTTACTGCATTGACCTTACTATCATTCTCTCTCTACACACACACACACACACACACAACTGTATATTTTTTCTCATTCGAGAGTAAGTTGCAGATATGATGCCCCATTTCCCCTTAATACTTCAGTGTATATTTCATAAAAGACAAGATTACTTTTCTTCATGACCAAAGTGAAACCATCAAAATCAGAAAATTCACATTGATACAATACTACCCTCTAATCCCCAGATTTTGTTCAAATTTCACCAATTATCCAATAACATTCTTTAGTAGGTCCAACATTCAAGTCAGGATTATCATTTACTTGTCGTGTATTTTTTCCTTCTATCTGGAAGCGTTCATCTTTCCTTGGCTCATATAACCTTAACACTTAATGAAAACTACAGGCCAGTTATTTTGTAGACTGCCTCTCAGTTTGGAATCATCCGATGTTGCTTCATGATTTATACATTTTTGTCATGACTATATCTGAAGCAATGCTGGATCTTCTGGGAGAATCCTATCATGAAGTGCAGGATGTCAATTTATCCCATTACTTGTCATCTTAACTCTGGTCACTTGATAAAGGAGGTAGCTGTCAGATCGATTCACTGTAATGTCAATTAAGAAAAATTTTATACTTATTGAGGAGGAGTGATGTCAGCAAGATGGTGGACTAGGAGGCACCAGTGCTTATCTCCCCAACAAAAACAATGAACAAACAGCTACTTGCCAATGAAAATAGTTATGGGAGAGCTCTGGAGTACAATAAAGGAACTATAGTAACCCAGTGGAGCATGAAAACTGAGGATGACCACATAGAAAAGTGTAGGAAGCATTTTAACCTATGCTACCCCTCCCTCAGTCTGGTATAGGTAGGTACCAAGAGCGATCCCTTGGCATGACCTCTCCCTGTGGGGGAAAAAGGGAGCGGGAGGACCTCAGTGGTCCTCATCACTGCCAAGGAACACTAACAGCTTTCTCCCCATGGTCTTCAGTGATGTTGAGCCCGTGTAATGAAGCTTCCTGGAGTCTACAAAGATGTTCCTGCCTTGAGGAAGGAGCTGCTATTATGTTTCCACAGGAGTAAGAACCACCACTGTGTCCTGCCCTCCTTCAGGGCCAAAGCCACTACCTCCTTCCCACAATCACGTGCATGCTCCAGAGCCTAGCTCTGTGGCTACTGTGCATGTTCCATGCCTCAGACACCAGCACAGTCACTGCAGTGAGTGTATTTACATGCCAGACCTGTTGCAAAGAGGGATTTTCTTGGGCATGACATTCCCCCAGTGAGATAAAAGAAGACCACTGGGCCCCAGTAGCCTTTAACACCAAGGACCCCAACAACCCTCATCACATCAACAGCCCTCTGCAACCTTGGCCACTAAGGACCACTATAGAATCCAACAATGTTTTTCAGCACTTGCTCCCCTCCATCCCTCCCCCTTCTAGTAGTTCCCAGTGTCTGTTGTTCCCATCTTTATGTCCACTTGTACTCAATGTTTAGCTCCCACTAATAAGTGAGAACACACAGAATTTTGTTTTCTGTTTCTGCATTAAATTGCTTAGCTACCTCTACTTTTAACATATTTTAGGCATTAGGACTTGCTTAGCCTTTAATACACAGGAATATTAACTAAAATGCACATATAAAACAATTGGTTAGACAATCTGAACTAATTTAGCTTATGGGTACAGAACCCTTCTCTCTGCATGGTTCCCTCTCCCCCTGCCCAGCACCACCCAGTGAATAGTCAGCATCAAAACATCCAGTTTCACAATTCCTTTCCCAAATTCAACCACTCCTGTGAGATAACAAAAAAATATTTAAACGGTGTTACTGTAGCCCTCTACTTTTAGCATACGTTGTGCACTTTTAAACATCTAGAAAGACTAGATTTTTCAAATAGTGCCTAAGTTTTCCACTACATACACAGTAACGTTGAATAAATGGTACACATGTAATAAAGGCTCTAATTTGAAAGTGTTATTTATTTATTTATAGACAGAGTCTCACTCTGTTGCCTAGGCTGGAGTACAGTGGTGTGATCTTAGCTCACTGCAACCTCTGCCTCCTGGGTTCAAGTGATTCTCCTGCCTCAGCCTCCCGAGTAGCTGGGACTACAGGGATGCACCACCACGTCCGGCTAATTTTTGTCTGACCTCAGCAGACAGAGCTCCATGGAAACTACACCACCATGCCCTTCCTGAAGGCAGAACTATTGCTACCTTCCCCGCCCTGCCAGAGTAGGATCGCTACACTCCACCCAGCCAACACCCTCACACCCACCTGCAGGTGTAGGTCTTTCCCCACTGAAGCCAGTCTTAAGTCTGGAAGAAGTGACTGTTTCCACAAGTGCATAGACACCAACACCAACATATGGCTATAAGAAACAAACAAACAAAAAATCAAGGAAACATAAAACCACCAAAAGGACACAATAATTTTTCAATAACTGACCCTAAAGCAATGAAAATCTACAAATTGCCTGACAGGGAAATCAAAATAATTGTTTTAAGGAAGCTTAGTGAGCTACAAGAGAACACAAGTAGACAACCCAATTAAATCAGGAAAACAATGCACAAACATAATGGGAAGTTCAACAAAGAGATAAAATAATCTTAAAACCTCAGAAATTCTGGGGCTGAAGAGTGCAATGAATGAAATGAGAAATTCAGTAAACAGCTTCAACAGTAGACTTGATCAAGCATAAGAAAAAAAAATCGGTAAACTTGAAGACAGGCCATTTAATACTATTTAGTCAGAGGATAAAAAAATGAAAAAAGTGAAAAAAGACTACAGGATTTATAGGACACCATTAAGTGAACCAATGCACATATTATAAGAGTTCTAGAAGGAGAAGAGAGAAAGGGGTAGAAAGCTCATTTAAATAAATAATGGCTGAAAACTTTCCACAGATTGTTGGAGGGAAATGGACATCCAGATTTCTGAATCTCAAAGATCCCCAAATAGGATCAACCACGGAAGACTACAAGTGCTCCTTAACAATGGATGTCCTGATAAACCCATTGTAAGTTGAACATATTGTAAGTTGAAAATATATTTAGGCCAGGCATGGTGGCTCACACCTGTAATCCTAGCACTTTGGGAGGCCAAGGCAGGCAGATCACCTGAAGTTGGGAGTTCGAGACCAGCCTGGCTAACATGGTGAAATCCTTTCTCTACTAAAAATACAAAATTACCTAGGCATGGTGGCACATGCCTGTAATCCCAGCTACTCAGGAGGCTGAGGCAGGAGAATTGCTTGAACCCGGGAGGCAGAGGTTGCAGTGGGCTGAGATCATGCCATTGCACTCCAGCTTTGGTGACAGAGTGAGACTCTGTCTCAAAAAAAAAAAAAAAAGGAAATATATTTAATACCCAATAAAGCCATCAGGAAGTCAAAAAATTGTAAGTTGAACCATCATAAGTCCAGATGCTCCTCAATTTGTGATGGAGTTAAGTCCAGATAAACCCATCATAAAGTCAAAAAATCTTAAGTCAAAACACCATGTTGGGAATCTTCTGCACACCAAGACACATTTTATTCAAGTTGTCGAAAGTTAAGGACAAATAAAGAATTTTCAAAGCAGCAAGAGAAAAGTGATTTGTCATTTTTAAGAGAATTTCTGTAAGAATATTAGTGGATTTCTTGGCAGAAACTTCGCAGACTAGGAGACAGTTGGATGATATGTTCTAAATATTGAACAAAACACAACTTTTAATCAGGAGTACTATGCCAGGCAAAATTATCCTTTAAAATTGATGGAGAGATAGTTTTTCTCAAACAAACAAAAATGAGGAGTTCATTACCACTAGACCTAACTTACTTATCATTTACTTGTCATGTCTTTTTGTTTCTTCTATCTGAAACAAACAATGCTTCAGAGACTTCTTCAAATTGAAATAAAATTATCCTAAACAGCAACACACACACATAAGCATATGAAAGCATAAATCACACAGGGAAAGGTAAATATATAGATGCAGACAGATTCATGTAACACTGTAAAGATGGTATGTAAATTACTTTTAACCCCAATGTAAAAGTTAATAGAGAAAATGTCGCTAATGGATATATGATATAAAAAGAAGCATTCTTTGTCTACAAGAATACAAAGTGCTTGTGTGGGGGAGTAAAATGGTAGTGTTTTTTTATACATTTGAACTTAAAATAGAAGGTTAAAAACTGTAAGATATTTTACACAAGCCTTTATCTAATAGCAAAGAAAAAAACCTGTAACAGATACACAAGAGATGAAAAATCAAAGCATATTACTACAAAAATCATCAAACAACAAAGACAGCGAGAAAACAAGAGTTAAAACAATGCAAGACAAATAGAAAATAATTAACAAAATGGCAATGGTAAATCCTCATTAATAATTACTTAAATGTAAATGGATTAATCTCACCAATCAAAAGGTGTAGAGGCTGGGTGTGGTGGCTAATGCCTGTAATCCCAACAATCTGGGAGGCCCAGGTGGGAAGATTGCTTGAGCCCAGGAGTTTGAGACCAGTCTGGGCTCAAACTATGTCTTTAACATAGGGAAACCCCATATCTACAAAAAAATTTTAAAAATTAGCCAGGTGTGGTTGTGCATGTCTGCAGTCCTAGCTACTAGGAAGGCTGAGGTGGGAGAATCGCTTGAGGCTGGGAGGTTGAGGCTGCAGTGAGCCAAGCTAGCAACTGAACTCTAGTCTGGGTGACAGTCTGAGTGACCTTGTTTCAAAAACAAAACAACAAAAAACCCACAAAAGGTATAGAGTGACTGAATGTATAAAAAACAAGATCAAGTCATATGCTGTCTATAATAGATACACTTTATTTATTGTTTCCAGGTTTTTAAAAATTCCCATATTAAAAAAATTTTTTTTTTTTGAGGTGGCAGTCTTGCTCTGTTGCCCAGGCTGGAGTGTAGTGGCATGATCATAGGTCACTGGAACCTCAACCTCGTGGGCTCAAGTTGTCTTCCTGCCTCTGCCTTCTGAGTAGTTCGGGCTACAGGCATGTACCACTGTGCCCAACTATTACAATTTTTAATTTTTTTGTAGAGATGGGGTCTCACTCTGTTTCTCAGGTATGTTTTAAACTCTGGCTTCAGGTGATCCTTCTGCCTCATCCTCATAAAGTGTTGGGATTACAGGAGTGAGCTACCACACCTGGCCTAACTTTTATTTTTAAAAAGTTAATACATGCATTATAGGAAAGTGAAAAACACAAGAAGCAAAGAACAAAGTTGTCCACAATCACAAGCAGCTTACAGTTTGCTGTGTCCTTCTAGGTCCTGTGTGTGTTTAGACACAACATCCAGTTTTATTGGATTGAGAGCATACAGTATGTATGTATCATGCTTTTTCACACATCATGAATATTTACCAATTTAAAATTCCAAAGTGATATGAATATTTTGATAACTAAAAATACATGACACCAGCTCAATCTGTTAGAAAAAAGTATAATCCCACCTCTTTTGGGACAAAAATTTCATAGAAGACAAAAATGGCAACGCTCCTCTAGATAAAGGTATTGGCAGAATTCCAATTAAAATACTGCATTTCCTTAATGTTCAATTTAAACTGAAACATAAAGCAACAGAGTACACCAAGTATAGTGTCTAAGATAATTCATTATCAGATCTATACCATTCAAATGTTAGCAAGGAGGTATATTTCCATTGAATTACTCAATTTACTCTTGCAGTTCAGCCAAAGAGATGCACATACGTCAGTTGGCTACAGTCAAAATGTAAATATGAACACATCTGCATACATCTCTCCCTTCACACTTCCTTCTGCTCCTCTGCTGCCTACCTAACAAGTCCTGATATACACTGCTCAGGGATAGGTTAACAATTCTGTATCCAAGCTTCATTTTTTGTATCAATTATAAGAAGATATTTATGAATTGGCTAATTCACTGGCTCTACCTTGGTTTTTTTTTTTTTGAGATGGAGTTTTGCTCTTGTTGCCCAGGCTGGAGTGCAATGGCAGGACCTTGGCTCACTACAACCTCTGCCTCCAGGGTTCAAGCGATTCTCCTGCTTCAGCCTCCCAAGTAGCTGGGATTACAGGCATGTGCCACCACGCCCAGCTAATTTTATATTTTTAGTAGAGACAGTGTTTCACCATGTTGGTCAGGCTTGTCTCGAACTACCGACTTCAGGTGATCTGCCCACCTCGGCCTCCCAAAGTGCTGGGATTACAGGCGTGAGCCACCGCGCCTGGCCACTAGCTCTACTTTTTATCATACATTGTTTGCTCAGGGTGTTCCTATTTAAAAGATACTTTCAGGCCGGGCTGGTCTTGAACTCCTGACCTCAGGTGATCCACCTGCCTTGGCCTTCCAAAGTGCTAGGATTACAGGCATGAGCCCTGTACCCAGCCTGAAAGTATCTTTTAAATAGGAACATTCTAGCCTAGAACCTTTTTCCTTCCTACTTCTGTCAACCCAATGGACAGATATAAGCATCTATAGTACTTAGCAGGGATTTTCACAAACAAAAGAACAGTCTTTTCTATGAATTTTAACACAAAACAGACTCAATGTATTAGTTTACTAACCCTACTTTTGTCATATGCTGGCGACCTCTTTAACATCTAGAAGGACTAGATGTTTTAAATCAGGACTTGCTTGTCCTTTATGTATGGTATAAACATAGCCAAGTAAAAGACAATGCATGGACATAAGGGACAGTAGCCAATTGTGCCTCACCATACACACACTGGTATCAAACCCTTTGGAATTCCTTCTCCTCCTTTCTCCCTGAACCAGCATGAATATAGTAATGTGTACTGCTCAGAGAAGTGGTGTGATCATTCAATTTCCAAAAGACAATATTTCATATGAATTTTACAAAAGGATATTTACAAAGTGTGTTCTTTATTACCACTACGTTTAATATACTTTGTGCACTTCTAAACACCTGGACAGACTAGATGTTTCATATAAGGACTTAAGTTCGTCTACTATATACACAGTAGTATTGAATAAGCTACACATGTAACAACGGTTATATCTGAAAGTATCATCTATATTGTTCTGGTCTAGAATCCTCCATTTCTTCCAGTTCCTCTCCACCGCCAATCTGATGGATATAAGTACATGTGTCACTTGGACGTGATGTTATCATTTTACTTCTAAAAGTCCTTTTGAGAAGACAGCTTTTCTGTGAATTTTAATACAAAGTGTACAAAATGAATAGATACACTTTAGAATTAAAGACACATGTAGGTTGACAGTAAAGGGATAGAAAAGGATATTTTATGCAAATAGTAACCAAAAGAAACCAGAGGGGGCTATACTTATATCAGACAAAATAGACTTTAGGTCTAAAACTGTCTGTAGACACAAGGAAGATCATTTTATAGTGATAAAAAGGTCAGTTCTACAGGAAAATATAACAATATAACAATCATATACACACTCAACATCAGAGCACCTGAATATATAAAGCAAATATTGACAGATCTGAGGACAGGAATTGACAGCAATACATTAATAGTAGGGGACTTTGATACCTCACTTAACAATAAGTGATAGAACATCCAGACAGAAAATCAATAAAGAAACACTGACTTGAACAACACTATGGAAAAGATGGACCTAACCACCATATGCAGAACTTCTTATCCAACAGCAGAAGTATGCACATTTTTCTCAGGCACACACAAAACATTCTCTGGGATAGATCACATATTAGGCCACAAAATGAGTCTTAACAAATTTAAGACGTTCAAAATAATTCTAAGTACCTTTTTCAACCACAATGAAATGTAACTACTAACCTATAACAGCAAGAAAACAGGAAAATTCACAAATATGTGGAAACAAAACACACTCCAGAACAACCATTGGCTCAAAGAAGGTATCAAAAGGGAATTTAAAAAGTGTCTTAGCGAGGCGCAGTGGCTCACGCCTGTAATCTCGGCACTTTGGGAAGCAGGTGGGCAGATCACTTGAGGTCAGGACCTCCAAACTAGCCTGGCTAACGTGGTCTGGAGTTCAAGATCATCCTGGCCAACATGGTGAAACCCCATCTCTACTAAAAATACAAAAAATTAGCTGGGCATGGTGGCATGCACCTGTGATCCCAGCTACTTGGGAGGCTGAGGCAGGAGAATCACTTGAACCCGGGAGGCAGAGGTTGCAGTGAGCTGAGATTATGCCACTGCACTCCAGCCTGAGCAACAGAGTGAGACTCCATCTCAAAAAAAAAAAATAATCTCAGCATTGAATTTCCCTGCTCCTTTATCAAAGATAATTCGACTATATTTATGTGTGTTTCTTTCTGGGCTCTCTGTTTTCTTCCCTTGATCTGTTTGTCTTGACAACCATAGCTTTATAGTAAATCTTGAAGTCAGGAAGTATCTGACTTGTTCTACTCCTTCAATTTCACGTTGCCTATTCTGGGTCTTTTGGCTTTTCATATAAACTTTAGATTTCATTTGTTGATATCCACAAACAATTTGCTGGCATTTTGATTGGGATTTTGATTGTGTCGAATGTATAGATCCAGTTGGGAAGAACTGACATCTTGACAATATTGTCTTCCAATCCATGAACTTGGGAATATTTCTTCATTTATTTAGCTCTTCTTTGATTTTGTTCATCAAAAAAATTGTAGGTTTCCTTACATAGATCTTGGATGTGTTTGTTAGACTTATACCTAAAGATTTCATTTCGTGGGTGCTCATGTAAATTGTATTGTGTTTTTAATTATAAATCCCACTTATTCATTGTTGCTATACAGGAAAGCAATGGACTTTTGTATATTAACCTTGTATCTTGCAACTTTGCTACAATTGCTTATCAGTTCCAGTTTTTTTGTTGATTGTTTTAGACCTTCTACATAGATGATTACACCATCTGCTCAACAAATATCAAAAATATTAGCATTTTGGTGTATATCTTTCTAGAGTCTTTTAAAAATAAATTAGACACCTTTATATTTATTGTGTGTATATACACATAATTGTATGTAACATAAATGTTACATAATTGGGATTCAGTGAGAAAGCTTCTAGTTTCTTATCTGAGATGCTAGACTTTTATTCTCACAACAAGAAAAATCCTGCAGAGGCCGGGCGTGGTGGCTCACGCCTGTAATCCCAGCACTTTGGGAGGCCGAGACGGGTGGATCACGAGGTCAGTAAATCGAGACCATCCTGGCTCACACGGTGAAACCTCGTCTCTACTAAAAATTCAAAAAAAATTAGCCGGGCGTGGTGGCGGGCACCTGTAGTCCCAGCTACTCAGGAGGCTGAGGCAGGCGAATGGCGTGAACCCGAGAGGCGGAGCTTGCAGTGAGCCGAGATCGCGCCACTGCACTCCCAGCCTGGGCGACTGAGGGAGACTCAGTCTCAAAAAAAAAAAAAAAAAAAAAAAAAAAAAAGAAAAGAAAAATCCTGCAGAAACTGAAAATCAACAACTCTTTATCAGTCAGATGATTGAGGTCACAAGGCAAGACACTTCACCTGCAATTGGTGAGACAAGCCCATACACAGAATCAAAGCTTACTAGAGGCCAGGAGCGGTGGCTCATGCCTGTAATGCCAGCACTTTGGGAGGTCGAAGTGGGTGGATTGCTTGAGCCAAGGAGTTGGAGGCCAGCCTGGGCAATGTGGCGAAATCCTGTCTCTACTAAAAATGCAAAAATTAGCCGGGTGTGGTGGCACACACCTGTAATCCCAGCTACTCGGGTGGCTGAGGCAAGAAAACTGCTTGAACCCAGGAGGTGGAGGTTGCAGTGAGCCAAGATTGTGCCACTGCACTCCAGCCTGGTTGACAGAGAGAGACCCTGATTGAAAAAAAAAAAATTGCTTACTGGAGCAGAAGCCCACTGCAGCAGCAAGATGCAGATTCCTTTTACTCAGTACATTGTATCCACCCTTCAACAAAAAATTACACGGCAAATTGAAAGACAAAAAACAATTTGAGGAGACAGAACAAGCATCATAACCAGACCCAGATATTGTAGAGATTTTGGATTGCTGACAGGAATTTAAAATAACTATTTAACGTGTTAAGGCCTCTAATGGACAAAAGTGAAAAACATGCAAGAACAGATGCATAATATAAGCAGAGAGATGGGGACTTTAATAAAGAATCAGGACTAGCCAGGAGACCAGAGATGTAGCACCTGGAGCAGCATGGCCCAGCCTTGTGGAGTGCATCTGAGCGGGAAGGCCTGCAAGCAGGCGGAGGTCTTCAGGCAAAATCTTTTCCAGGAGGCTGAGGAATTCCCCTACAGATTCTTGCCACAGAAAGTCATATATCTGAATCAGCTCTTGCAAAAGGAGTCCTTCAATGTGGCTGATCTGACCTCCCTCTGAGTGCCACTGAAATCCCCATCCCAGACCCTCTATCCAAGGATGATGAGTTGGAAACAGATAAGCAGGAGGAGAAAGAAGTCTCCCTGGCATGAGAAGGTCCTTTTCCTGTTCCCCTGGATAAGACAGAAGTCTGGACTCTCAAAGAGAAATGCATTCTGGTGATCACATGGATCCAGCATCTGATCCCCAAGATTGAGGATGGACATTATTTTGGGATATCACTCCGGGAGAAGGTGCTGGAGAGGATAAAGGCAGTCAAGACCAAAGTGGTTCCAGACAACCACGTCCAAGTACTTCTCAGAACATGGAGATGCTGTGGCCAAGGCCTCCAAGGAAATTCATGTAATGGATTATTACCAGGCCTTGGTGCACAGGCAAGATGAGGCACCTATGGGGAGATCGGGGACACCGTGCTTGAACTGAGGGCTTTCTATGCTGAGCTTTATCATAATTTCAGAAGCAACCTGGAGAAAATTGTTAACCCAAAGGGTGAAGAGAAGCCGTCTATATACTGAGCCCAGGGCTAGAAGAGAAATAAATGACTTATACTTTGTGTGGATTAAAAGACAATAATCAAGGCCTTTTCCTCTCAGAAGTCCCCTCTCTCACAGTAGACAGAGAGCTGTTTTCCTATTTTTTTACCTATTAAACCTCCACTCCTAAACTCCTAACAGTAATAATAATAGTAATAATAATAATAATAATATTCAGGCCATGTGTGGTGGCTTATGTCTGTAATCCCAGCACTTTGGGAGTCTGAGGCAGGAACATTGTTTGAACTCAGGAATCCAAGACCAGCCTAAGCACTATAGTGAGACCTCCTCTCTTAAAAAAAAAAAGTCACCAGACATGGTAGTGCATGCCTGTGGTCCCAGCTACTTGGGAGGCTGAGGCAGGAGAATCACTTGAGCCTGGTGGTCAAGGCTGCAGTGAGCTGTGATTGCGCCACTGCATTCCAGCCTGGGTGACAGAGTGAGACCTCATCTCAAAAACAAAACCAAACCAAATAAAAAATAGGCCGGGCGCAGTGGCTCACGCCTATAATCCCAGCACTTTGGGAAGCTGAGGCGGGCAGATCATTTGAGATCAGGAGTTTGAGACCAGCCTGACCAACATGGGGAAGCCCCGTCCCTACTAAAAATACAAAAATTAGCTAGGGATGGTGGCAGGTGCCTGTAATCCCAGTTACTCGGGAGGCTGAGGCAAGAGAATCACTTGAACCCAGGAGGCGGAGGCTGCAGTGAGCTGAGATCATGCCACTGCACTCCAGCCCAGGTGACAGAGGGAAGACTGTCTCAAAAAAATTAAGTTAATAATAATAATAATAATAATAATAATCAAAAGGATATGCTAGAAATAAAGAAAACACTATACTAGAAATGAAGAATGCCTTTTATTTGATTGATCAAGAGGCAGGACCCAGCCAAAGAAAGAATCAGCGAGCTTGAAGAAATGTCAGTAGAAACTTCCAAAATGGAAATGAAGAGAGAGAAAACAATGAAAATGACGGAACAGAATATCCAAGAAATACGAGAAAATTACCAAAGATTTAATATATGTATAAAGGTGATATCAGAGGGAGCAGAAAGACAGAAAGGGACAGGGGACATACTGGAAGCCATAATGACTGCGAATTTCTCAAAATTAATGATAGCATACCACAGGTACAGGAAGCTCAGAGAACACCAAGCAGGATCAGTACTACAAAAATCTATCCCTGGGCATATCACATTCAAGCTGCAGAAAATCAAAGACAGAAAGAAAACCTTGAAAGAAGTCAGAAGTAAAAAGCACTTTATATATAGAGGAGCAAGGATAGTGTTATACCGGATTTCTCTTGAGACCCATACAAGCAAGAAGAGAGTGAAGTGAAAGATTTCGTGCTGAAAGAACAAAAACACCAATGTAGAATTTTGTATCCAGCAAGATTGTCCTTTAAAACTGAATGATAAATAAAGACTTTCTCAGACAAATAAATGTTGAGAGAATTTGTCACTGGTGACATTGCAAGAAATGTTAAAAAAAAAATCTTCAGAGAGAAGGAAAATGACATAAAAAGAGAGTTGGATCTACTTAAAGAAAGGAAGAGTGTTAGAGAGAAATAAATCAAGGTAAAATAAAGTAAATAAAGTATTTTTAAGATTCTTAATTGACCCAACAGATACCTGTTTGTCCAAAATAACAATAGAAACAACAATAATGTATTAGGTAGTTATAGCTTATGGGTAAATTAAATAAGGAAAAGTAACATTACAAGGGATGGGAGCATTGGGAATACTCTGCTGTAAGGTATGTGCATCACCTGCGATGAAGTGGTATAGTGTAATTTGAACATGGACTTGTTGTAAGTGTATACTGCAAACTCAAGGGCAATGACCAGAAAAAGCTAAAAAGGGACATAATTGATTTTTTGAGAGGTGAGAAAATGGAGTTACATAAAGTAATCAATTAAAATGACAGAAGGCAGAAAAAGAATGAAAGACAAGAAAGAAACGAAGAACAAGGACAAAAATATAAAATAGTAACAAGCATAGAAGATATTAATCCAACTATCAATAATCACTTAAATCTTAATGGTAAATACACCAGTTTAGAGATAGAGATTGTCAGAGTGAATTAAAGCAAAATAGATGTAACTATATGCTGTGTACAAGAAACCCACCCTAAATATAAAAATACAGATAGATTAAAAGGATGGAGAAAGATATGTTATGTCTTTTAGTCAGGGTTCTCCAGAAATGCAGACTGATGGGAGATAGATAGACTGATAGATGACAAGTGGCTTATTAGAGGAATTAGCTCACTCTGTTATGAAGGCTGAGAATTCCCATGATAGACTGTCTGCAAGCTGGAGAACCAGGGAAGCTGGTAGCTGGCTCAGTGCAAGTCTGAAGGCCTCAGATGCAAGGATGCCTATGGTATAACTCTCAGGCTGAACCAAAGGCCTGAGAGCTGGTGGGGAGAGGGGGTCTGGTGTAAGTCCCAGAGCGCAAGAGCTGGAGAACTCAGAGTTCTGACACCCAAGGGCAGGAGAAAATGGATATCTTGCCTCTGGAAGTGAGAGAGTTTACCCTTCCTCTGCCTTCCATCCAGGCCCCCAGTCAGTTGGATGGTGCCCACTCACATTACATCTGGATCTTCCCCACTTTGTCCACTGACTCACACACTAATCTCCCCCAGATACACCTTCATAGACATACCTGGGACAACCCAATTATTCTAATCAAAAGCCAAACCCTTTGAGCAGAAGAGGGATGGTCTCAGTGCCTACTGACGCGCTGAGAATAATTGATCCTTTACCAGCTATCTGAGTATCTTTTAATCCAGTCAAGTTGACAGCCCCAATCTACTATCACACCATGCTAACAGAAATCAAAGGAAAGTTAGAATAGGTATATTAATTTATGACAAAGTAGACTTCAGAGCTAGGAAAATTATCAGGGATAAAGAGGGGCACAACGTAATGATAAAGAAGTCAATTCTCCAAGAAGATATAACAATCTTTACTGTATATGTGCCTAACAACAGAGCATCAAAATACATGAGGCAAAAACTGATAGAATTTCAAGGAGATATAAACAAATCTGCCAGTATAGTTATAGACTTCAACACCCCTCTGTCAGTAACTGACAGATCCAGCAGACAGAAAATCAGTAAGGACATAACAGAACTAACACCATCAACTAAATGGATCTAATTGAAATTTATATTATACATCACCCAGCAACAGTAGAATTCACATTCTTCTCAAGCTTACATGGGACATGGAACATTCACCATTCCAGGCCATAAAACACACCCTTAACACATTTAAAAGAATAAAAATCATACAAAGTAAGCTCTCAGACCACAATGAACTTAAACTAGAAATCAGTAACAGGAAGATAGCTGGAAAATCCCCAAATATTTTAAGAATATACTTTTATTGTATTTTATTTTTAGAAATGAGGTCTTGCTCTATCTCTCAGGCTGGAGTGTAGTGGCATAATCATAGCTTATGGCATCCTTGAACTCCTGGGCTCAAGCAATTTTCCTGCCTCAGTCTCCTGAGTAGCTGGGACCACAGAGGCATGCTACCATGCCTGGCTAATTTTTAAATTTTTTATAGAGACGCGGTCTGACTATGTTGCCAATGCTGGTCTTAAACACTTAGGCTCAAGCAATCCTCCTGTCTCAGCCTCCCAAAACATTGGGATTACAGGTGTGAGCCACAGCACACAGCCTAAACAATATATGTTTGAATAGCACATGGGCCAAGGAAGACATCTCAAAAGAAATTTTAAAAATATTTTTTAACTATGAGAAGATGAAAATACAACTTATCAAAATTTGTGGACCGCAGCAAAAACAGTGCTTAATGAGAGATTTATACCATTAAACGCATATATTAGAAAAGAAGAAATATCTAATATCAATAATCTAAACTTCCACTTTAGGAGACTAGACAAAGAAGAGCAAATTAAATTCAAAGTAAACAGAAGAAAAGAAATAATAATAATTAGAGCAGAAATCAATGGCATTGAAAACAGGAAATCAAAAGAGAAAATAAAACCAAAAGCTGATTCTTTGAAAAGATCAGTACAATTGATGTCTCAGTCCATTTACTGTTGCTATAAATGAGTACCTGAGACTGGGTAATTTATAAAGAAAGGAAAGTTATTTCCTACAGGTCTGGAGGCTGGGAAGTCCAAAGTCCATGTGCTATTTCTGGTGCGGGCCTTCTGGCCGGTGGGTCTTCTCTGCAGAGTTCTGAGGAGGTGCAGGGCATCACATGTGAGAGTGCTTACAAGAGACTGCCAAACTGGCTTTCATAACAGACCCGCTCTTGTGATAAGTAGCCCACTCCCTCAATAACCCATTAATTGGTTAATCTGTGAATGAATTAATCCATTCATGAGTGCAGAGCCCTCATGACCCAGTCACCTTCCAAAGATTCTACCTCTCAACACTGCTGCACTGCGGATGAAGTTTCATGTGAGAAGGGACAAACATTCAAACCATAGCATTTGATATAACTCTAGCTAGGCTAAGAAAAGAAGAGAGAAGACACAAGTTACTAATATCAGAAATGAAAGACAGGCCATCACTGCTGATCCCATGGACATGAAAAGGGTAATAAAGGAAGATTATGAACAACTCTATGTCCACAAATTTGATAATGTAAATGATATTGGCCAATTCTTTGAAATTCACAATCTACCTAAACTCACACAAGAAGAAATAGATAATCGGAATAGACCTATTGCTATTAAAGAAATACAATAGAAAATAACCTTCCAAAACCGAAAGCACCAGGCCCAGATTCATTCACTGGTGAATTCAACCAAATAATTTTTTAAACTTTTATTTTAGGTTCAGGGGTACATGTCCAGGTTTGTTATATAGGTAAACTTATGTCGTGGGGGGTTTGTTGTACAGATTATTTCATCACCCAGGTACTAAGCCTAGTACCCAATACTTATTTTTTTCTGATCCTCTCCCTCCTCCCACCCTCCATCCTTAAGTAGGCCACAGTGTCTGTGGTTCCCCTCTTTGTGTCCATGTGTTTTCATCACTTAGCTCCCACTTATAAGTGGGAATATGCAATATTTGGTTTTCTGTTCCTCTGTTAGTTTGCTGAGGATGATGTCTTCCAGCTTCATCTATGTTCTTGCAAAGGACATGATCTCGTTCTTTTTTATGACTGCATGGTATTCCATGGTATATATACACCACATTGTCTTTATCCAATGTACAGTGGTCATTTAGGTTGATTCCAGGTCTTTGCTATTTTGAATAGTGCTGCAACGAATATACACATGCATGTGTCTTTATGGTAGAACAATTTATATTCCTTTGGGTATATACCCAGTAGTGGGATTGCTGGGTCGAATGGTAGTTCTATTTTTAGTTCTTTGAGGAATGACCACACTACTTTCCACAGTAATTAAACTAATTTATACTCCCACCAACAGTGCACAAGTGTTCCATTTTCTCTGCAACCTCATCAGTACCTGTTATTTTTGGGCTTTTTTTTTTTTTTTTTTGAGACGGAGTCTCACTCTGCCACCCATGCTGGAGTGCAGTGGCACGATCTCTGCAACCTCTGCTTTCCGGGTTCAAGCAATTCTCTGCCTCAGCCTCTGAGTAGCTGGGGTTACACATGCCCCCCACCACACCCAGCTAATTTTTGTATTTTTAGTAGGGATGGGGTTTCACCATCTTGGCCAGGCTGGTCTTGAACTCCTGACCTCGTGATCCACCCGCCTTGGCCTCCCAAAGTGCTAGGATTACAGGCATGAGCTACCGTGCCTGGCCATTTTTTGGCTTTTTAATAATAGCCATTCTGACTGATGTGAGATGGTATCTCATTGTGGTTTTAATTTGCATTTCTCTAGTGATCAGAGATACTGAGCTTTTTTTCACATGCTTTTTGGCTGCCTGTATGTCTTCTTTTGAAAAGTGTCTGTTCATGTCCTTTGCCCAGTTTTTAATGGTTTTTTTTTTTGTAAATTTGTTTAAGTTCTTTATAGATGCTGTGTATTAGACTTTTGCCAGATGCGTAGTTTGCAAATATTTTTTCCCATTCTGTAAGTTGTCTGTTTACTCTGTTGATAGTTTCTTTTGCTCTGCAGAAACTCTTAAGTTTAATTCCATCCCATATGTCAATTTTTGCTTTTGTTGTGTTTGCTTTTGGCATCTTCGTCATGAAATCTTTGCCCGTTCCTATGTCCAGAATGGTGTTGTATAGGTTGTATTCCAGGGTTTTATAGTTTTGGGTTTTACATTTAAGCCTTTTATCCATCTTGATCTACCAAATAATTAAGGAGTAAATCATACCAATTCTCTATAATCTTTTCCAGAAAACAGAAGCAGTGGGGATACCTCCTAATTCATTCTATGAGGCCAAAATTACCCTAATACCAAAACCAGACAAAGGCATTATAAGAAAAGAAATCCATAGACCAGTATCTCTAATGAATATAAATGTCAAAATCCTCAAAAATATTAACAAATAAAATGCAACAATGTATACAAAGAGTTTCTACATTAGAACCAGTGGGATTTACTCCAGGTTTACAAGAGTGGTTCAACATTCAAAATCAATTAGTACAATCACATCAGCACGCTAAAGAAGAAAAAAAGATCACATGATTATACCAATAGATGCAGTAAAACTATCGACAAAATTCAACATCTATTAGTGATAGATAGAAAGCTAAGTATATAGGGAAACTTTCTCAACTTGATAAAGAAGATCTGCAAAAATGGCTAACATCATATTTATGGTGAGAAACCATAAACTTTCCTGCTAACAATAGGAAAAGGCCAATGATTTCCCTTCTCAGCACTTGTATTTAACATTGCACTGAAATCCTAGGTAATACAAGAAGCAAGAAAAGAAAAAAAAGGTATATAGATTAGGAAGGAAGAAATAAAACTTTGTTTGCATATGACATCACTGCCTATGAAATAAATCCCAAAGAATCAACTACAATAAAAACTCCTGGAACTAGTAAATGATTATATCAAGATTGTAGGATATGAGGTTATTGTACAAAAGCCAATTGGTTTTCTATATACCAGCAATGAACAATTAGAATTTACATTAAAAACATACTATTGTTTATGTTAACACCAAAAAAATTAGATATAAATCTAACAGAATATGTATAAGATCTGTATGAGGAAATCTACAATTCCCTATGCACAAAATCAAAGAAGATCTAAATATATGGAAAGGCTTGGTGCAGTGGCTCATGCCTGTAATCCTAGAGGCCGAGGCAGGTGGATAGCTTGAGTCAAGGAGTTTGAGACCAGCCTGGGCAACATGGGGAAACCTCATCTCTACAAAAAAATACAAAAAATTAGCTTGGTTGGGGGGCGTGCACCTGTAGTCCCAGCTACAAGGGAGGATGAGTTGGAAAGATTGCTTGAGCCTGGGAGACAGAGGTTGCAGTGAGCCATGATTGTCAGCCTGGGTGACAGTGAAAAAAAAATTATATATATACTTGTATATGTAGTACTTGTATAGGTAGTTATATATATTAGCATATATACACATATACTATATATACATATACATGTATTATATATTATATATAGTATATATAGTATATATAAATATATAGTATATATTATATATATAAATATATATATAAGTATATATATAGTTTATAGTATATATAAATTATGTATATACTATATATAGTATATACTATATAAATTATATATAGTATATATATACTATATATATTATATATACTATATATAGTATATACTATATATAGTATATACTATATATAGTATATACTATATATATTATATATACTATATATATACTATATATAGTATATATAGTATTTATATAATATATATAGTATATATATACTATAGTATATATAGTATTTATATAATATATATAGTATATATATAGTATATATATACTATATATATAGTATATATATAGTATATATATATAGTATATATATATAGTATATATATATAGTATATACACACATACATGCACACACATTTTTATATGTAATTGTCTATGTAATAAATCCCGAAGAATCAACAACATTAAAATCTCCTGGAACTATTAAATGATTATATCAAGATTGTAGGATATAAGGTTATTATACAAAAGTCAGCTGCTTTTGTATATACCAGCAATGAACAATTAGAATTTATATTAAAAACATACTATTGTGTACAAAAAATACTTAGTTATAAATCTAACAATATGTATATATGTACAGAAAGATTTTTTGTGTTCATAGATAGATGGATTGTCATGATCTTCCCGGTTTGATCCACACATTAGATACAATCAAAATGCCAGCAAGTTGTTAGTAGACATCAACAAACTGAATCTAAAGTTTATATGGAGAAGCAAAGGAGTTCAGAATGGGCAACATGAAATTGAAGGAGAAAAACAAATTAGATACCATCTGACTTCAAAACTTACTATAAGGCTACAGTTGCCAAGACAGTGTGGTAGATAAACAGATCAAGGGAAGAGAGCAGAGAGCCCAGAAGGGGACCCACACAGATATAGTTGACATATCCTTGATAAAGGAACAAGGACAATTCAGTGTTGAAAATACAGCCTTTTCAACAAATGATGCTGGAACAACTGGCCAACCCCATGCAAAAACATAAATCTAGACACAGACCTCACATCTTTCAGGAAAATTAACTCAGAATACATCATAGACCTAAATGGAAAATGGAAATCTATAAAACTCCTAGAATATAACATAGAAGATGACTTTTTAGATACAACACCAAAAGCATGGTCCATGAAAAAAATAATTGATAAGCTGGACTTCAAAAGTAAAAAACTTCTGCTCTGTGAAAGACACAGTCAAGAGAATGAAAAGATAAGCCAGAGACTGGGAGGAAAAAAATTGCAAAAGACACACATATGGTAAAGAACTGTTATCCAAAATGTACAAAGAACTCTTAAAACCCAACAACAAGAAAACAAACACCCAATAGAAAAGTGGGCCAAAGATCTTAAGAGACACCTCACCAAAGAAGATGTACTCACGGCAAATAAGCATGTGAAAAGGTTCTCTGTGTCATATGTCATCAGGGAATTGCAAAGTAAAACAACAATTAGAACAGGCATGGTGGCTTATGCCTGTAATCCCAGAACTTTGGGAGCCGAGCTAGGTGGATCATTTGAGGCCAGGAGTTTGAGACCAGCCTGGCCAACATGGCAAAACCCTGTCTCTACTAAAAATACAAAAAAAAAAAAAAAAAAAGCCAGGCATTGTGGTACATGCCTATAATCCCAGCTACTCAGGAGCCTGAGGCATGTGAATCATTTGAACCTGGAAAGTGGAGGTTGTAGTGAGCCAAGATCACACCACTGCACTCCAGCCTGGGTGACAAAGAAGACTTTTTCTAAAACAAACAAACAAACAAACAAACCCAGCAACAATGAGATACCACTACACACCTGTTAGGATGGCCAACATTCATCCTGGATTTTCATGTGTAGTGGCATCTCATTTCATCCTCACCAGCAATGGAGAGTTCCTGTCGCTCTACATCCTAACACCAAATGCTTGTGAGGATGTGGAGCAACAGGAACTCTCATTCATTGCTGGTGAGGATGCAAAATGGTACAGCCACTTTGGAAGACAGTTTGGCAGTACATTACAAAACTAAATATTATCTTACCATATGATCCTGCAATCATACTCCTTGGTATTTATTCAAAGGAGATGAAAACTTATTTCTAACAAAAATCTCTACAGAAATGTTTATAGCAGCTTTATTCATGATTGCAAGAACTAGAAATCTACCAAGATGTCCATGAGTAGGTGAATGGATAAACAACCTGTGGTACATTCAGACACTGGAATATTACTAGGTGATAAAAAGAAATGAGCTACAAGCCATTAAAAGAAATGAAGGAACCTTAAGTATTTATTGCTGATTGAAAGAAGCCTATCTGAAAAGGCTACATAATGTGATTCCAACTCTATGACATTCTGGCAAAGGAGTCACTAAAAAGATCAGTGTTTACCATGGGCTTGGGGAAGGGGTGAGTGGAAGAGAGCAATAGTAGGTAGAGCACAGGGGATTTTTAGGACAGTGAAACTCTTCTACAAGATACTGTGGTGGTGGATACATCTTATTACCTTTTTAAAACCATGGAATATACAAACTCCCAAGAGTGAGCCCTAATGTAAACTGTGGACTTCAGTGAATAATAATGTAACTATATTGGCTCATCACTTGTAACATATGTATCACACTAATGCAAGATGTTAATATATTAGTAATAGGAGAAACAGTGTTTGCCTTGTGGTGGAGGGAGAAAGGGATATATGGGAATCTTGTTACTTTCTGCTCTTTTTCTGTAAACCTAAACTGCTCTAAAAAATAAAGTCTATTAATTTAAAAAGATGGGATCCTAATGTATAAACTCTGTTGTATCTTGCTCTTTGTATTTAATACTATGTTGCACACATTAAAAAATTAATAGTTATATGGTTAGATAAAACATGAATTTAAACAATTCTCCATTGTTTTTACTATTTTTAAAACTATTTATTTATTTATTTATTTTTTGAGACGGAGTCTCGCTCTGTCTCCCAGACTGGAGTGCAGTGGCGCCATCTCAGCTCGCTGCAACCTCTGCCTCCCGGGTTCAAGAAATTCTCTGGCCTCAGCCTCTTGAGTAACTGGGACTACAAGCGCACGCCACCACGCCTGGCTAATTTTTTGTATTTTAGTAGAGTTGGGGTTTCACCGTGTTGCCCAGGCTGGTCTCGAACTCCTGAGCTCAGGCAACCCACTCGCCTCCGCCTCCCAAAGTGCTAGGATTACAGGTGTGAGCCACCACGTCCGGCCTAAACTATTTCTAGTAGTGCTATGAAGAACATTCATAAACATGAATATTTGCCCATTATTTCCTTACAATAAATTTATAGAAAAGAAACTTCTGTATCAAGAATTATGCACATTAAAAATTTTAATCATATTTCCTTCCACAAAGATTGTACCAATTTACATTCTTGCGAAAGAAATGAGAGAGCCCATTGCTTCACACTTTGGTTAATACTTAGTACAGTATTTTCAATCTTTTCAGCCTCCATCTATTTAACATCTAAAATATAAGATCTCAATTTTTAAAAATTGTCCTTTAGTAAAGTTAAACATATTTTCTTGTATTTATTGAGCATTTAATTTCTTTTTTTATGAGTGGCTGGTTCATGTGCTTTTCTTAGTTCTTTAAGTAATTTGGAATGTTCATCTTTATGATTCATAAACAATTAAGGATATTAACTCGTAGGTTTCAAATATTTGTTTCTTAATTTATCGTCTACTTTTAAATGTTATGTATATTAAGACATTTAAATTTTCTATATCATCAGCTCTATTGATCTTTTCCTTGATGGTTTCTTGCTTTGAAGTCATGCTTCTCAAGGTTCCCTCTAACTACCCCAAGATCTTTTATACTCTGGCTTGCATTAAATTCACAAGTTTCAGTAGGAAGTCAGGGTTGCAGGGAGGAGCCCCCTGTGATGTCTCAGTAATCCCACTGCTCATTCCTAAACTCATCAACCACACCTGGAGACCACGTTCCCATCTCATTATGCTGAGCTGAAACATTGCACAAAAGTCCTTCCTCCACTTTCCTTTGCCTCACATCCCAGCTCTGCCATGGCTAGTCCATGGGAGATAATCTGTTAAAAGAAATAATGCAGATATGCTAAGCAGAGTTGGTTTAGCAGAAGACAGGGTGTAATAATTAATCAGGAGCAGACGCGACCATTCCCGACGGCCTTGGCAGCTCACTCTGCCTGAACCTGGGTGGCAGGGGCTGCATGTTTAGAACTTTCACAAAACAGGGTATATTTCCATTCTCCAGGTCAGGCCTTCCATGGATTATTTACAGAATGAGGAATAAGACAAGCCTTAGAATACTTTTAGACAGAGCCCAATCAAAGGATTTATTTTCACTTTATTCTCTATTTAAGATAACATTTAGCTTTTATTACAATGATTGCAGCCCTCTGCTGGTGGGATGCACCTATCTGCAGGTCTGGGAAGGTCTGGACCTCCATTTACTCGATGTTGAAGGCAGACATAAATGAGTTTGTCCACAGCTCACAGCTCACAGCTCACAGCCAGGCTCTGTGGGCTGCACCCCATGAGAAATTCTAGGTGAAGGATTTGAGGGCTTCCTCTCTCCCAAGCAGAAATAATGGGTCTTGGTGATACCCAATATCTCACTTGAACCAGGTTCATCTCTATGCTTTAATAGAAGCATTAAAACAGTAAGCAGCCATCATTTTTGGGCAGAGGGAGATATCCTACTGGTATTTTCCAATCACTAACATCCTCTGTCTTTGCAATATGTATAATTTTATCCTTTTAGTAAAGGTGCATGTGGACATTAGTATGATCTATGTAAGTATAATCACCAGCAGTTACAAAGTGCTGGTTCCACCCATTTTCCAACCAGAAAGGAAAGAAACATCATTAATCATATGATGAGTGTTTGTCAGGCCTCCAAGTCTAAAGAAGAATTTAAATTGAGCTAGGGGAAGGGAAGTTGTAAGAGAGCAGCTGTCCACAGTTATTAATGGTACCTTACACTACACAGTTGCTGCCACATCCATTATCTCACCCTCTACCTGCCGTCAGCAGCCTTGAAAGAAGCAGGGGGAGGGATGGGAGGGGGGTGAGTATGAGAAATGCAAGACTCTACTAGGGTTGGTCATTGGGCATTTCTGAGTTGATGCCCATCGGATGTGGGAGTGGTTATATCCAGTTGCCTCTCAGCAGCCTCAGACAACCACTCCTGCTTTCTTGAAGTACTCTCCATTCTTGGTGTCCAATACATGCTACTCTGCCTCTCTCTGGCCACTCCTGAGTCTTCTTTGCAGACCACCCTTTCTTTAGTTGAATCAGAGGTATCAGGACTGACCCTCTCCTCTCCATCTTTACCTCCTCCTCAGCTGGTGTCGTAGAATTATTTGACTTAATTACCATCCATGAGTGGATGTTCCTAAATTCACATCTTAAGCCCCAACTTCTCACTTGAGTGCCTTATTATTTCCACTTGGATATCTTAAAGGCATCTCAAATTACCATGGCCCCAATGGAAACCATCCCCCTAACCGAGTGGAAATCCTGATCAGCTCCCCCATAATCCCACACCCCCACTTCACCCCGCTACTCACTTGGTCTTTCTTACATCCATTAATACAGCAGTCCCCAACTTTTTTGGCACCATGGACCAGTTTCATAGAAGACCATTCTTCCATGGAAAGAGGGACTGGGGCATGGTTTTGGGATGAAACTGTCCCACCTCAGATCATCAGGGCCTTCGTCAGATTCTCGTAAAGAGCATGCAACCTATATCCCTCCCATGTGCAGTTCACAGTAGGGTTCGAGCTCCTATGAAGATCTACTGGCTGGCTGATCTGACAGGAGGTGGAGCTCAGGCGGTAATGCTGGCTCACTTGCTGCTCACCTCCTACTGTGAGGCCCAGTTCCTAATAGGCCATGGACGGGTACTGGTCTGCAGCCCAGGGGTTGGGGACCCCTGCGTTAATATACCACCATTCAACTTTGAATCAATTTCCAAATCTAGAGTTCACACTTGATATTATAGTTTTATTTACATACCACCATTCACCTTGATTCAATCCCCCAATCTAGAGTTCACACTTGATAGTTTTCTCCTACTTACTCCACATCCAATCTATTAGTGACTTTTATTGGCAGCAGAAACAAGAGTGGATAAGAGGAAGGACACACACTGGTCAGACTGCAGGGCTTGATTCCTGGCTCTGCCACGTGTGAGTTTTGGGTCCTGGGGAAAGTTCCTTAATCTCACTTTGTTTCCACTCTACCTCACAGAGTTGTTGTGAGGATTAAATGTATTATGAGGCTTAACCAGAGTTAATACTTGCAAAGCACTGAGAACAATGCCTGGCCCAGTAATTGCTGCAAAAGTGGTAGCTGTTATTATTGCCTCCAACATAAATGACACATCTGTCCATTTATCTCAAGTGCCCTTGCCCTGGTCCTAGCCACAATCCACTCTCACCTTCTTACTGGTTGCCTCTGTTTGACCCTTGCACCACCACACTACAGCTGGAATAATATATAAAAAGTATTGGTCAGATTTTGTTGTTCCCGATTAGAATGCTTAAATGGTTTCGTTTTAAAGACAGAATAAAATCCGAATCTGTTTCCATGGCCCACAGTCCTGTAGATGTGGTCCCTGCCTGCTGCTTTAACTTCGGTTGTACAAAGCAGATGTTACTGTGTAACAAATAGCCCCAAAATATAGTGGCAAAGACCAACAACACTCTTACTGTGCTCATGGATCCTGTGGATCAGGGATTTGAACACAGTAGAGCAGGGATATGTTGTCTCTGCTCCACGATGTCTAGGGCCGTATCTGGGAAAACTTGAATGGCTTTGGGTGACTTGAACAACCGGGGTGGAGTCCTCCAGAATCTTTCTCACTCATACGTCTGTCACCTTGGCACCATGGCAGGAAGGCTGGGCTTGGGGGGACTCTGCTGGAATTCCTATATTGGTCTCTACATGGCTTCAGCTTCTTTACAGCATGGTGGCGTTAGGGTAGCTGGATTTCCCACACCTGTGTCTGAACTCAGACCATGCTTTCTGTGACCTGTCCTTGGAAGGCATCTCTTCTGTCATACTCTACTTGTTAAAGCAGCCAGAAGCCCACCCGAATTCAAAGGGAGGGCATGTAGACCCCACCTTTCATTAGGAGGATGCCAAAGAATTTGTGGCACTGTTTTTAAAGGGCCACGCTCATGTCTATCACTCTCTCTTGCTCACAGTTCTCCAGTCACACTAGACTCCTTTCTGTTCCCAAAACATTCCACCTCATCCTAATCTCAGTCTTCCCATGTTTTTGTTTTCTCTTACATAAACTCTCTTCTCCCAGATGGCTTCCTCCTTCTCATCTTTGTCCAAAGACTAAGTCTTCCCTTTTAATTAACACATTGAGTCAGAAACTTTGCTGCAAAAATTGAATTGAAGCCCCAATATCTTTTTCCAGACATGAAGTCCTGAACTTAGCTCCCAGACACCACGTTCTGCTACTTCCTCCAGAGGCTAAGTCTAGAACTCTGCTGCCTGAGGCTAAGTCCAGAATTTTCCCTCCAGAGGCAAAGTCAGATTTTTGCTCTTGGGACTAAATCTCTACCTAAATGTCAGCTCCCCTTCCTAGACCTTCCTAGACCACTCTGTCTAAAGTGCCTTTCCACCTCTCTATCCTCTGCTTATTTCCTTGATGGCACTGACTGCAATCTGAAGTTATCCTTTGTATTTGTTTCTTTCCCCATTAATTAAATGGCTACCCCCTTGTAGAAGGTAACTTCCATGAGGGCAGAGGTGTTGTAGGTTTTTTTACTATCATATCCCTTGGCACATAGAAGGCACTTAATGTAACCTTGCTGGATGAGTGAATGAATGAATGAATGAATGAATGAAGTGTGGAAAGAGTCAGGAATAAAGCTTTGGAAGTTAGAAACGTTTAGTTAGTTGTTGAAACCATGACAGAGAAAGAGGCTTAGGAGACAACCTAAGGGATCATTGATATTTAAGACTGGGTAAGAGGAACTCAATGAATGTTTAGAAAGAAGAGTCATAAAAGCGTGAAAAGAGCCAGAAAAAAAGGCATCACAGAAGCGAGGGAGGGGAATTTGGAAGAAAAAAGGTAGAGGCAATAATGTTAAGTATCACAATGAGCTCAGTTAAAATAAAGATCACAAAGTGCGCATTAGCTTCCAATTAGCATGCTGTTTGCCCAAGCTTTTCTAATGGAGTCAGGCGAAGAGGCCAACTGTAGTGGGTTGAGAAGCAAATGGGAGTGGAAGTTGAGGAAGTGGAGGCCAGGAGTGTACGCTACCCATTCCTGAAGCTTAACCATGTAGGAACAGCAAGGCAGGGCAATCGTGGTGAGGAGCACAGGGCCAGGGAGATGGGAACGGCTGGAGGAGTTTTCCAAGCTCAAGGGACTGAGAGGTGGAGAGGAAGACTTTGAGATTTGGGAGCAGGCCGGGGTGGGAAACAGCATGGATTTGGGAATAATCCTTGAATGGGCTGACGTCTTCCTGTGAGACCTAGGGAAGGAGAAAAGAGGGGTGTGTGTGATGCTCTGCTACAAATCCTTATTCCATTTGTGATTCCTCATTCAGCACTGGGCTCTCCAGCCAGACTGAGCTCATGAGAACACGATTGAGGATGACCCAGGAAGCATGGCAAAGGTGGTGACAGCTGCTGAGAGGTGTGAGAGGGTGGCCAGATCAAGGACCAGTGGGAAGTCTTCAGGGGAAGCTCTTCTGGAGTGATCTGTCCCAGTTTCTTTTTAAAAGAATTTTTTTTTTAAAAAATTTCAATAGCTTTTGGGATACAAGTGGTTTTTGGTTACATAGATGAATTGTATAGTGGTGAAGTCTGAGATTTTAGTGCACCCATCACCCAAGGAGTGTACATTGTACCTAATGTGTAGTTTTTTTTTATGCCTAGCCCCATTCCCACCCTCCTTCTTCTGAGTCTCCAAAGTCCATTATATCACTCTGTATGCCTTTGTGTATTCATAGCTTAGCTCCCTCTTATAAGTGAGAACATACAGTGTTTAGTTTTCCACTCTTGTGTTACTTCACTTAGAATAATGGCTTCCAGCTCCACCCGAATTACTGCAAAAGATATTATATCATTCTTTATCATTCTGTTTTATGGCTGAGTAGTATTCCAAGGTGTATATGTACCACATTTTCTTCATCCACTCATTGGTCAGTGGGCACTTAGGCTGGTTCCATATTTGTGCAACTGTGACTTGTGCTGCAATAAACATAGGAGTGCAGGTGTCTTTTTGATATCATGACTTCTTTTTGTCCCAATCTTTAATGCAGTATGAGTGTTCTGTGGCTGCTCCCACAGAAGTGGTTAGGGAATAGTGAATTTTAGGGCTGCCCCAGGATTGGGAGGTTGCAGGGTAAGAGTAGCAGAATGATGCTGCTGGTGAGAGTAGTCCAGGAAATGGACCATGGGGGCCCAGCTGTGAATGAAGAGGTTGACTCATCACATCTTGATGATGTGGTTAGGGGATGAGGGCTCAGATAGCCCTTGGAGTGAATGGCTAAAGATAAGGGCAGGCCAAGGTCATGGGTCAGCAAAGTGAAGGAACTGAGGGTATGTGTGTATTTCACACAAATTTTAAATTCAAACAGGATTAAGTTAGGAGTTGTGGTAGAAAGAATACTGCTGCTATGATAAATAGACTCCACTATGTATAATGACTCGAGCACAAAAGGAGTTTATTTGTATATCACATAATAGTTCAAGGTGGGTGTTTCTGTTGAGTGGGCAGAGAAAGGTACAGGGTCCCCGCTCCATGCAATTAACTGGAAAGTCAAACTGCTGGTGGTTCTAACATCTTCAACACACAGCTCCCAAGGTTGTCTGGGCAATCATCATCCCGTCAGCTTGGAGAAAAAGCCTGGAGGAGGAAGAGGGAATTGTCTATGTCCTAGGCCTTGAAGAGATGCACTGCGTTGGCTAGAACTCTGTCACATCTCACTGCCGATGAGGGTGGGAAATGTAGTCCAGTTGTGTGTCCTAGAAGAAGAGGAGAGCCTGGATTTCATGAAGAGCTAGTGGCCTCTGCTACATCTCAGTGCCAGATAGACATGGAAGGACCCAGCTGATTATGTCCTGAATAAATGTGCAGAAGTGTCTTGGAGACAGAGATGAGGGTACACAGAAGGGCAGGGCTTCTGCAAGCTGCTGAGAAAGTGATGGTCTGGAAATGACCTTGCAGGGTGGGCAGATGGAGTACAGAGAAGTCAGACAGATCTTAGAGGAGGACCCGGGGTATGAACAGGCTCTGGTTGATGACTCTTGGAAGGGGCCTGGGCTCAGATACAAAAAAATCACGGGATCCCCCTCCCTAAAGGGGCCCTGCAGGAGAAAGGAGGGAATTGGAAACCTGAGGGAATTATCCCGTTGCTTACTGTGAAATGCTGAGTAAATGCTCAAAGAGTAAATACCTAATACTAACTCTTGGACTATAGGGCTTTGTGGCATGCATGTCCTCTTTGGACTTGATTACAAACTGAACAGAGTGTGGTTGACAAAGCGGTGGGGCTCATAGGACTGAAGGGCAGGAAGGACACTGACAACAGCCTTAAGGCAAACCTCTCACAGGCTTGACAGGAGGGAAAGGAGTAGATGATGAGAAGAAAGAGAATGGAAAAGAAGACACCCACAGTCCTTCTAGAAACTTTAACTAAATGGACGAGGCCTAAGACAGGACCTGGTTGTAAATTTCATGCTTTGGAAGGTTATTTTAGACTCAAGTCCCAGTGAGTCTATGTTAGACTCAAGTCCCAGTGTTTGGGCTGTATTTTATAATGGGGACATTTGTGTAATGGGTTTATTCATCTATCCATTGTGCACCCGCCTACCCACCCATCTATCCATCCATTCACCCATCATCTGTCTATCCATCTACCTGAGCATCCATCCTGCCATCATACATCTATTCCATCCACTCTTCCACCCATTCACTTTTCCATCCATCCACCCGTCATCTGTCTATCCATCTATTCATCCATCATCCATTATTCATCCACCCACCCATCCATCTATCCACCTACCCACTCAGCCATCCATCCATCCATTTGTCCACCCACACATCCATCCATCCATCCATCCACCCATCCACTTATCCATCCATCCATACAAACATACATACATACATCTGCCCATCCATCCATCCATCCATCCATCCACCCATCCATCCACACATCATCTGTCTGTCCATCTACCCAAGAATCCATCCATCCATCATCCATCTATCCATCCACCACCCATTCATTTATCCACCTACCCATCCATCCATCCACCCACCACACATCCATCCACCTATTCATCCATCCATATGAACATACATACATACATCTGCCCATCCATCCATCCATCTGCCCACCCAACTATCCATTCATCCATCCACCCCACCCATCTACTATCCATCCATCCATCCATCCTTTCAGAATTTGTTTGCCTATTACAGGCAAGGCCTTACGGTGGGTGATGAGGAGAGAGAAAGTATAGTCTCTGTCTTCAAGATGCTTACTGTCTAAGAGAAGGAGACACTGTATAAGGAAATAGTCCAGGAGACTGTTTTGGCACTCTGCCAAGAGTCTGTACAGCCCCCAGTGGGGGCATAAGAGAAGGAGTGGTCAGCTGGACCTGAGGGCTCAGGAATGGTTGCACAGAGGAGTGATGGTGTGAGGGGTCCAAGAGGGCCTGGGCATGCTGGGAGAGGCAGGCATGTGAGCACAAGTGTGGAGCTGCAAACAGCCCGGCACGCACAGGGAATGCGAAGATGGTGCCCCCGGTGAGGTAGTGGCCTTAGATGGGGAGAAGAAGAGATGAAGGGCATCAATTCCCACTTAGTCTCTCCAGGCTCCAGTGTTATTTTCTTCCATCAGTGCCCTGTCCCTTTAAAGTGGTCTTTTTACTATCCTACCTCCATTTCTAATTCTCTGAAGAAACAGAGAGAACTCCTGAGCCCCGAGGGACATATGCAGGCACTCATTCCTCCACTGGTTTGGCAGTGCCCACAGGAGTTACACACTGCCCACAGATGTAGAATTTAGTTTAAAGCCCACAAATGAGACTGATGGTTACTAACAGCACAACTGCATTCGGCTGTTTATTCTTTCAATGATTTCCTTATCTGCTTGATAGGAAGATAGGAAGAATTCTGTCTGGTTCCTCAAGACAGTGGAAGTGCCCAGAAGCTGGAGGGAGACCAGTCGTTGGGTTGATGACACTGTGGGGGTGGAGAGCCCCCAGCCCAAGCCTAGGTAGAGGGGCACAGTTTGCCTGGAGCTGGTAAAGCATTGGTAAAGCATCACGTGCCATTCACCTGTGACCTCTCTTTCTACAGCGTTGTACTACAAGAGGGGGACTGTGTATGGGGAACTTGTAAACATCTCCTGATCCCCCTTGGTCTCCTGAGAGCTGGCACACAAGGTCAGTAATAAATTCTCACTCCTTGAAAACAAACAGGGTGGGGGAG
Source organism: Homo sapiens (assembly GCF_000001405.40). Classification (NCBI taxonomy): domain Eukaryota; kingdom Metazoa; phylum Chordata; class Mammalia; order Primates; family Hominidae; genus Homo; species Homo sapiens. The sequence goes on from NC_000008.11 coordinate 26,568,478, forward strand.
TAAGGAGGGCAGAAAGAGGACCAATTTATTTACAGGAAAGGTCAGAATTTTGTTAAATCTTTACAATATCCAAATGGACTACTTTCAAGCATTCACAGACTAAGCTAATAAATTGCCCCAAAGTGTCCTCTAGGGAACCGAAATGGACAAATGGCCAAGAACCATGGCGTGTTTTTGGATGAGTGAGCAGTTTTCAGTACATTGATCATGGCGGATTCTTTTAAGAGATGAAAACTCCTGAAATGTTATTTACACTTTCAGAGTTCATAGTTACCCCTTTTCCTTGGCCGTTTTCAGAATCGACACAGATTCTGAATCAAGGAGGGCCCAGTTGAGGGAGATCTGCGGTATTTTCTGGCTGTGGTGAGTACAAGCCTGAAGTGCGGGATTGAAAAGAGGAACCCGGCTGCAGTTATCATGATTGGACCTCCAGGCACAGCTGAGCTTTGTGAATGTGAGGCTTGATGCTTCCCAAGGACAGATCCCAGTAGAAAAGGAATCTGCTCGCTCTGCCTTGGATCATTAGAACCTAGGCCATGAGACCTCATCCAGTCAGGTGAATCCTCACCATCTGGTCTTTTAAAAGCCTGGGGTGAAGTCTAGGCGTGAGGGCCCCCAACTGTAATCCCACTGCTTTGGGAGGCCGAGACAGGAGGATTGCTTGAGCCCAAGAGTTCCAGACCAGCTTGGGCAACATAGCAAGACCCTGTCTACACAAAAGATAAAAAGACTTAGCCAGGCATGGTGATGCATGCCTGTAGTCCCAGTTATGTGGGAGGCTGAGGCAGATCGCTTGAGCCTAGGAGTTTGAGGCTGCAGTGAGCTATGCTCATGCCACGGCACTCTAGCCTGGGTGACAGGGCAAGACCCTATCTCCAAAAAAAAAACAAAAACAAAAACAAAAAAAAACCAAAGAAAAACCCAAAGCCTGGGATGAATCAGGATTAGAGAATGGCAGGTGCATATCTGGGAGGCAACAGGTGGAAGATGAAGCCTCGGTCACCTGGGCTGAAGAACAGGTATCTTTAGAAAGGTTCTCCTGTTCATTTGTCATTTAACTCTTGTTTGTTGAGTGTTGTGCGGTCACTGTAAGGTGGAGTGGAGGACTAGGTGGTTTAGGGGCTTTGCAATTGAGAAGTAGAGACAGACTGGAAATACTCAAGTAAACAAATGCACAAAAATACTTCCAAATTATAATTGTTGCTATTAAAGAGATAGTGCTGAGACAAGGAAGAGTAGGAGTACATGGGCTGGCATCAGGAGGGAGGTCATGGAGGGCCTCCCTGAAGCAGGGATGCATGGGCAAGAAGGAGAGATGGGAGAAGAGAGAACAGCAGCCACAAAGGGCCATTGCAGGGAAAGGAAGGACATCAGTGTGCTATGGCATGAGAGAGCTTGGGGACGTAACACAGGATGAAGCTGGAAAGGAATAGAAGGGTAAGATCAGTCGGGCGCGGTGGCTCACACCTGTAATCTGAGCACTTTAGGAGGATCAGTTGAGGCCAGGAGTTTGAGACCAACATGGGTAACATAGTGAGACTCTTGTCTCTACTAAAAATAAAAGTAAAAAATTTAAAAAAGAAGGGCAAGATCACACGCAGCAGACTTGATAAACGGTTTGCATTTTATTTATGCAAGCAGCCTGGCTTGGTGTCTGAAATTCTACTAACCAGGGTCTTCTCTTTTTAGCAGAGGAGTAGCACACTGAGCATTTATCATTCATTTAAACCTTTATGTTCGTCTGTCATGTTTCCTATGAGGGGAGGGCCAGAGCCACTGAGTGAAACTGAGTTACACTGGGTTATGAGGAAAGAAAGAGATGGAGAATTGATTTCGGGAGAAGGGGAAACATCTAAGGAATGTGGACTGGGGACAGTGGAAGGAGTAAAGAAAGACAGCCGATCACCTGTGCCTACCTCTTGCACAAGGTGGGTCCCAGTTTCTACTAAACAAGTACCTTACCATTAAAAGAACTAGCCTTGGCCAGGCGCGGGGGCTCATGCCTGTAATCCCAACACTGGGAGGCTGAGGTGGGCAGATCACGAGGTCAGGAGTTCGAGACCAGCCTGGCCAACATAGTGAAACCCCATCTCTACTAAAAATACAAAAATTAGCCAGGTGTGGTGGGCACCTGTAATCCCAGCTACTTGAGAGGCTGAGGCATGAGAATCACTTGAACCCAGGAGGCAGAGGTTGCAGTGAGTTGAGATCACGCCACTGCACTCCAGTCTGGACAACAGAGTGAGACTCAGTCTTAGAAAAGGAAAAAAAAAAAAAAAAAAAAAAAGAACTAGCCCCTTGGGCTTTGGGGTCACACAGACCCAAATTAGAATCTGGGCCTGGAACAAGAGGTTTCTTTGTGCTTTTCTCTCCTCGTCTATAAAATGAGGATCTGAAGATTTACCCAGTAGGATTTTGGAGAAGATTAAAGCAGATGTATTTAAAGCACTCAGTGCTATGCTTAGAGCATGGTAGGTGCTCAATACATGTTAATTTCCTCCTCACTGACAACATAACAGTATTTTAGAAGATTGTACTGTTTCCAGAAGGCAGACAAGTGGAATGAGAGGGATAATATTTACCACTCTTTCATAATGTTCCCCCTGGACAAAGAGCAGACCAGTGATGCCCTGTGGTGAGTGGACCCCTCACTAGGTAGGGAGTGAGCCCTTCCTCCTAGTCCATGTTTTCCTCCTTCTATAAATAGAGGGTGGAGTGGGCTGGATCTGTCGCTAAGTGTCCAGAAGTAGACTAGTTTAAAAACCTTCCTGGACCTTACCTCCGGATATTCTGTTCAGGATGTCTGAGCTGGGGCCCAGGGTGATTCTGATGGAGGGGAGTACTTGGGCACACCAACGGAAACAAGTGATCTCCAAGGCCCTGCCCTGGCTTGGAGACCAGCACGCAGGGGACCACGTGCACACTCTTTGTTCGCCACCAGAGGGCAGGCCTGAGGCACGATGGCTGAGCTAGGTGCCCTTTGTCCCCATCAGGGATAGAAAGACCCCAGGGAACATCTGTAGCCACCCAGAGAATGAGGTGCAGGGTGGGCATTGCAGGAGTTCTTCAGGAGGTGTGTGCGCTAACTGGGGATAAGAGAAAGCCCGAGTCGACTAGATTCTGTGAAGTGCATGCTTCCTCTGTGCCCTCTTGTCCAGCAGGATTTGGACAGATGAGCTTCTTGTCTTCCTGCAGGGAGGATGTGTCCTCAGAATCCTAGCAGAGCCCCCATGCTGGCCGGCAGTCTGTACAGTTCTAGCCAAAGCAGCGTCTGTTTCGGAGGGCCAGTCACTGCTGACCCTCATTTGTCACCACTGTCACTGCTGCTAAAAGGATGCAGCCACAGGGGAAGGCAGTGGGCAGGTTCCGATCCAATCTGCAGTCTCTGACCCTTCAGAGCTACACACACAAAGAAAACGATCGTCATTGCCTGATTCCATCTGCAGTGAAGAAGGCATCACTTCCAGCTCAAGTGTCCTAGTCAATGCCCTTTGTTTTGGCAAAGAAGGATTCCAGTACCTTCTCTTTACTGCCGCATTCATTTCAACCTTCTCTGCAGGCTGTGTTAGAGGCCACAGCCCTTGGCATCCAATTGCAGCACTCTGGGCATTGGGGATTTTCTTTGCCACCTCTGGGCTCTGTTTTGTCAGCAGTTTCTGCTCTGGAGTTCCCCTACTCTGTGAAATTCTGAACATTGCACTAACGCAGAGACCCAGGGCGCCACAGAAGCAGAAATGGCTACTCTAGCTCCCCAAAGGGGAACATGAAACCAAGAGCAGCAGTGGGCTAGTCAGGGAGGGAACACGTTCCGGGCAGATGCTGAGGAACTGAGAGCAGCACAGCCGCCCGAGGCACTGGAGTTATGTCTGCATCTCCCCAGCCCCACTTCCCTGCAGTTTGGATGATGCAAACATGTGCAAAGGGCTGGCTGGGTGCCTCCACTCATACCTCCCTCCCTGCATTCAGTCCTGCTTGAGCCCCCAGCCTTGTCAGGCCCTCTGTAAGGATAAGGAATGAGTAAGACTTTTTTGTTTGTTTTTGAGAAGGAATCTCGCCCTTTCACCCAAGCTGGAGTGCAGTGACGCAATCTCGGCTCACTGCAACCTCCGTTTCCCAGGTTCAAGTGATTTTCCAGCCTCAGCCTCCTGAGTAGCTGGGATTACAGGCGTCCCCTACCACGCCCAGCTAGTTTTTGTATTTTTAGTAGAGATGGGGTTTCTCCATGTTGGCCAGGATGGTCTCGAACTCCTGATCTCAGGTGATCCGCCCACTTCAGCCTCCCAGGTGTTGGGATTACAGGCATGAGCTACTGCGCCTGGTCAGGAATGAGTAAGACTTTTGAAAGAGTTTTTCTTCCCTGTGAGCTCAAACCTTGAATGGAAGAAAAATCACACTCACCTAGTTATGGTGTCGGTGAGGATTGTATTGTGTAGGTGGTTTACTGCGATGAATGGGATCACACAGGGATGTACGAAGAATAATGGGAGGATGGAGTAAAGGACAGTTTCAGAAATTGAGAAAAAATTACTAGAGACACCTTGTATGACTTCGACCTTCATTTTAGGATTGGGTGCTGTCTCCGTGTTCTACCAGGCTTGCTGATACACAGCAGTTTTGTTAGTGGAGGCGGAGCTTAAAATCTAGGCAGCTACAGCCCCGCAGAGAATAATAAGCTGTTAATAATAACATTAGGTCTTCCTGGAGTTTCAGGGGCTTGGAGAAGGGGAGGCTGCCAAGAAGGAAGGCCCGGCAAAGTGATATTCCTGACTGGGTGTGGTGGCTCACGCCTGTAATCCCAGAACTTTGGGAGGCCGAGGCAGGCAGATCCTGAGGTCAGGAGTTTGAGACCAGCCTGGCCAATATGGTGAAACCCCCATCTCTACTAATAATACAAAAAGTACCTGGGCGTGGCCGGGCGCGGTGGCTCACGCCTGTAATCCCAGCACTTTGGGGGGCTGAGGTGGGTGGATCACGAGGTCAGGAGATCGAGACCATCCTGGCAAACACGGTGAAACCCTGTCTCTACTAAAAAATACAAAAAATTAGCTGGGCGTGGTGGTAGGCACCTGTAGTCCCAGCTACTCAGAGGCTGAGGCAGGAGAATGGCATGAACCCAGAAGGCGGAGCTTGCAGTGAGCCGAGATTGCGCCACTGCACTACAGCCTGGGGCAACAGAGCAAGACTGTCTCAAAAAAAAAAAAAAAAAAAAATTACCTGGGCGTGGTGGTGGGCACCTGTAATCCCAGCTACTCGGGAGGCTGAGGCAGGAGAATCACTTGAACCTGGGAGGCAGAGGTTGCAGTGAGCAAAGATCATGCAACTGCACTCCAGCCTGGGCGACAGAGTGAGACTCCACCTCAAAAAAAAAAAAAAAAAAAAAGTGATAGTCCTAAGGGAAAGGCTTGCTTGCATTGGGGATTTTTTTTTTTTTTTGACATTAAAACTCACCTTGGTGGAAGAACCTTTGTCCTCGTCATAGCAATGATGGCACTTATTTATGCACAAAATGTTAAGGGCACCTGCCAGAGACAAGGCAGTGTGCTGGTAGCTGGGAGAAGAGGGGGCTTTTTGCTTCTAGGAGTCAAGGCCTGATGGAAGAAATGTGCAAGTCATTATAGAGTGATGGTGTTATAGCAGAGCTGAACACAGGAAGGAGTGCTTAAGGCTGTGGGGGTAGGATGGGGAAAACTTCATAGACATGGTAACATTTCAGTTGTTTCAGAGGGAAGGAGGGGAAAAGAACGGCTTAGGGCAAGATGTAGATTAGGGAGGGCACACTGTTTTCAGGGGCAGTGAGAAGTTTGCTCTGACACTGTGTGCGTGCACCCATTGAGCATGGGGACAGAGTAGGTGTCCAGGGAGGGGAGTTGAAGCTGCGGAAAAGACAGGGATCAGACTCTGATACAGCACCTGGTTAAAATGCATTCTTCCCACTCATGGATCTGCTCAGGCAGATCCTCCCTTCCTGCACACCATGCAGAATGCCCGGGATGTTACCATTTCACTAAACCATTGTCTAATTTAGTTACTGCATCTGGCTCTTTTATGGTGCTGGGAGAAAAGTATGGGAAAGTGGAGGTTTGGGAAGGGGCTGTGATTGCGGAACAGGCAATTTTACATTGCTTTCTCATGTTTGGCATGAATTTAATGTTTAAAAATTCAGAAAAGTCATGCCTGACAAAGGGTACGAATATTAGATTCACAAATAATAATTCATAATTTTACAGGAAATTTTCATTGAGTGTTTTTCTACAGAAAGTATAAGAAACATTTATTTATTTATTTAGACAAGGTCTCACTCTGTCACCCAAGCTGGAGTGCAGTGGCACGATCATGGCTTATTACAGCCTCAGCCTCCCAGCCTCAACTGATCTTTCTGCCTCAGCCCCAACCTTCCCCTGCCCCCAGTAGCTGGGACCACAGGTGCCCACCACCACACTCAGCTAATTTATTTTGTTTGTTTTTGTTTTTTTGAGATGGAGTTTCGCTCTTGTTGCCCAGGCTGAAGTGCAGTGGCGCTATCTTGGCTCACTGCAACCTCCGCCTCCCGGATTCAAGTGATTCTCCTGCCTCAGCCTCCCGAATGGCTGGGATTACCGGCCCCAGCCACCATGCCCGTCTGATTTTTGCATTTTTAGTGCAGACGGGGTTTCACCATGTTGGCCAGCCTAGTCTCTAATATTTGTATTTTTTGTAGAGACGGGGTTTCTCCATGTTGCTGAGGCTGGTCTCCAACTCTTGGGCTCAACTGATCTGCCTGCCTTGGCATCCCAAAGTGCGGGATTACAGGTGTGAGCCACTGTGCCCAGCCTCTCATTTATTTTTACAAGGATCTCTGAAGTAAAAGTGTGAGGCCTGTTTACCTGTGGTTTTTTGTTTTTTTTTTCACCTTCATCAGTGCAAAGCAGGTGGAAGATTCTCCTCGGCCCTTTTTTACTTTTCCTCATTGCGCTGAATGGTAAATATGGTAAGAAATGCAGGTTGCAGACAGTTCTCTTCCTCGGTCAATTTAAACCATTTGTTTGGTATCTTTTATGTGCCAAATACTCTCTTAGGCTCTAGTCAGAACAGACAAATCAGTTTATACCTTACATTTTTGGATATTTACGAGTGGAAACGTCAGTTATTATGGACTAAGAACCTCATAGCAATGGCTATACAATTGAAGCCAATGAGACAGACACAAGCTCTTGGAAGCTTTTATTACAAAACAAACGATTCTATGGTAAACTGGTAAATAACAAGATATATTTAAACCCATTACGCTCAAACAACAGGGACGGGGGTAGGGAATACAACAAGAATACAAACAATATAATTATAGGTTACTTTGTTTTAAATTAATTTGAGTCTCTTTATTTACTCCCTTGCCAAGTAGTTTTTTTGTGAGCTAATAGGACACTCCTCTCCACTGCCCTGTCCTCCGCAAAGCTGGGACTGACTGTTGGTTTTTCACAAGTAGAGAGAGGCCAAGTAGAAAGGCGTATTTTAAGCTTTCTCAGACTCGTGACTTTAACCATTACCGGTTGACAGCAATACTTGCCGACATCATCTCACCTTGCTTGCGGCATATCAGATTGCTGGAGGGGGAAGTGCTTCACTTTCTCTTTCAGATGCACAGCTAAATTGAACTTGGATGAATTAACCATCGGTGAAACTTTGTGCGTGCCCTACGGCTACTTTCTGGGACTTCAGATTTTTAGAGATATAGGAGTGAAAAGGAGAATTTTACACCTTCTCTGAGTCTGGAAGGACAGACATTCCCCTAAAGTGGCTAAGGTGGTGAAGGGCAGAAAGATTGGAAGTCAGGCCCACAGCAGCTCGAATTATTCCGTATTTATCTAGCTAAGCTTTGCTGAGCAGGTGTGAGCCAATTACATACTCTTTCTTCCCCCACCCCCCAGCCCATGATTACGTAGGGATTCTATGTATCCTTCGACCTCAAGCAGAGAAGCCCGAGCGCTACGAGGGCTGGTCCAGATGTTTTAGTTATTGTACCTGCCAGGGCAACCTCCCACGGGGGTTGGCCTCGGTAGATTCCTGAGGATCAACTGGATCAGCGTTTTTCTTTCCCACGGACCCTGAAGTTAGAGCATCCCAGCATGGCTTGGACAGGCAAAGCTAAGGGGTCCCAGGCCTGCTCAATTGCTAGGACCACGAAGGGGCCTTGAGTGCCGTTTGAAGTGACAAGGCTCTGCCTGGGCAGTCAGGACACTCTTGATTTTAACTCCGATTCAGTAGGTTTTCCCCAAGACTCAGTTTCCCTTTCCTGTGGGATATAAACTCTTCCTTTCTTGCTCCTCCACAGCTCATCTCCTCCTCTCCGCCCCACGGTGCGGTGTGGGTCCCATCCACTGGCACTGTAAACCCTCAGGACCCCGGGGCGCTGGGATCGCAGCAGCTGCCCCCGACAGCGCTGCAGGCACCAGCGAAATGCGCTGCGCCCCCACGCACCCCTCAGGGAGCCGAGGTGGGCGTGACTGTAAAGCGGGCGCACAGAGCGCAGATCGCGCCACATCGGCCTCGGCGGGCTGCGGCTGCTCCCCATTCCTCCGCCCTACTAAGTTCCTCGCGGCCGGAAGGCACAAAAGGATGTTTCAGGGCGGGGTTTCCCATACCCCGCAGCCTTCCCCGGATGCCTCCTTCCCGGCTCGGAGTTGGAAGGGTTTCCTCAGGGCTCTCATTTCCTGCAGCCCGGCGCCTCCACGCGGGCCAGATCCCGTCTCTGCAGCCTCCCCCCGGCCCGCGCCCATTCCCCGCCCCCAGGAGCCGGGCCCGGACGCTCCCGGGAAGCAGCCGCCCTCTCCGGGGCCGGGCGTGGCCGGGCCCTCCCCGCCGGGTTCCCGCCCGCCGCCGTTCCAGTCCTCAGCCGCGCCAGGGCGGGGGCCAGGCGAGTTCAGCGCCAGCAACGGCGGGGGAGGAGGGCCCGGGAGCCCTCCCGGGCTGCGCGGCGCCGGCCGGCGGTGCAGTCGCGCGCTCGCCGCCAGCGAAGCCATTGGCTCGGCGCAGTCACCCCACGCGGGGCTGCCGCGGCGGCCTCCGCGGATTGGCGCGCAGGCGGGCAGGGACCGGGGCGCGCGCAGGCGAGTGCGTGCGGCCCCGAAGCCCCGCCGTCTCGGGGTGCCGCCCCTCCCCCCGGCCGCGACGACCACCCCTCCATTGTCCCCGCGTGGCCCAGGCCGCGCCTGGGGCCGCCGCCAAACCCGGTCCCCACCGCCCCGGCCCGAAGAAAGCGCGCGAAAGGCGCGCTCCCAGCGCGGGCGCTCGCGCCGCCTGCCGCCCCCGGCCGTTCACTGCCGCATTTCGCGCTCTCGCGCCGCGCCCCGCCCCACCGGCCTAAATTTGCATATCCCAGGATCGCGGCCAATCGCTGCTCGTCTCTCTCGAAGCGGATGGCTTTTGCCTGAGAGGAAAGGGAGTGGCTGGCGGCGCATGCGCCACGGTGGCCGACTTGAACCGAGGCTTTTATTGCTGTAGTTTATTTCCACCCCCTTCCCTCCTGTTTCTCTCTCTCCTTCTCTCTCTCTCTCTCTCTCTCTCTTTTTTTTCCGCCCTAGCTGGGGCTGTGTTGGAGGAGAGGAAGAAAGAGAGACAGAGGATTGCATTCATCCGTTACGTTCTTGAAATTTCCTAATAGCAAGACCAGCGAAGCGGTTGCACCCTTTTCAATCTTGCAAAGGAAAAAAACAAAACAAAACAAAAAAAACCCAAGTCCCCTTCCCGGCAGTTTTTGCCTTAAAGCTGCCCTCTTGAAATTAATTTTTTCCCAGGAGAGAGATGTCTTATCAGGGGAAGAAAAATATTCCACGCATCACGGTGAGTTTGGTACTTGGGAAATCTGCGGTCGGCCAGCCACCTTTTGTAGCACAGAAGGTCTAAGGAATTTTTAAAAAGGAGGGGAAAGGAGAGGGACCGAACTTTTTTTTTCCTTTCTGTTGCTAACGGAGGCGATGGTGATGGTGGTGGTGGTTGTGGGAGATGCAGTGATCCAGGATTAGAAGTCGCATCGTTTGCAAGGCATTAAACAGGAGCGCGAGTGCACGAAGGTAGCCTTAGGTAACGCGCCAGACCCGGTCTATCTTTTATTGTCAGTGAGAGATGCTGCAGCGTCGGCCCGCGGGGTGCAAGCAAATGGATGCCAGATTGAATATGCATGCCTGGAGCTCGGATATTGTTCTCTGGGCTGCGTGCTGCGAGGCTGGACTCCTCCAGCAGCGATGGGGAGATGGGGACTTGGATCCTCCCCGGGTCTTCCGCCCCCACCCAAAAAGGGCTTTCTGGAGCCTTCTCCGGGTCCTTGGAAAAAGGAGCGGGTTTGAGCCCTAAGGCGTAATGACAGCAGAGGGATGCTGAAAAGGGCAGGGTGTACCGGAATGGTGTGGAAACGGGAAGGAAAAACAGGGACGAGGTGATGAGCAGAGGAGGAAGGCGGGGGGCAAGGCGGGGGCTTCTTGTTGGCCAGGAACCGGTTTTGGGTGCCCCCCCCCCGGTTTTCTCGCCCTGTAGTTCGGGGCTGGGGCCCTGGCGGGGATTCGGGCTCTTTTTCACGTCTCTTTTCCGCCCCTTCTGCCGCTCAGGAGGCGTCCGTGTTGGTGCATACAAAGCGGACTGCAGGGTGGGCGCGGGGACCGCGGCGAGCGGCCGGGCGCTAATGGCGCTGCGCGACGCGGGAGCAGATGGCCCGGCCCCGGCCAGACAATGATCGCGGCGGCCGGAGGGCTCGGCGCAGTGCTGGGGCCTGGACTTGTTGGTTTGCAAACCACGGGGAAAACGTCTGTGCCGTGAATTAGCGATGCCTCAGAGATCAGCACCAGTCTTGCTCCCACCTCTCCCCTGCTCCCTCCCTCTCCCCATCTTTTCCTGGAAAAATTCGTTCGTCCTATTCTTTCCATCCCCAGTGAAATCCCAGGGAGGGGGGAACACCAGGGAAATTCATTGTTATATAAGGATGTGCAATTGCAACCGGCCAGCTGATTCCCGGGTAGAACCTAGGACTGAGGCAGAGATCGAAAGAGCCTTTTAAAGCAGTCAGGATGTGTTTTTAGGGCTGGATATAAGGACGCTCTTTGGTTCTGGTTTTCCCTTTAGCCATGGGCACCCCGGCTTCCTCTCCGTGCACAAGGGCACACCCATCCGCGGGAGAGAGAAGGGGAGCAAATGCATAGGGGAGGGGGCGTGTGCTCGGAGGATTTTCTAGGATGATCTGAAGAAGGGCGCTAGCTTCTTCTTGAAGGCAAAAGACCCAAGATCCCAAAGGGCCGGGCACGGGGCACCCACCCTTGTGTGTTCACTGTGCAGGAGGAAGGAGTGGTGACTCTGGGGAGGGAGGATGGAAAGCAGATTTGCAGCAAGCCTCAAATAATTTGCTGTCTTCGTGAATGAACAAGGCAGCTTCATTTTGACAGTGTGGGGAGAAAAAAAAATTAAAAGCAAACGATCAACAAGACTTTTTTTTTTTTTTTTTTTTTTAAAGAGCGCCCCCCCCCCCACACCCTTTAAAAAATCTGGTTGCATTATCATAGGACCTATAGCATGGTATTCCTCCCTCCCTCACCACTGGCAGCCTCTTATGTAAGAGCCTTCTGGAAGGCACTAGAGTGAACGGGGGTGTGGTGTTTCACTTTTTTTCATGGCATCATGTTGGCTCGGGATATTCGCGGTGATGGCTGGGGCAGGTACCACAGTGACTGTGGAGGCAGGAGGTGAAGGGGGAGGCCTCTCCTTGCCTTCCAGGTGATATTTATTCCATGGAAGCTTAGAGATCTGGGAGAGAAGTGGAGGTCATTGTAGACAGAGGACAAGTGCACTGATTTGAGTGACCTGGGCAAGTGGCCTAACCTCTCTGAGCCTCAGTTTCCTTATGTGTCATGGGAATAGAACCTGGCCTCATCTACCTCACAGATTTCTTTCGAGGCTCTGATGTCATGATGTGCACGGCTTTGTAAAGGTCTTTACACTTACCTTATACAGGTGCAGGAATTATTGTTGGCTATTCTCCTTTGACTTTCCAAAGTCTACGTGAGGATCAGGGACCCTGCAGTGTACAAAATTAAAATGATCTTATTGGTTTTCAGTATGTTAGAGAGACAATAAATACTTTCTGAACCAAGGTGTGTGTATTTATGTGTAAAATTATCTTTTTTCCTTGCTCTCTAGTAGCTTATCTCTTTTTTAAAGATTTTCTATGATTTCCTTTTCTTGGTAGCTGCTAAAGAGAGGTAGCACTTGCTGAGAATATTGTTTTGTAACTGAATTTTGAGTTAACTATTGCCAAAAGAATGTCATTCTTTGAAATGTGTTGCATATTAAAAGGGCAATGTATGGTTCAGCTTGCCAGGTTTAAGCCCATTCTGTATAATACAGGTGCATATTTACTGAACACTCGATGCCAGCATTCCTTCCATCAGCAGCATTTGCAATAACGATGAGTCATAATGTAGCATTTCTGTCACATTCTCAGACTTTATCTGCTGCTTGTCCTTTATTTTTTAGCATAAATATCACCGGTTAAAATATAAGTGCATCAGCAATCTGTAGTGCATTGCATCTTAGAATTTGCTATCTCAGATACTTATTCGTGGGAGTTTACCTTTTTCTTAACAGCCTAGTTAAAATGGCATCAATGGCGTATTTTTTGTAGTCTTTTTGCTATACTTGCTGTGATTTACCTCAAAGATAAATGCAAATATAAAGGACATATTGAATGGAAACCTTGCTATGGTTGAACCCAGTGTATTTGTGTGGTATATCCCGTGACAGCAGACTTTTTGGTCAATTGTGCTTGCTTGACACAGTCTTTCCAAGACATGGCTTTCCTATATGTAGGTGGTTTTTTTTGTTGTTGTTTGTTTGTTTTTAAATTGAGGTTTAGCCAAAAGCCATTTTAAAAAGTACTATCTTCTTTTTTTTTTTTTGAGTTGGAGTCTTGCTGTGTAACCCAGGCTGGGGTGCAGTGACGTGATCTCGGTTCACTACAACCTCCGCCTGCTGCTTCAAGCAATTCTCCTGCCTCAGCCTCCCGAGTAGCTGGGATTACAGGCGCCCACCACCATGCCCAGCCCATTTTTTGTATTTTTTATAGAGATGGGGTTTCACCATGTTGGCCAGGCTGGTCTCAAACTCCTGACCTCAGGTGATCCGCCCATCTTGGCCTCCCAAAGTGCTGGGATTACAGGCATGAGCCACCGTGCCCGGCCCTATCTTCTTTATATGAAATAATTTTCACTGCTTTTTTTTTTTCTTTGGAGTCCAAGGTCTAATTGAAAGAGATGGTTCGTTTATCTAGGATAAGCTGTCCCTGTGTGTTCTGACTCATCAGGTGATGAATAGGTTGCCACATACAGGCTTACCTTTGTCACTGAACCTTTCCAAAATGGGCTTATTTTGAACATCACTTTTGAACAGTGAAAATGTATCCTTAGCTCACATATCTTAGCACCTGTTTCTCATAGGTCAGTTACGCGTTGTGACCTTACTGCCTCTTTGTTTCAGAGCGATCGTCTTCTGATCAAAGGAGGTAAAATTGTTAATGATGACCAGTCGTTCTATGCAGACATATACATGGAAGATGGGTTGATCAAGTAAGTGTAACTCATGATATACAGATGTATTTGAACACTTTCCAGACTTCCCAAGTATTAGATACCATTCGCATCCAAAGTATCAAACTTCAGGAACATCAGAGAGTGACCAACTTAGTATCTGTTTTAAACTGGTTTTGATTGGTGGTAATTAGTGAATTTGAAAACTCAAATTTAGGGAATTCAAAGCAACAATTAATGTACACCCGTTGCATTAGGTATTATGTAATTTACTATTTTTAACTGAGGTGATATGATATCTTTCTGTTGCCAGCTCAAATACTTGGTTTGTGATATGTTGAATATATTAAAGTTTTGCCTAGAATGTCATTGTTTGGGTTGGATTGCCCAAAGGACGCAAACGTGAAAGACAGTCTCCTCTATTGAGACAGCACATCTGCTTTCTTCATCAAGAATCCAAGTTGGAGGGGCCAAAGAAAGATACCAAGTTAATTACTAAGTAATACAGACAAATTACTGCCTAAATCCTGAGGGAATTTTAGGTTTTATTCTAAGTGGCAACTAGTGCAAATAAGACTGCCCTTGTGTTTATTGTGTTAATGTTACAAAGGAGAAGCAACAGGGCAGTTCCTGAGTTTGGGTATTTTTGGACGCCAGAGGGTTAAGGAAGCTGAGTTCATCCCAGTATCTGCCTGCCCTTTCTACTGGGGTAGCTCCCGGGGCTCTGGAGAAATAGCACATCTGTTTGAAGACAAACACTGCAGCCAGTGACAGCTTTTAAATAAGCAGCATTCATCAAGGGATAGCTGTAAACCGGTCCAGAGGAGTGGAAAACTGGAGTGGCTGTGACTGTTGCCTGGGAGCTCACACCCAGATTTATGAACCTAAAATAGATTTTAACATTTCCACGTTTAATGTTTTCTCCATGTGTGTTTGCTGTGACAGTCTCAGCTCCAGGCTCTCAAATGCCATGACTTTGATGTTCCATTTTCCCCCAATTATAAGATGGCACGATCTGGTCTGGTAGAATGACACTGGCCCAGAAGTGTGCAGGCCTGTGTGCTGTTTTTACTCATCACTGATTTGTTCTAGAACTTTATCAACTTCTCCTAGATTAATATTCCTTTTAAAAAATTGGTAGAAAGATATAAAAATATTTTTTAAAAGTTGGAAATGAATCATGTCTCCCAACATAATGAATATTCATTTTTCTGCCTTTTAAAATTATATTTCAGCTGTTAGCTTTTTCATTATCTGAATAACTAAACACACGCTTCCAAAATTTTAAATCATTGCAATCATAGTGTTCACTTTTTTTTTTTTTTTGCTTTGATTTGTTCTACCTCACCCTTCCACCCCTATTTTCCTTCTGGTGAAAAGGATATGATAAAAATAAATGTTTGGAAAGTACGGCCAGGTCTGGAGAAAATTGCTATAGGATAATTAGCTCAATTGCAAGTGCTGTAAAGAAAGTTTAATGACAGTTCTTAGAAATATCTTGGGGCCTTGTTATCATTTGATCTTAGGGGGTTTCTTGGGAACAAAACGTCTTTGAGTGGGGCCTCTGGTGCCTTATTTAACTTTTGCTTTCTAGTATACTCTGCATTGCCTCTTGCTGGGGGGTAGGAGTATATAGTGTTTTATTATGAATCGTAACAATGATCTGAAAAGCCCACGGCACAGAGCGGAGGATAGTTTATAGGTTAGTGAAAGTAGCTGTCAGATCCCATTTGAGTCCACATTTCATTTACAACCCTTATCACCAACCCTGTTTATTTAGGCAAATAGGAGAAAATCTGATTGTGCCAGGAGGAGTGAAGACCATCGAGGCCCACTCCCGGATGGTGATCCCCGGAGGAATTGACGTCCACACTCGTTTCCAGATGCCTGATCAGGGAATGACGTCTGCTGATGATTTCTTCCAAGGAACCAAGGCGGCCCTGGCTGGGGGAACCACTATGATCAGTAAGAAGCTTAAAAATCATCATTGTAGTGCTTAGGAAGTGTGAGAGTTTGCAAATAAGTCTATTGTTTGATTCTCTCCTTCTAAAACTTGCTGTCCTGAGCCACAGTTCAATCTACCAAATAAGGGGGTGAGGATGTGTTAACCATTTGTCTTATTTATTTATGCTCATTTTCTGTCAAATTTTAAGTTCTCCCATTGAACTAGAGAATATGGTTCTAAGGAGTTTGGTAAGATGAATGACTTCTTGCTTTCTCTCCATGTGGACTTTTGTCTTCCTTGACCCTAGAATGTGATTTGGTTTTGAAAACACGGCATTTGAAGTCATCTTCAATGCCACCAACTTTAAGCCATTGAGCATAAGTATTTGATTGAGATTTTCAGAAAAATTCCTAAGAGTGCTTCTTTTTAGAATGAGGATGGGCTGCAACAAATGAAATGCTGAAGCAGGAACTCCTGTTCCTCTGATATGAAAATCAAATGGAGACGATACTCTCTAGGCTGAGTTTAACATAAAAGGAATTGGGCAGCCCTGTCTGGAGGGGGACCCACAGGTAATTGTCTTTTAGATATGAAAATTGCTGACACCCACAGCTGGGTGCCCCTTACGTATTGCTCCAAGGGCTTTGTGCTTTTTTTTTTTTTTTTTTTTTTTGAGACAGAGTTTCTCTCTTGTTGCCCAGGCTGGAGTGCAATGGTGCAATCTGGGCTCACTGCAACCTCTGCCTCCCCGGTTCAAGTGATTCTCCTGGCTCAGCCACCCGAGTAGCCGGGACTACAGGCATGCACCCCCACGCTTGGCTAATTTTGTATTTTTAGTAGAGACGGGGGTCTTCCATGTTAGTCAGGCTGGTCTCGAACTCCCCACCTCAGGTGATCTGCCTGCCTCGGCCTCCCAAAGTGCTGGGATTACAGGCATGAGCCACCGTGCCTGGCCGCTTTGTGCTTTTTGTTTAACTAAATCTGAACTGTATTCACAGCACTGTGACACAGCACACATAATATTAAGAGTTTGCTTGTGAACTGCTAGATTCCAGCATGCCCACTGATTGTCCTTTTGAAAAATGTCATTTTGTTTTTGAGGAGGTGGGCAAGCTGCATAGTGGCCCGTCAGATACATATTTTAAAAAACAGATTGCATCCAAGAGTGACAGTCAACGTGGAGTCTGTCATATATGAAAAGATAGCAGTTCAGTTCAGAAGAGGGTCTAAGTAGAAAGAACTTAGCTGTTTCTGCTATAGAAAAACCTTTCTTACTGGTTATTTTTCCGAGTGGTGGTCTTTTTGCTTGTGGCTTTGGGGTCTATCTGGAAGCTTCTTTTCTATCTTGCCTGAGCTAGAGGAATGTTGCCCTGCCATCCCCTCCTAGTCTGAGTTGCCCCGCATTTTAAATCACAACTCATCCTCTGGCGTTCTCTCTGTCCTGGCCCTCAGGGTCTGAAGCATCAGGAACAGCTCTCTCCTGTTTCAGCTTTCTTGGCACCACTGAGAAAAGCCTCCAAGTGTAAGCCTTGCGACTTGTGTCTTGCTGTACATGTTGCCCTTTAACCTAGTGGGTGCCATTTTCCAGGGATGTCGGGGGGAGATTTCATGCACACCTAGGGAGAGCAGAGCCTGCACCTTGTCATTTGCTGGGGAATCACTGGCACCTGTGGGCGTTTCTGCCTCTCCTCCAGGGCGGACTGTGGAGAAACACTTGAACTTGGAGAAGCTTAGACTATTCGGGTGTCAGCCGGGAAGGCCAAGTCAGGGTGATCATCTGCCTCAGTTTGGAGTTCACAGGGAGACCCTGCAGGCCCCTGGATTGGTCACAGACAGTCAATAAGCCATTAAAAACAATATTTCTCTGGCTGGGCACCATGGTTCATGCCTGTAATTCCAGCACTTTGGGAGCCTGAGGTGGGTGGATCACTTGAGGTCAGGAATTTGAGACTAGCCTGGCCAATATGGCGAATCTACTACAAATACAAAAATTAGCTAGGCATGGTGGCATGCTCCTGGAGTCCCAGCTACTTGGGAGGCTGAGGCAGGAGAATCTTTGAACCTGGGAGGCGGAGGTTGCAGGGAGCTGAGATTGCACCACTGCACTCTATCCTGAGCAATAGAGTGAGACTCCGTCTCAAAAAAAAACAAACAAAAAAATTCTCGAGTGAATGGTCAGTGTCATCTATCATTGGAGAGGGAAATGCCCCCAGCCAGGAGTTAGGAGTCTGGAGTGCTGGCCCCCTTCTGACACTGACTTGCCGTGTGACCTTGAGTCACTACCCTACTCTGTGTTCTAGCTGTGTGTCTCCAGTGAGGGATTTGTGCTACATGACCCTGGAAGTCCTTTCCAGCCCCCTACATTTGGCCATTCACTGAAACTCATTCACTGAAACTCAGAGAGATTTTGCCTCTCATCAAGTACATGTTGCTCAGCAGATACAGAAAGTCCCTGTTTTCTCTCACACTTGCTGGAAAGAATCCCTCAGCCCACCATCTCCTGTCCTGCATTCCTGGGTCTGCCTCTTCCCTCCACACGCTCGCCCCGTGCTTAGGCCCCCACTCTTGTTCTTGTTTTTGACTCTTTCCTGCCTTCCCTTCCCCACCACAGGAGCATCACCTTCTTGCCACCACCCCGAATTTCTCTTTCGTCTTCCCCCTCAGAGGCTGTGGCCTTTTTTCCATTCATCCAGATGGGTTCCTTCTGTTTAGGGACGAGGGACATCCCCCTCTGAGTGCAGCACCTGGCCCAGGGAGCTCAGAAGAGTCAGCAGATGGCCTTATGGGCAGGTGGTCCGGAAAGGGGAGTGAGGAGTCTGACCGCCTGCTCTGCTTCCTTGGCCAGAATGCTATGGCATTTGCACGGAGGCTGTGTGATGCGATCTGGCTATAGAGTGGGGCATCCAATGAGCGAACCTCAAGGAATAAAAGTCATCAGAGGGGGCAGTGTATGGTTAGCATTGTGACCCCCAAATGCCATTGCTTTTATAGCCTGAGAAAAGTACTAACTACTTTTGCAAATAACCACCTATGTTTACTGACCTCTGTAGAATTTCTACTAGCCTGCCTTTCCCCGGGGGAGGGAATGGTAATAATACAGGTGAGGAACTGAGGAATTTTTATCCTTTTTCTGTTTGCTGACCAGACGTTCTGCATTGCTTTAAGTGAGTGAGTGGCTGGGATTTGCTTTACAGAGAAGGAGGCCTTGCAAAGAGAAATAGCTTAATGCCACTTCATTGGCACCTAAGACCTGCTACTTTCTTTGACTTAATATATTGAGTCCAGAAAGAAATGCCTGGGGCACTTTGAAAACTTCACAGGCCCACTGCTGCTTGCTGAAATAAAAAATTGAAGTGAATTGGTACAAAAATCTCCCTCTTCCTCCCAACTCCCCGCCACCCCGCCCCTGGGCACTCCACCCTCCTGGCTTTCTGGCCTTCTCCAGACCATGTCACCATGTCACCTGCCCTCACGGGTAAATCCTCGCCTGCCTCCCTGCTGGCTCTGCGTTTCCCAGGTCACAGGCCCTGGAGACTCCTTTCTGTCTGAAATGGCGCCGCATGTAGAGGAAAACACAGCCAAATATTCTCGGTTTAAAAAAGGAGATGGCATGTCAGCAGCAGAAGATAATATTATTGCCATTAAACAGAGCCTGCTATTGAGAATCACACAATGAGATCTTTATGAGGCGGACTCAGTGTGGAGCAGGGGGAACGCCCTTTGCCCTTTCCACCCAGTGGTGGGTGGGCAGAGACTGCAGACATACCCTGCAGGCGGCATCCAGACCGGCTGAGGGGTTGCGGGGGCGGCCGCATTGCTGCTTGGGGAAAACCCTACGGACTTCCCAGGGCCTTCATGGTCATTTGAGTTCAGGATCTCAGAGTTTCTAGGAAGCAGCTGGGAACAGTTACCTCTATTTTATAGAGGGGAAGACTGAGGCCGGAAGGACAGACACGACTTGCCAACACTTACCCTGTGCGTCGGTGCAGGTGGCCAGGTGTGGAACATACACCTGTAGCTCTGGCCTCACCGCTTGCCCTGGGGCCACCTTTGCTCTCAGCCTCAGTGGCCTCATCTGCAAAATGGGGCAAGTTTTGACAAAGGTGGACTGTGGTGGCATCACAACAGCATCTGCCCAGTAGTGAGCACTCCCATGTGGTAGCTATTGTCATTCCATCCTTGCTGGGTACTGACACCCTCCCATCTCTTGTACACTGAGCTCTACTCTCCCCCGCATGGCCGGAGAAACAGGCTGAGCTGCCGTAGGGCTTGACCTGAGTATTCACTGAGAGCAGGCGCTGTCTAGGCGTGGCTGGCGGACTGTGTGCTTTGTGTGTTGCTTCTGGGGGCGGCATCTTGAAACATTACACTTCCTGGGTCCCACCTTACCTGGTTAAAGTAGCAAATCTGCTGGTGGGGTCTGTGACTCTGTATTCGAATCTGGTGCTTGGGGAGCTTTTTGAAAGCATGACTTTCAGGGGTGCATGCCGGATCTGCACACTCTGGATCTCCAGGGCTTGGGAACCACTGCTCTGAATGTCATTTCTGCTCACCTGAACTCCAGGCTCTCTCTAGAGGAGGTGCACCCTCAGGCACAACATACCCAGCAGGCTTCCTGGTCCCTGGGTAGCACCGCACAGCAGAGATGGGGACTGGACTCTAGCAGGGAGGAGGAGGGGAGGTGCTGCTGCCGCAGGGCTGGAAGGGGCCCTCCCTCCTGAGTACCAGCCTTGTCACTTCTCCCCTGGCTGTGGCTCCCTGGATGTGCATCAGGCACCTCCATCCAACTGTCCCCAGTTGGACTCCCTGTCTGCTCCTTGCTGCTTTTCCGGTGCCCAGTCCTGGAGAGGGCTCGCTGGAGGTTGTGCTGGCGGTATCTGCAGAGTCATCCTAGCATCTTCATGTCCTCGTGCTGCCTTGAGTTGCTTTCATCTCTGTGTTACCTCTTGCACTCATTCCCTTACCCACACAGATTTGACTTTTGTCACCTCTTCCTGGATTTTGGCCCTGTCCTCTGAGGAGTCTTACTGTCTGTCCCCCACCTCCTGCCTCTCGCCAGGCTGTTTTTCTGGTGCAGCTTTCATTGTGCCGCCTTCTTCCTCTGAAGCCTTCAGTGACTCCCTCTTGCTCAGAGAATCAGCCCAAGTGTCAGAACCCTCCACGACGCGGCCTATTCCTGCTGCCCCAGCCCAGACTTGCATTGTCATCTCAGCCAGGGATGCCCTCCCTTTCTTTCCCTGCTTCTAGAAGCTTCATCACCCTTGGTGGCCCAGCCTGGGTGCTTCCCATTCACTGATCTCCTGTGATCTGTGGCTGCTGTGTGGCCTCTTCGCAAACGTTGGGCTTTTATCCCACAGCCCAGGTGGCATTCAGCCTTGCGTGTGGTTCAATCAAGGCCCCTCTGTCTCTTACATTTTCCTATTTCCTGCCGCCTGGGCAGCCTCACTCCTCAGAGGCACTCTGTTAATGCCCATGGGTGAATGAATGAGTGAGTGAATGAATGAATGACTGAATACACTGACGATACTTGATATCCTGCTTCCTCTGAGTGATGCCAAGAGACTTAGTGTCACAAGGAGGGAGGAGGGTTTAGGTATCCGACGTGGACTGTGTTCACCCTGATGGAAGCTGTCGCTTGCTCAGCAGTGGCTCCCTCTGCAGCCCCAGCTCCCTGAGTCCCTGTGGTCAGATCTGGTCATGGTGGGGGAGGGTGGCAGAAAGAGGAAGCCGAGAGCCCAGGCATGGCCTGTGGTTGTGGATGGGACAGCTCCCTCTGTCTGGGCTGTTCTTCAGAAGAGGGTGGGAACAGCAGCTCTCTCATTGGTCCTCTTGCGAGAAAGCCTGCTCTCCAAGTACAGAGGGTCACAACATGGAGAAATCACATGGTCCCAGCACCACAGTGGACCCAGCAGTCATTCCCCCAGTGCCTTGGGCTTGTCCCGGCTCTTCCTACTGAGCCTCCCCATGGAGGCAGGAGGGCTGGGAGGAAGGTGAGGTGGCTTCCTGAAGGGACGTGGCTCCTGAATGTCACTGCGGTACATCCACGGCTTGTCATTTGTTCATCCATGTGGCATGTGGGTTGCTCCCTCCTTATGGCGAGTACACACGTGTGAACGCATGCACACACTGTAATATGGATGTGTCTGTAATTGATACTTTGATTATTCCCTTTGCAGCACTCATTTGACTCGGGTTAGAAAGTGTTTACAAAAACGCCCGACCACATCAGACCCAAGTTTCAAAGTCCAGGACCAAAGTTGTTGCCACAAAATCTGCCTGTGGCCTGGCGATTAGAAAGCCACGTTATCCAATGGGCCATTGGTGTGGGCTGGTTCTCTGTGCTCCTCCCCTTGTCCCCTCAGTCTCCACATGGTTGAGGTCACACATTTCTCCTAAGGACACGGGTGCCCTCTGCAAGCAGATGCCGGGAGCCTGGGTCCACTCAGGTGTCACTGCGTGAATCTCGGCCTTGAACGGCTGGACTGGAAGAATCCATCCACCCTCAGGTGTCACTGCGTGAATCTCGGCCTTGAACGGCTGGACTGGAAGAATCCATCCACCCTCAGGTGTCACTGCGTGAATCTCGGCCTTGAACGGCTGGACTGGAAGAATCCATCCACCCTCAGGTGTCACTGCGTGAATCTCGGCCTTGAACGGCTGGACTGGAAGAATCCATCCACCCTCAGGTGTCACTGCGTGAATCTCGGCCTTGAACGGCTGGACTGGAAGAATCCATCCACCCCCTTGGCATAGTTTGGGCCGATCTAATGCCTGGCACTGAGCAGAGCGGAGGGATCTCCTAATGCCTGGTGCGGTACAGGGGAAGGATGGCGGAGCATCCTCAGAGACAGCACAGCTCTTCCCAAAGGTCCAGCACGCACACTTTACCGAATGCTTTTCTTGTGAAGGGAGTCATTGGGTTGGGCTAGCCAGGTAGGCTGGGTAGGCCTGTGGGGGTTAGGAACTTCTAGGCCCTTCCAGAAGCAAGGGCATCCCCAAGTGGGTGTCTAGACTCTGTTTCGTGGACATTGTGGCAGTTATCATACTGTCCCAGGGTTTCTTGCCCCCACCTGGCCCTGGGAGCTGGCAGTTACAGTGCTGGAAATGAGCCTGACTCACTGGGGTGGTGATCTTCCACCCCTTCAGGTGCCCTCATCCCAGTTCCTACTCTGCCTATGGGTGTTTTACATGGAGAGTCACAGCACTGGGGGTTTCCCAGAGCCTAGACTCTGACTTGCCCTAAAGCTGGGTCACACAGACTATTGGGAACTTCCTGTCGATCCTGCTGGCCTGATTGACAGCTGGAACCGGGAGTGGAGGTGGGGCCCATGGGAATGCTAGGCTCCAGCAAGTTCTGCCTGACCTTTGGATGTGAGGGTCAGGCATTCAGTGGTCGGGTCTCAGGGTTCCTTATTGCTAGATGAAAGCTTCCACGACACACATGTGTCTAAGTGTGCCCTTGTCCTATGTCCTGGCTGAGTGAGTTGGGCAGAGACTTCTGAGGACAGCGATCGTGGCCTCTCCATTTTCCTAAGGCCCCTGCATGCCTGGAGCTGGCTGTGGGGGCAGCCAGAGAAGCTGCCCAATGAGTCTGATGGGAGCCAGACCCGTTACTCCTTCTACTCATGATAGCTTTAGCATTGTTGTCCCGGGGCAACCCTTTCTCATGTGAAACCTTGCGTGGAACCCCCTCCACCTGAGATATGAGACTGATGAATGCAGAACTGCTCTGGTTGGAATGGTGGGTGGCAGGTGGGCTGTGGGGGAGTCCAGATCCTCTCCGCTTTCTCTTTGTCATCCCCCCATGGCAGCCCCTCTGCCTCTGGAGAATCCCAGAGCTTGGGGAAGCACAGGATGGAAACCAACCCATCCTGGCACTGCCTCCCCCTCTGCCCACCTCCCCTGCAAAGCTTGCAATGCGATTGGTCCTGGTGTAGCCTCCGTGTTGAGTTGTAGGGGAAAGGGTGTTTAGTAAGCAGGCATATACCCACGGAGTCGCTTAAGAAAACACCTAACCACACTGTAAGTTTTTAGTAGTTTCGTTTAATATCCCTCTCTCTGTTCAAGACAGGAACCAGGGTAGAGCACCTGTTTCATTTTCCCTGCCTAGGTTTGGGTTGGTTTTCTTAGCTTTTTATGACAGCCCATAATAGGTGAGCATTCTGCCCTTTTTAAAAAAATTAATGGTGCAGAGAGTTTTATTTATTTATTTTTTAGAAACGGTGTCTCACTCTATCACCCAGGCTGTAGTGCAGTGTTGCGATCATAGCTCACTGCGGCTTTGAACTTCTAGGTTGAAACAATCCTCTTGTCCCAGTAGTTGGGACTGTAGGTGTGCACCACTACACCCGGCTAATTTTTTACTTGTTAGTAGAGATGGGGTCTTGCTATGTTGCCCAGGCTGGTCATGAACTCTTGGCCTCCGTTGATCCTCCTGCCTTGGCCTCCCAAAGTGCTGGGATTACAGGCGTGAGCCACTGTGCCTGTTTGGTACATTAGTTTTTTTTTTTTTGTTTTTTTTTTTTTATTAAGACGGAGTTTTGCTCTTGTTGCCCAGGCTAGAGTGCAATGGCGCAGTCTTGGCTCACTGCAACCTCCACCTCCCAGGTACAAGCCATTCTCCTGTCTCAGCCTCTCAAGTAGCTTGGATTACAGGCATGCACCAACATGCCCAGCTAATTTTTTTTGTATTTAGTAGAGATGGGGTTTCACCATGTTAGTCAGGCTGGTCACGAACTCCTGACCTCAGGTGATCCACCCGCCTCGGCCTCCCAAAGTGCTGGGATTACAGGCATGTCCCACTGTGCCCGGCCGGTACATTAGTTTTAAAGGGAAGATTGACTGTGGGTGGCCAAGGGATTTGTGTTTTCTGACTTAACCATCCATGGCTCTGACCCCAAGTCACCCATTAAGGGCTGTTTCTCCCTTTTTTTTTCCTCTTCCTCCCCAAGCTGACCTTTCTCTCTTCTTAAGAAGTGATTACTGATTTCTTTAGGTTTTGAGGGTTCTGTCTTTGACTCTCCGTGATTGTTGGGTGAAGCCATTTGCTTAAATTCCTTGCTTTTAGAGCGTCTTAACTGCCATGGTAATGATAAAGGGGAGTGACAGTGAGTAGAAATTAGAGTTCTTTCTGGTTAACCCATTTGGGAGGTAGCTTTCTTTGAATATGACTAAGTGTTCCCCCTAATGACAGAGAGGATGTTGCTGGGGGTTGGGTCGCGGTGGCTGAGGCTGCTGTCCAGTTAAGAGAATTTTGCAATGAACTAGGGCAGTGGTTTAAAAACCTTGACTGCACATTAGAATCCCCTGGGGAGTTGTAACAAAATGCAGAGACCAGACCTTCTGACTTAATTGTTCTAGGTGGGCCTGGCATTGGTCGTTTTGAAAGCCTCAAGGTGATAGCTGGGATTAAGAATCATGGATCCCAGTGCTTGTTCTGATAGTTGGACTTCTGTTGAAACCGAATGAATGTCTGCCAAGATTTTCCGAAACCCAGAGCTGCCCTCTGCTCCCTGCTTTGTCCTGTCCTCTTCACGAAGGGAGTGGGATCACACTGTTGCTATCTGGCCAGGGTGGAGTCTACAGCCAGATGCTCCCCAGAAGCTTAACCATGGAGGGGCTGAGCTAATTGTCACCAGAAAGAGCCTCCTCCTTCAGTTGCTGTCCTTGGTGTTCGGGAAGGTTTTACTTGGCTAATTCCCTAAAAGGGCACTGGTTAGGACTTGGAGTAAGTGGTGATGAGCAAGAGCAGGGCTGGCTGGTGGGACAGGGTGGGTGCCGGGGGCAGAGGGGAACTGGAATGTGGACTGCTGTCCCCAGCCTGTGGCCACCTGCTGTGCTGGTTTCCCTGAGAAAACCCTACTGTCTTTAGGTTGAATCTGTAGTGTTTATGACCTAATCACTCTCTAATGATAGGTCAGGACTGGAATCTTTCCTTGTGGGGAGCCTGTGAGACAAAAATCAAAAGGGCCTGATAATAACATAGAATCATGGACTCTTAAGGCAGCCATTCACCTCCTTCCCAGCCCCGCTCCCACAGCTGGGCACGGTTTATTGGACCAGGCTTCAGAGGATGGGATTGTAAGTAACTCAACAGGACAGGATGGGAGCGCTCCAAGAATCAGATCTAAGTTTAACTTCCCTTTCTAGTGCTTTCTGTCTGAGCGTGATCATCCTAATGTGTTTCTAGATGGCTATTTCCACATGTGTAAAGTGGAGACAATCAATTCTTATGTCTTACGACTATGGAAAAAGTGAGTTTTTTTGTGCCATACTATTTGAAAGTAATCATTGTGACACCTTTGGAACAAGTGTGAAAAGATCTCCCTCTCTCTCTCTCTCACACCTGTCTGTATCCATCTTTATCTTTTTATCATCTATCTCTATCTATCTATTAATATATATTTATCTATCTAGCATGACCTGGGATAGGTGAATTCTATAGCCAGGTGGCCTCCAGAAGCTTACGAAATGATCGTCTACCAAATCTACCATCTATCTATTTCCCTACCTACCTATCATTTATCTAATCTATCTATATATTGATATATATCTATCTGGTCTATATCTATCTTGATATGACATCTGTCTGTACCTATGGTCTATCATCTCTATTTAATCCATCGTCTCTATATCTATTGATTATCACTTATCTGTTTTACTTATCCTAATCTATCATTAATCTATCATCTTTCTAATCTATCTGTATATATCTATTGTTTATCTAATCTATCAATTGACCATTCATCTGTTCATCTTTCATATACCAAAGATGCAGTTGCATGCCACCTGATTCCAGATGGGTTATCTCACTTCACTGTCACTTAGTGAGATCAGGAAGAAGTCTCAAGGATTGTTTCAACTTCAAGCCTATGTACATGAGTTTGCGTTTTGAACATAGCAGGAAAAACAACGATGTATAAGAAGCTTTCTTATTGGCTGGGCATGGTGACTTATGCCTGTAATCCCAGCACTTTGGGAGATTGAGGTGGGAGGATCACTTGAAGGCGCCAGGAGTTCAAGACCAGCCTGGGCAGCAAAGTGAAGCCTTGTCTCTACCAAAATCAATCAATCAATCAATCAATCAATAACTAAAAATAAAAATAAAAAATTAGCTGGGCGTGGTGACACATACCTGTAGTCCTAGCTGCTTGGGAGGCTGAGGTAGGAGGATTGCTTGAGCCCCAGAGTTTGAGGGTGCAGTGAGCTATGATTGTGCCACTGCACTTCAGTCTGGGAGACAGTGAGACCCCATCTTAAAAAAAAAGGTATAATGTAGCTTATAGGGCTTATAATCCTGTAAGAAGACTTCTTATGCAAGAAAATAAAAATTTTACTTTTCGCTATTTTTTTTTTCCTCCTCCAAATAATCTCTGGAGAATTTGGAGCCTG
This sequence comes from Homo sapiens, assembly GCF_000001405.40. Lineage (NCBI taxonomy): Eukaryota > Metazoa > Chordata > Mammalia > Primates > Hominidae > Homo > Homo sapiens. Next base: position 26,595,355 of record NC_000008.11, read on the forward strand.
ATTTTCTTGACAACACATCTGGCCCTGCAGATGTAAAGCAGTGTTCCCAGAAAACAGCCCGTCAAATCAATAACTCTTGCTATCTTTGAATTTTCAGCCTTTTTTGGCATTCAAATGAGGCCAACTTTATAAGTGGCCATTGCTGTGCTGTTGAATTCAAGCCCCTCCGTTTTTCATGGTGGATTCCTTGCATTGTCTGCTAGGGGGGTTGCATTCCTCGCTGAACCAGACCTCTGCCCTCTTCCCCGCTGCCTTGCAGTTTGCTGAGCTTCCAGGCAGGGCTGCAGGGTCGTGCTGCTGGAAGTATTGGTGACAAATTCTTCCCCAGTGGGTGTTTCGGCTAAGGAAGCATTTAGTCATGTAGGGCCTACCATGCCCAGCAGTGCAGCGTGGGAGAGGCCTGGCAGAGGGCAGAGCTCTCTTCTCTCCAGCCGGGTGTGGCTGGTGGCTCCTTCCTCTTTTGTAGTGTCAAACCAAGGGATAGTATGGACCCAGCAGAACTGAAAGCAAAGGGAGGACCCATTATTAGCCAGTTCTGGCAGAGGCGAGCAGCTTCTTTGTGTGGACAGGCATATCTCATGCCTTTTTGCTTCAGCTGGGAGTTTGTTTTTTTTTTAATTACTGTTATTTATTTATTTAGTACCTTAGCTCATTAGCTGCAGAAATCACAGGGGATGAAAAAGCAGGTAGGATGGGTCCATCCTTAAAGCAAGGAGAGAGTTGAATGAGGAAACTGTCCCTGAGGCCTTGACAGATATTTTGGAGCTAACTCTGAGCCCAGTGAGGGAGGACCTAATCTTTTGGAGGAAGTGCAACTTTAGCTTCAGAGTTTTAAATGGAAACTGGGCAGAAAGCCACAGCTTGGGCACAGCATTGGTGGCGTGTTGTTGTGTCACTTTGCACAGTTAGATGGGGCTTCAGCCCTCTTTGTAGGATGAACGTTTAGGTTCTTGTCCAAACGAATACACTTCTATATCCTACTAAAAATGATTGCAGGACAGCAGTGCAAACCAGGGCTGTCCTAGGCAAACCCAGGCATCTGTCACTCTAAAGGACACAAGGACACGTGTTGAGTCCTCTTGTCCTCCAGTGAGCTCGGGAAGGGGATGACCCTAGCAGTTGCTCTCTGGACCTCTCCACAGACCTGCCGGGAGTCATGGGTAGGAGTTGTGTGATTCTGTCCTTTTCACAAGAGATGGTTAGAAGAAAGTGAGGAGTTTGGAGGGAGCAGATAATTGATATCATTTATCGGGAATCTGTGGGACGCAAGCCCTGCATACACCATTTCTAATCCTTCCATCAACCCCGAAGATAGATAGGCTTATCCTCCTGTTATAAATGAAGTAATGAGCAGTCCAGAGAAGTGAAATGACTTGCCTGAAGCCACAGAGCCTGCAAGTGCGAGGGCTGGGATTCCAATCCAAGCTCTGGGCCAATGGCCCTTGCATATCCTAGAATGCGAGAGGAACGTTTGTTTTGTAGCAGTTAGACAGCCTGCTCATGAAAGCTGCTTTGTGCCCAGCCTTGTGACAGGTGCTTTACAACAATCCCAGACACAGCACCCACCTTGAGTTTGCCCTCAGGTACAGGGCTCCTATCCATCCTGGAAGAACAGAAAGATTTTGGTGTTCAAGTTTTATCCTGCCCTTCCATCCACCTGTTATTTAAAAGTACTTTTTCTGTAATATATAGGCAGAAAATGATCAGATATCATACGTCTCCTACTAAGTGGGAGGCTGCACCCAGCATGGAAGATGCTCACCAAGACGGTGGTATATTGGGTGTCTCTTCTCTCCTACAGAAGCCCTGGGTTGATGCCCTAGATCTCCCCTTGCATCCCAGAGGGGGATTTGGAGAGCAATCAAGAGGAGTAACTGATGCCATGCATTCATCAACTGAACTTAATCCTTCTTCTGGGAGGCCCGGGAGCCTTCTTCCATGCGGGGCCAGATTGAGCTGATTTCTGTCACGTAGGCTGCTCCGAGGTTGCCTTGCCCTTGCCTGGCACTCATCTTTTGCATTTCTCTGAATCGCTTTGGCGTGGGCTTTTATGAGGTTCATTAGGCTCAGCACCTCCCATGTCTGCTTGGGAAACACCACGGGCAGATGGCATTTTTCTTTTCTTTTCTTTTTTTTTGGATACAGAGTCTCCCTCCGTTGCCTAGGCTGGAATGCAGTGGCTTGATCTCAGCTCACTGCAAGCTCCGCCTCCCAGGTTCACGCCATTCTCCTGCCTCAGCCTCCCAAGTAGCTGGGACTACAGGCGCCCGCCACCACGCCCAACTAATATTTTGTATTTTTAGTAGAGATGGGGTTTCACTGTTTTAGCCAGGATGGTCTCGATCTCCTGACCTTGTGATCCACCCGCCTCGGCCTCCCAAAGTGCTGGGATTACAGGCAAGAGCCACCGCACCTGGCCTCTTTTTTTTTTTTTTTTTTTTGAGGGGCAGAGACAAGGAGGAAGATCAGACAATTTCTCAGAGTTGGAATTGTGTTCTGGGTATTGTTTTTCTCCTTTATGGAGATAATCCAGGGAGAAACATGAAGTGTAATGGAAAGAATTTGAGGCCCAACCTTCTTGATGATGCATCTTCATGGAGCTGGGAGACCTTCGTGCCAGGGTCGACTCTGCTGCTTATTAGCTCAGGCTCGGTGCCCCACGGCTTGGTCCTGGTTTTCTGAATCGTCAGATGCACCTGGATCAGCATGTCTTGCATAATAGGGTTGCTTTGAGGATCCAGGGAGGTGGTGGCTATGGCAGGGCTTGGACAAATTACATGTATGGGGGAGTAGCCCCTTCACCCCAGTTTTGCTCCTGACCGTTGAAGCTTTTTATATTGACCCGTGGCTACTGTGGTATTCGAAGGGCTAAATTTGTTTTGTGACTTTTGCCTTCAGCAGCCATCGCATTACATCATCTACCTTTTCTTGTGTTCTTCTGTCGTCGAGAATCAATTAAAATGGTCAGCATTGCTATGAAATGGTTTATTTTTTTGTGGATGTTTTAGAGCTCCTCCTCTCCATCTCCTGAATTTCTTTTCTTGCTAAGCCTATTCAGCTCTGTTTTTTAGAGAGTTCTTTTCCCTCCTGCTCTATGAAAACGTATTTTCCATGTTAAAAAAGGAAGATCCATGTTGCTGTACTTAATGCTTCATGTTTTAGAATGTTAGTGCCAGCAGAAAGCACCAGGAGACACCCGATGTGCCCCCACCTTGGTGAGCACCTTTCCCCCCAGGCACAGTCCCTGCTTACGGGAGATTTGAGGCATTTGATCATTTTTTCCCGTTAGCTTACAGCACAAAGTACTTTGAAATAAAGATTGGCTCGCAGGGCAGGTTGAAGCTTCAACACCAAAATCTCTCTGTTCCTTGTGGGTGGATGGGAGCCTGACACCTGATTACAAGCTCCAGGTGAAGAGCAGGTTTGAGACTTACACCTTGTTTATTGCAATCTTTCTTTCATTTTGCAGGCGGTGGGGGTGGGGGAATGAAAGCCCAGAAAGGGATGTGGCACTCGGGCAGGACGGGGGCTGCTTCTGTGCCTTTTCCCCACTGTGCGTATTCTTAGCTGCGCAAGTGTCGTGCATGTGCGTTTGGCTCACACCCAGCGGGAGTGCCCTTCTTGTGAAGGAAGCTCGTTCTCTACCGAAAAGCTCACTTTTCAGAGAAGAGCTGGAGAAGGCCTGTTGTCCATCTTAGTCCTGAAATATGAGTTTTCATTCCATGGCAAGTCCTTTTAATGAAAGATGGACTGGAGAAGCTGATGCATAGAAAAGAAATAGGTTCTTTTATGTAGAGGGGGAAAGTGTCCACTCTGCGGTATTTCCTGGGTCCTGTGGCTTGTAGGCATTTGAACTGTTTTGTCTTGGTTCTGAGAGAGTCAGATGATTCAGAAGCTGTGTTCTGCTGAACATTCCTGCCTTCTTGACAGAAATCCCCTATTTTTGTGGTCCCCCTGGCAGGTAAAGGTGGCCCCTACTGACTTGTAGGATTTCTGTCCATGATTGTGTCTGAAATGTCATTTTTTCTGGTTGTTTTCCCTCTTCATGTATTAGCTTGGCTCTTTCTTCTCCTCTTTGTCTTTAAGGTAATTTGCAAAGGTCACACTATTCTTGCTTCTTCTTAGAAATGTCATAAGGGATTTTCAAAGAAAGAAAATTTCTGAGTAAGAGTATCTCCCTCCCCTCCCCTCCCCTCCCTCCACTCCTCTCCCCTCTTTTCCCCTTCCCACTTCCTCCTTTCCTTTCTTTCTCTCGCTCTCTCTCTTTCTCATTTATGTTAGCTTACATGAGTATACTGACTCTAAAAATTTTTGATTCTACTACTGCACTCCAGCATGGGTAATAGAGCAAGACCCTGTCTCAAAAAAATAAATAAATAAAAATAAAAAATCTTAAAAAAATTTAGATATGATTTGTATACCCTCAGATTCACTCTCTGAAAGTGTATAACTCAGTGCTTTTTAGTATATTCACAGAATTGTGGAAGCATCACTACCATCTAATATCAGAACATTCTTACCACCCCAAAAAGAAACCCTACCAATTATCAGCTGCTCCCCATTCCCCACCTCTCCCCTTGCACCCCTAGCCCATGGCAACCACTACATTTCTATAGCGTTGCCTGTTCTGGACATTTCATATAAATGGAATAATACAATATGTGGCCTTTTATAGCTGGCTTCTTTCCCTTAGCATAATGTTTTCAAGGTTTATCCAAGTTGTAATATGTATCAATACTTCATGACTTTTTATGGTCGAATAATATTACATTTATGAGTAGACCACATTTTGTTTGCCCATTCATCGATGGATGGCATTTGGGTTGTGTCCACTGTTTTGGCTATTGTGCATGAATAATGTACATTTGTGGGCAAGCATTTGCGTGGGCGTGTGTTTTCTGTTCTCTTGGGTATATACCGAGGAGTGGAATTGTGGGGTCATGTGGTCATTCTATGTTTAATTTTTTTTTTGGCCATGTTACTGGCAAATATATTTAACTTTCTGAGCAACAGTCAGACTGTTTCCCAAAGTGGTTGTGCTATTTTACACTCCCACCAGCAGTGTGGGAGGGCCCCGGTTTCTTCGCATCCTTGCCAACACTTGCTATTGTCTGTCGTTTTGATTATAGCCATGCGAGTGGGTGTTAGGTGCTGTGTCATTGTGGCTTTAATTTTAGGCTTTATTTTGAGGCCCGTGTACTCATTCACTGACCCCTAGTCACATTTATCTTGACCTGTGATGTGAGAACTTGGTTTGGGTGTGTTTTCCCTACTCTGCACTGGCTCATCTGGTGTGGCAAGTGCAAAGATGTTTGCAGAGATGAGAATGAGTACCTGCAACCAGGGGTCCCCAGAAAGGCAGCCCTCTTAGCTCTCCCCACTGAGGACCCTTGAGCCCTCCCTCTAGGGCTCACCATTTGTGGCTGGCTGGAATGGCTACCTCCATTCCCTTGAGCCTGGCACCGCTCCTCGAGATTTGCTCTGATCTCACCGCATGGCTGAGAGTAAATCCTGTTTTGCTCCCTTTTGTGAGCCTTCTTCTTTCTGCTTCCTGATGGGGTGGGCAGATAGGTGGTTCCATGCTGGGGAGGGAACTTGGCAGAGGCCCTGTTAGCCTCTTCCTCCAGTGTCACCCTTCTGACAGCACACAGCCTGCGGGGTCCAGGCACTCTCAGCCATGATATGGACCATCTCCAGGGCCAGTCCATTCCTGCCGCTGATGGAGATTCCCTCCTGATCTCCAGAGGGCAGAGGAATCAGAATAGTTTCCTTCTACATTTGTAGTTTGCAGGAACCATTGCTCACAGCTGCTCCCTCCTTGGATGCTATACCCTCACTCTGTAAGATAGGGTGGGAAATGTCGCCTACTTTACCCATGAGAGCATCGCAGAAGGGAGAGGCTGAGGGACTTACCCAACTAGTATGAGGCTGAATGAGGACTCAGATGATGGTCATCTGGCTCCGGGGCCAGCACTTAATCCTGCTGGGTATGTTCCTGGGCCCTCTCTTTTTTTGTTTTTGTTTTTGTTTTTTTTTGTTTTGAGACAGAGTCTCGCTCTGTCCCCCAGGCTGGAGTGCGGTGGCGCCATCTCAGCTCACTGCAAGCTCCGCCTCCTGGGTTCACGCCATTCTCCTGCCTCAGCCTCCCAAGTAGCTGGGACTACAGGTGCCCGCCAACATGCCCGGCTAATTTTTTGTATTTTTAGTAGAGATGGGGTTTCACCGTTTTAGCCAGGATGGTCTCCATCTCCTGACCTTGTGATCCGCCCGTCTTGGCCTCCCAAAGTGCTGGGATTATAGGCGTGAGCCACAGCGCCTGGGCCCTCTCTTATAGGAACTTCAGGTGCTAATGTTGCAGGATTTAGGAGGACGAGAGAGACCTTGGGTTGAAACAGGAGAATTTTTACTGAGTGTACTCAGGCCCAGCTGACTTACGTTTAAAAGACTGGGCCTGGAACAAAGACAGTACTTGACATTTATATATATTTTATAAAAGGGGGTGGGCTAGCTTGAAATAAGCTCATAGTGGTGCGAAAGCAGGGATATTGAGGCAGGACAAAGACAGGATTGTATATGACTGTTGCCAAGCAACCTAGATGTTTGTTATTTAGGTTTGCCTGGGCAAAGGCTTATTTTATAACCTTTATTATGGTGCCCAGGCAGCTGTAGTTTAGGCTTATTTAGGCTTTTTATGACTTTTGTTGTATTTTTTAGATAAAACAGAATACTTGAAGTTACTAGTTATAGAGAACAGGAATTTATAAATTTTATAAAACAAAGGAAATTTTTTTTTTTTTTTTTTTTTATGTTGAGGGAGTGCTGCGAGAGTTTTTAGGAGCGTATTAGATAATATTATTAAGACTTTTTTGGGTCTGGGCCATGCCTTTGCTGCCTTTGGGACAAGTTAGCTTAATACAGGAAAACTTATTTTTTTTTAATTTTATATAAAAATTCTCCTGTTTCAACCCGAGATCTCTCTCGTCCTCCTAAATCCCGCAACACTAAGTGTGGTTCCCTTAAGTGCACTGGATTCAAGGTGACTTTGTCCTTGCTTTTGGATGTTTTGGATGTAACAGCGATGAGATGGCCCCTCCCAGAGCTGAGAATGGAGAGTATTATGCTAGACACCTGAGGCTGCAGTGATGTGGGCTGATGGAGGGGTGTCAAGGAGAAAGCATGTGGTCACCTTCATGGCACCATCACAGCCTTTGGTTTGTTTAAACAAAGTGAATTAGTGTTGTGGTTTCTGCTGCTAAGAAAACCCTGTTCGTTTATTCATTCACCTATTCATTCCTTCATCCGTTCATTTATTCATTTATTCATCCATTCATCCATTCAGCTGACATTTATTGGCCATCTGGCAGGTGCTGATCTGGGCATTAGAAGTACAGATAAGGTCCTCTTTGCAAAAAACTTCTTGTCTATTGGGAAGACCTACAAAGAAAAGATGAAAATGAAATGTGAAGATTGCTGTACTAAGGTTCCAGTGGAACAGAGAAGAGAAATCTTTAAAATCTGCCTGGGAGAGCCAAGAGAGGCTTCAGCCAATAGGTCCTATGTGAGCTGACCCTTGAAAGCCGGCTCAAATTTTACCCTGGGGTGGATTTCACCCATGGGGTGGGCAGGAGAAGGGAGTGTCCACCCAAGAGAGAGATGTGTGCAGAAGAATTTGGTAGATGAGTCTGGTGTATTTTAGAATTTAGACTCCGGATTTGACCATAGGATGTTTGAGTTCTATCTTCATGGCTTGCTAGCTGGGCAAGTGACTTTTCATTTCTCGGAGCCACAGTTTTCTTTCTTCTTTATTTATTTGTTTTTATTTTTATTATTTTTTTTGAGACAGGGTCTCGCTCTATCTCCCAGGCTGGAGTGCAGTGGCCCGATCTTGGCTCACTACAACCTCCACCTCCCGGGTTCAAGCGATTCTCCTGCCTCAGCCTTCTGAGTAGCTGAGACTACAGGTGTCCACCACCACACCCGGCTAATTTTTGTATTTTTAGTAGAGACGGGGTTTCACCATATTGGCCAGGCTGGTCTCGAACTCCTGACCTTGTGATCTGCCTGCCTTGGCCTCCCAGAGTGCTGGGATTACAGGCGTGAGCCACCGCGCCCGGCTCTTTCTTCTTTATTTTATAGTGGTAGCATACATAACACAAATTTTACCACTCGAACTATTATTAAGTGGGCAGTTCAGTGGCATTGTGTATTCGCATTGTTGTACAGTCATCACCGTGGTCCACTTCCAGAACTTTATCATCATCCCTAACTGATCATCATCCCTAAACTGTTGCCATTAAACACTAACTCCCCATTCCCACCTTTCTCTAGCCCCTGGTGGCCCCTATTCTATTATAGTTGTTTCTATGGATTTGACTGTTCTAGGAACCTCATGTAAATATATATGCTTATGACATTGCAGAATGGCCCCAAGTTCACCTATGTGATAGCCTGTGTCAGAATTTCCTTTTTTTTATGGATAATATTTCATCGTATATATAGACCATATTCTGTTTATCCATTCATCCATTGATTGATAGATACATGGGCTGCTTCCACCTTTTGGCTATTGTAAATAATGCTGCTATGAACATGAGTGTGCAAATATCTATTCAAGTCCCTGCCTTCAACTCTTGGGTGTGTGCCCGTAAATGGAATTGCCGCATCATACGGTAATTCTGCACCACAGTTTTCTGATTTGTCATATAATTTCAGGGTTACTGTGCAGCTTAAATTTGATTGAAGGTACAAAGTACTGAGCATTGCCTGGCACATAATCAGTATTAAGTCCCATCCTGAAGGGCCCCTTCTAGCCTCTCCTGAAAAGTGAACCCTTTAAAGCAAAAGGACTTTTAACTATTTGGATGAAAAAATACCTCTTCAAATGTAGTTTATGGTTCTTAAATGGAGGTCCTTTTTGGCACTTTTGTGGAGTTTGGGTGAGGAGTCAGATGGCCACATTTGCATAGTGAGGTGTGATTGGGTCCTGGAATGTCATGCCAGGGAGCAGGTGAAAGCCAATGAGTATTCTGCCAGGTCCAAAGGCCCAGTGGCCAGTTTCCATCTGGATGGGCCTGGAAGGCTTCCTGGAGGAGGGGGTAGTGGCCCCAGCTGGGGAAAGAGGAGGTAAAGGAATGGGTGAGAACCTGCCTGCCTCATCTTGAGAGAGGCTGAGGAAGCACAGAGCTGGGAAGGTAGCCACTGGTCTCCATGGCCACTATGCTTTGAACATACCTTTGCTGCAGGGCCGATGAAAAGTTGGACGTTAGCTATCTTCATCTCAACCTACTCCCTGTCAAGTCTTGCTTTTTTTTTTTTTGAGACAAGAGTCTTGCTCTGTCACGTAGGCTGGAGTGCATTGGTGCTATCTCGGCTCACTGCAACCTCCACCTCTCCTCCTCCGGGGTTCAAGTGATTCTCCTGCCTCAGCCTCCCAAGTAGCTGGGATTGCAGGCACATGCCACCACACCTGGCTAATTTTTGCATTTTTTTTTAGTAGAGACGGGGTTTCACCATGTTGGCCAGGCTGGTCTCCTGACCTCAAGTTATTCACCCACCTCGGCCTCCCAAAGTGCTGGGATTACAGGCTTGAGCCACTGTGCCTGGCCACGTCTTGCATTTACCATGGGAAATTGTTAGCGTGGTCATCATTTGGTCTGCTTTAGTAGAGAGTATCTTTTATGTTTCTCAAAGGCGTTATGTTCTGCATTGTAAATGTGCGGAAATCAGTCACCCAGTCACCTGAACTTCCATTTAACATCAGGTCCCTGGCCATGGGACTTGGGCAGGAGCACCAGGGCTGGCCCATCAAGTACCTCAATATATTGCTCCCTGATGAGGGAGGGGCCAGAATACATGTTATCACTACTGTTTAACATGGTTCCGGATATGTTAGCCAGTGTAATAAGATACGAAAAATAAGAAGTAATAATAATGGGGAGAAAATATAAGATTATTACTATTTTTTTTTATTGCCCAGGCTGGAGTGCAGTGGTGTGAACTCGGCTCACTGCAACCTCCAGCTCCCGGGTTCAAGTGATTCTCTTGCCTCAGCCTCTCAAGTAGAGTAGCCAGGATTACATGCACCCACTACCACACCCAGCTAATTTTTATATTTTTAGTAGAGATGGGATTTCACCATGTTGGCCAGGCTGGTCTTGAAATCCTGACCTCAAGTGCCTGCCTCAGCCTCCCTAAGTGATTATTACTATTTTTAGATGGTTTACTTTAGCCATTCAAAGGAATTAAATGAAGAAATATTTGATCTAAGAAGAAAGTTTATGAAGATGACTGACTTAAAAATAATGTATTAAAAATTAATAGCTTCCCTGTATGTCATAAATAACCAATCAGAAAACATAATTTAAAAAATCCATACACAATAGCAACATAAAATATAAAATTACTAGGAATTATAAGAATACATTCTTATATATGGAATCCAAGAAGAGTCTTAAATAAATTAAAAGAAATGCTATGTTAGTGAACAGAAAAACCCAATACTGTAAAGAAGTGTATACTTTAGATTAATTTTAAAATTGAAAACCTCAAAAGGTGGTTGAGTTTTTGTTTTGTTTTCCATTTGACCAAATGATTCTTAAGTACAGGTGAAAGATTAAACAGGTGATAAGAACCAAAAAATATTCAAAAAGGTCATAATGAATAAGGCTGGGAGACCACTACTGGCTAGATATTAAAACAAACTGTAAAAATATAATAATTAAAGCTGTGTGGTACTAGCTCCAGAAGAGACAGCTATATAAGCAGGTTAAAGTAGAAAATCTGCAAATGTGACTAACTGTATCTAGGTATTTAGTATATAAAAAAGGCTACATTTCACACTCATGGTAAAATTGTAAAATATTCATAGTATTATATTAGAAGTTAACTATTTTGAAAACCAAAGTAAACATCTTACCTTAGTTCGTATACCAAAATATATCCCAGATGGATTAAAGAATTACATTTAAACAGTAAAGTCAGAAGAGACCAGAAGAAAATACAGATGAAAAGCCATATAATTTAGATATTTCAGCAAAGGCAGAAATCAGAAAAGATGGAGATGCTTGACTACATAGTAATTAAAAACATTACTAACAGTTTAATAATAAAAGGATAACGAAGTAGGACATTCGACTTGCAATATATGATAAAGGGTTGATGCATTTAAAATATGAAATTTTAACATTTTAATAAAAAAAGCATGCTTTAATAGAAAAGGTAAATGGTATGAGCAAGGTATTCACAAAAAGGAAATAATTCCACCATTGAACTATAAAAAATATTCAACTGAATGAGTAATAAAAGAAATACAAATTGAAGTTTCACTGAGCTAAGTTTTTATCTACTAAACTTTCAAATATTAAAAGGGGTTAAGTAAGCTGAAAAAAATGAAACTATGTTGGAGGATTCACTTTTATCTGTTTTATTTAATTTCTTTTATATAAATAATACTTCAGGCAAATATGATAAACTTAATAAATGTCAATTCTGAGGGGGGAAGAATAAAGGAGTTAAATAAGTAGAAGTTGTAATACCCAGTGTTGGCTAGGTTGTGGTTAAATGAACACTCAAACTGCGGATAGGTATTTACATTGGCATGGCCCTTTCTGGAGGGTAATAAGACAGACAGTATCTAACAAGAGCTGTAAAAATGTGTAAACAAAAAAATTCATACGCCTTGACCTAGAGTAATCTATATGTAAACATTTAGCTCTAAGGATGTTCATTGTAGCATTATTTATAATGAGGAAAACAGGAAATGAGCTGAATGATGAAAATTGGTGACTGGTATAGTAAATTAAGGCCATCCCTAGAAAATAGTAGTATATAGTCATTAAAATTTATTTTGGGGGCCGGGTGGTGCCTCACGCCTGTTATCCCAGCACTTTGGGAGGCTGAGGTGGGTGAATTGCCTGACATCAGGAGTTCGAGACCAGCCTGGCCAATATGGTGAAACCCCATCTCTACTAAAAATACAAAAATTAACCGGGCATGGTTGCACGCCTGTAGTTCCAGCTACTTGGGAGGCTGAGGCAGGAGAATCACTTGAACCTGAGAGGTGGAGGTTACAGTGAGCTGAGATTGCGCCACTGCACTGTAGCCTGGGCAACAGAGTGAGACTCTGTCTCAAAAAAAAAAAAAAAATCATTGTGGGGCTGGGCGTGATGGCTCACACCTGTTATCCCAGCACTTTGGGAGGCTGAGATGGAAGGATTGCTTGAGCCCAGAAATTCAAGACCAGCCTGGGAAGCGTAGGGAGACCCTGTCTCTACAAAAAATTTGAAAATTACCTGGACATGGTTTTGTGTGCCTGTAGTCCCAGCTACTTAGGAGGCTGAGGTGGGAGGATTGCTTGAGCCTGGCAGGTTGAGGCTGCAGTGAGCTATGATCCTGCCACGAACTTCACAAAGCAAGACCCTGTGTCAAAAAGAAAAAAAAAAATCGGCTGGGTGTGGTGGCTAATGCCTGTAATCCCCACACTTTGGGAGGCTGAGGTGGGCGGATCACAAGGTCAGGAGATCGAGACCATCCTGGCTAACACGGTGAAACCCTGTCCCTACTAAAAACAAAAAATTAGCCGGGCATAGTGGCACGCACCTGTAGTCCTAGCTACTCAAGAGGCTGAGGCAGGAGAATCGCTTGAACCTGGGAGGCGGAGGTTGCAGTGAGCCTAGATCACGCCACTGCACTCCAACCTGGGTGACAGAGCAAGACTCCATCTCAAAAAAAAAAAAAAAAAAATTGTGGAAAATATTTATTAATATGACCATGTTCACAGTATATTGATGGAAATAAGCAGACCATGATTTCATTATGTCTGATTTGATACTTTTTTAAAAAACAGCTTTTTGAAACATAAAAACATTATGATGCTACTTTTGTAAAAAGTGTATATGTGTATAATAAGTAGATAGGAAAAAGATTGTCTAGACATACATCAACATAGTAATAGTGACTTTTTTTGGATGATTGGATGAGTCATGGAAGATTTTATTTTTTTTCTCCATTCTTTCTGGTGTTCCAGGGTTTTGGCATTGAAGTACTTTTGTACTTAGAGGAGTTTTATAAAAAACAAAAGTTCCCTTTGAGGGATACTTTGCATCTGGACTGTTATCTCTTACCCACATCATTCTTGAGGACGAAGAGAAAATACCTGTGAGGAAGTATTTACATTTGTTACGGTGGTGCTGGGCTGAGTTTGTGTGGACCCTGGACTCCCAGCTGTCCACACAGTTATAAAGAGTAATTAAAAGCTCCCTGAACAACAGGTCCCTTATCAGCCTTAAACCTTATTGTTCAGATACATTGGCTTTTATTCATAGTCTTACTAATCAACTGGGGACAAAAAAGACCCATTGAACCATTAGCCCTCAGCCCGAGATGAGAAGCGCATGATGGTACAATGGCCGTGGTTCAGACTCAGATGTTATGCTATGTTTTGAATTCAGTCCAGGTTCCTAGGAGGAAAACACCCATCAAATTATGTTGGCTTTAGAGCGATCTCAGTCAACAGATGACATCACCGACTTTTCCTTCCCTGCTGGTCTTTATTTGGAGGGGATGCAAGAATTGTGCAACCTTGGAATAAACAGAATAGAGACCCGACTCCTCACTCATTGTGTTTCTGAGTTTAGTTTCAATCCAACAGCGGATCTGTTTTTTTACTCCATGTAATGGGACTGTTGCTGCAGCTTTTGTACAAGGGTGGAGTGGGTGTCCATTTGCTGACGAGCACCCTGTGTACACGCTAGTTTTTATTTGAACGAGGTGCTCTTGTCTTTATTATGTATTGTCTGCCCATAAATGATGTCTTGAAATAGAGGGGTGAGCATCACCTCATTTATTTCAACCCATATTTGTACAGAAGGATTTTTGTAATCAAATCATGGGGTTTGTGTGTAGAACTCAGTAAGAAGTAATCATGACCCTGTCCGTTCATTTGCTCTTTGTTCTTTCCTGTTATTAACAATGGCTTTGGGGCTTTTGGGGCGCATTTAGTTCTGCACGTTGTGTATGTAAGTAGATGTTCTTCTGTGGGGGCTGCAAGTCCTTAAGTTATAGTTGGATTCCCTTCCCAGCAAGGAACCAACAGGAAGGAAAACGAAGTCAAACCCAGTCTTTGCACGTGGAAGCTTGTGGCGTGACTGTTATTTTTTTGTGATGTTCTGTACAGCCCTGTAATCTCTTATTTTTGGCAAGCCAACTCTGAATCTGTGGTCCCGTAGCCCCAGGCAACCAAAAGCTGAGACAAACAGAGGAAGTGTCGTTATTCACATGTTTCTCTGGCCACCTCATCGGGCTGGACGCTGCCGGCTGCCACCCGTCGCTGAGCTGGAGCTCCCCAGAGTGCAGCCTGGCCAGGCAGGGACTGTTGACCCTGGCCCCTGTAGGAAGCACCTCTGGCTTGTCCCCCAGCCCCCAGGGTCCCTGCCACTCATTACTTCTCTGCACTCTTTCTGTAATTTGTTCATCGCCTGGAATTTATTTCTGGCAGACTTTGTGGTCAAAACTGGGAAGTGTCTGTTTCCTTAAAACAGCCTTTCCTCAAACCCAGGAAGTGAAGTAGGGAGCTATCCTTCCTCACCTCCTCCCTGTCACATGCACATGGGCATACACACACGTACACACTCACCCATGTGCACACACACAGGCACACACATGAGAAAGGGACGGGGAAAGCTAGGGTGTCCACCCCAGCCTGGGCTCCTGGTATCCCTAAGGGTTTTGGAAGAAGAGTTTCAGTTTTTCAAAGCCTGCTGGAGATGTAACTGTCGTGATGTTTCGTGGGATCTGCAAGAGCCTGTAGCGTCAGGTTTCTTTCCTTTTGATTGGGATGACATGAAGTCTGTTAATGCGGGATCGTTTGTGTTATCTGCTCTGATAGGTGGTTTTACTTGCATTTGATTTTTGATAGAATGAGAGATGAATTGATTTGTTCCTGATACATTCTGTTGGGATACAGTCCATTTGATAGGAAGGTTGTTTACATCACAGTGTCCTGTATTTGGGGGCTGCCCTGGGATGTGAAAAGTCTGTTTATGTCTGTTGACAGAGGGTCTCTATGCTTCTTCCTTTTCTAGCATTTACTCTTATGTTACAATTAGTGCCTGCTTGCTGTGTGAACAGGACAGATTTGTCTTGTTTGTTTGGGTCGTATGCAGTTTCATGCAGAAGACTTAGCTAGATGAGTGACTCAAAGTTCCATGCCTGGGGCCCTCCACCCTCCTTCCCTCAATCACGCCTTTATCCAGTCCCTTCCCACGCCCTGTTCCTCATTGGAATCCTCTGTCCTAGCCTATCCCCCCTGCTCTCCCCTGGCATAGAAGGGTGCATCTCGTCTCCCCACAACAGCACTGGAAGGTGCTAGAACACTTGGAGAAAACTAGTTCTGTACCAGGGATTATGTTCAGCAGGTTTATCTCCTCAAGGCACCCCTAAAGTATGTTTTTACTATTTAACACACGATTTTGTAGGCCCTACTGTTGTTAGCTGTTCGTAGATACTATTTCAGAACAATGCTGTGAGTAGATACTATTATTAGGTCCATTTCACAGATAAGAAACCTGAGGCCCTGACAGGGTAAGGAGTCCTAAGGTTCTGTAGCTAGCCATGGTAGAGCTGGGGTGTAAACTCAGGCTTTCTGACTCCAAAGTTCATATTTTTAATCCCTATACAGTGAAGTAGGCACTGTTGCCATTTCTATTTTGCAGATGGGGAAACTGAGGCACTGAGGAGTTAAGTACTTTGCCCAGGGTCCTAGAACTAGTCAGTGGTAGAGCCAGGATTCTACCCAGACAGGTGAGCTCTGGAGCCAAAGCCCTGAGCATCTGTAGTAGATTCCTTGTGGCTTTCTGTCCTGTCCTTGTTCCGAGAAAGTTCCCAGGGGACAGTTACGGAATCACTGGGTGCTTGCTGTTCTCACACGCACAGTTTCTACTGGCTCTCTAGCATTTCTTTCATTAGTGAGAGAATGTTTCAGCCCAGCTTTTCAGATGGTGGAGTTGAGGCCCCCTTGTCTGAGCTGGGTATTTGAGAGCCAGCAGGCTTGAGGGCCTGTGAGGTCTCTGGAGGACACGGTGGTGGTGGGGCCAGGAGAAGTCACTTCTTGGGACTTTGGAAAGCCTAGAGGAATTCCAGAAATGAAACACCACACACTTACTGGAAGCCAAGTTCGTGTTTCTCCCACTGGTGGAAGGGATATGAGGTGCTGTAAACGTGGCCTTTTTTCAGATGCAGAATGCCTGTCTAATTACAGGAAACAGAGATGTCGCCCCACACTGAGCCAAGGATTTCAACATCTCTTGGAGAAATTCTGCATGGACCTGAAGTTTGAAGCTTTGCATTGTAACCAAGTTGGCTCTCCTTGCCTTCCCCCCAGGCCACGATTTCGTCATCCTGCTTTACGGATGGCATTTCCTATTAAGTGTCTGTCTGTGAACATAAACATGGAGCTGAGACAAAGCACAGCTTCTCCCTGGACCCGGAAAGAGGGACTCAGGCGCCTGGGGCTGGGGCCTGGCTCCAGACCTGCTGCTGCTGCCTGGCCTGGTTCGGGGATGCCTAGCCTAACAAGGCAGCCTGGGCTGGGAATCGCTTAGGCCTCAGGTTGATGAAGCTGGGAGAAGGGTTGAGAGGGCACCAGACCTAAGATGGTGGCCAGAGCCATTTAATCATGTGGTTGTAAAATTGTCAGTAACTTCTTTGTATGGCTAGTTGATCTGATCTCTCATGTAGGACTCAGTCCCCCAGTTGGATCTTGGAAGGTAGACATTTATTTGAAACAGACAGCCTGGTAGAGTGAAAAGAGCTTTGTGTTTTACCCCCTCAGATAGTAAGCAAAGAAAATGGAAAAAGCAGCGCTGTCTGGGGTGACATCCTGATGCATTGCTGGTGACAGAGTGAAGAGGTGACACATTTGGAACATAATGTGGCCATCTGTATGAAGAACCATAGTTCATCCAGTCATCCCAACCCTAGGACTCTCCAGAGAAAACCGTTTAAAATAGGGGGAAAGTTATTTGCATGAATATGTTCATAAGAACATTATGTATAATAGAGGAAATTTGGAAGAAACCTATAGGTTCTTCCACAGGGAAATTGTTAAGGAAATGATGGTAGATTCTCCGCAAGAATGGCTCCCATTAAAAATTGAATTAGTAAGACTCTAAGATAATGTGGTATTAAGAAAAAAACTCCATGATTAAAAATGAGCATGGGCCAGGTGTGGTGGCTCACGCCTGTAATCCCAGCACTTTGGGAGGCCGAGGCGGGTGGATCACTTGAGCTCATTATCTGATGCCCTGAATTGGCTTTTTCTCATGCACATTAGGTTAAGGTCAGTAGTTACTCACTTAAGTTACCCATTGCATGTGTTTCCAGTGACAGAAAAGGATTTAGGGATGGATCGTTGAGGTGACTGCTATGCATAGAAATGCCTAGAAGGAGGCGGTGGTTTAAGCTGTAGAAGGAGGCAGGTGCCAAGTGCTCCCAGTTTGGGGTTTGAGCTCCCACATTCTGTCTGCACAGCAGCAGGCAAGTCCCGTGGCCTCCAGGCTCTGCATCTGTGATGTAAGATCGTAAACCTGTCCTGCCTACCTTGTTTGAGCATCAGATGAGATAAGGTACGTGATAACACTTTGTGAATCACTTAAAAACACTATGTCTATGTGAGGTTGATATTATTGCTATTCAATAAATGCAAACGTGTAGGAAATTATAAAATGATTCAACTGTTCCATTCCTGTTTTTGAAACTTTCTGAAGAGAGGTGGATATGTTTCCCTGAGGTGGGGAGCTAGGGTTGTGCCTGTGTTCATCCAGGAAAATGGGATGAAAAGCCCAAGATACATCTGCGACATCATCTTCAGAATGTGAAATTACAGTGGGTTTGGAATCTGGGCCTTCTCTCTGCCTGCTCCCTGCCTCTCCTTCCCTACCCACAGTCTCCAGCTCTGACTCCTGGCCTCCCAGGGTCCTCTCCCAGCAGCCTGGAAGGAAGGGACATCCTCATTCCAGGGCCCAGGCCATGAGGAAGGAAGCAGTGGGCAGGGATGCAGGCTGCAGGTGTGGGCAGCTCCAGGTGCCCACTCTAGGCTTCAGGATGAGTGGCTCCCTTCCTGCAGTGGGTGCCCATCCTGGCAGGTACAGTCACCAGAGAGGCCCGCCTGCTTCAGCTGCATACCATGGGGTTTTTCCTGAGACTAAAGAGGGTCCTGCTCCTTATATCCATTGACCAGTGAGTGATGAGGAAGACTGAATGCTGACGGACGGGAGGAAGGAAGTCAGGAGAAAGGGAGAAGGGCTGGCCAGGAAGGAGGAGAGAGGAAATGACAGAGGAGAGGGAGAGATCAGGAGCCCCATGCCTGCCAGCCAGGGAAGGCCCTGCTGTTGCACTCTTCAGAACCCCAACTTGGGACATTTTGAATAGATGTTAGGAGTGTGAGTGGAATCTAATGAGTGGGACAGACCTCCCAAGTGAGCATTGAATATGAGGGCGGGTGGGGCATGGTAGCTCATGCCTATAACCCCAGCACTTTGGGAGGCCAAGGTAGGAGGATCATTTGAGCCCAGGAGTTTGAGACCTGCCTGGGCAACATGGGAGACACTTTCTCTACAAAAAATTAAAAATTAACTGGGCATGGTGGCACGTGCCTGTGGTCCCAGCTACTCGGGAGGTTGAGGTGGGAGGATCGCTTGAGTCCTGGAAATCAAGGCTGCGGTCAGCCAGATTGCACCACAGCATTCCGGCTTGGGTGACAGAACCAGACCCTGTCTCAAAAAAATAAATAAAAGATAAAAAATAAAGAAAATGAGGGTGGAGGAAGAAGAGCCAGCGGAAGATTCTTCTGAGACATGGGAAGTAAATTTGCAAGATTGCTGTCTGGGAGCTGGACAGACAGGAAGGGAACAGAACTGGGATGTGGCAGGGACAGGTTCCAGGCACTGGCAGGATGGGGGCCAGTGTGCAGTGGGCCAAGAGGGAATGGGAGCGAGAAGGTGGGGCGTCAGCAACATTCAGCTCCCTCCATAGCTCGATGAGAAGAGAGGGGTGGGGACAGGCGGTAGCTGGAGGGTCCTTCAGGATCATTTTATCCGTATCCCTTTCGTATCTTTTAGTGAGTTTTTGTTTTCCCTAACTGGATTGTTGGCATTTTAAGGGCACAGTTTGTATCTTCTACCTCTTTGTTTCCTCCAAAGTTGGCCGATCACCAGATCACTTAAAGGAGGTTGTTTGTTTTATAAGCGTTTTACCAGATCTTGGCTTAACACTTCCCCCAGAGTTAGTCATAATCATTCTAGCAGGGCTTCTAGATGCTGAACAATGACCGATGGTGCCACTTGATTTATATGAAGATACTGGTTTAGTTTTAAAAGCAAACTTACATTGAACAAAGTGTAGGAAAGAGAAAGGAGAGGGCTACTCAAGTGCCTGAAGGTCCGAGCAGTGAAGAACATGTTTCCATATGCCTGCCACCCTTAGGCTAAGGACACGGTTTTCCTATCTGTTTATTGAATTGGGTCACTTGCTTTAGTTATAATATATGAAGGGATAAGACTGAATTTCACTTCTCAATTAACTAGCCCTCTTGCTCTCTTTTGATCACACGTTCTGGGGTCAGATTCCAGCTCTGCCAGTCAGTGGCTGCACTGGCCAAGGCCACGTGGTTGACCACCATCCAGAGTTCTGCCAAGAGCCTTACCTGCCAGAGGCACGGGAGGTGTGGCTGTTGCGCAGCTTCTGTGGCCCAGGCCCTCTGCCTGGCACATTTTAAGTAATGTGAGCGGATTACTTAATCTTACTGTCTGTTCAGCTGAAAACTAGGGCCAACCCTGGCTCAGAGCTCAGGGGGCCGTTGCGAGGATTAAATGAGAGAATCCATGGAAGATGTTTAGAGTCGTACCAGACACATAGGAAGTGCTGAATAAATCAGAATGGTTTTTACTATGACTCTCACCTTTCAATGTTTGTGACTTAAACTTATGTTACAGTTAGTCATTTCACTGGCGTGTGCTAACCAAAGGTGGCCTGGCCCCTCCGCATCCATTAGGAGGGCTTGAGTTTAAAATCCAGGCCCTGTGAGTCTGCAGGGAGGACCGACGGGAGAGCTGGGTACTCCTGGGACTTCAGTGTCCAGTGGATGCTGGGGTTCTCAGGTTGGTATATTGAGTCACATAGTTCCATGACTCCCTTGGAGGAAGAGGCTAAAGTTGTCTAGAGGCAGGTGTGATGTTTGGTCTGTCCTGTGTGCACTGAGCACCTTCTGTATACCAGTCCCCCTGCTTGCTTCTTCCAGACAGAAGAAAACACAGATGGCAATTGGTCATATTTGAACAGTGCCTCTTATAGCTTACAAATACCATCTTATTGAACACTCATGAAAAATGCTGGGATGTATGTTATTTTTACTGTTTCAAAGATGAAAAAACTCAGGCACAGACATTCTAAATAGTTCCAGCTCTTAGGAAAATGCTTCTTTAGCATTGCGGGAGAAACAGTATATTTGTACAAGGCAAGTAGTTCACCCTGTAAGGCAGCACGTGCTTTGGAGGCACCTAAATACTACACAGTGTTTTATGCATGGGCGTTTTTCTTACAAAGGAACATAGCTTTATCTTCCTGGGGGTGTTTATCAAACCACATCTATGTAGCAGATGCTCTTCAAGCATTTCCCATATTCCCTCGTTTACAACACCCTGGAACCCTGAGTTAATTATTAGTCCCATTTCATGGCTGAGGAATCTGAAGCTCTGAGAGTTTGAACTTCTTGTCTAAAGTCACATGGTGAGGAAGTGGTAGAACTGACCTGGACCCCAGGTATCTGGCTCTGGTCTTTCCAATAGTGCCTCTTCAGTGGGTATCCCTTAAATTCTCAGGGGCAGGTGCTTTCTCCTCCTTTTATGCCCTTTTTTTCAGAGCAAAACCACGTTATCCTAACTGCCAAGCACAACCCACAAAGGCTCTTATCTCTCCTTCAAAAAAAGCCATTCCCTGCCTGGTTGATGAGGTCACCTGGCATTTTGCAGGGCATTTTGCAGGGTAGATGCCAGCTCGGGAAAGCCACATAGATAAGCCAGTGGATGGCTTGTGTTACTGCCTCCCTGATGGTTTGCTTTTAATTCAAGTCGATTCATTTATCTGAGATGAAAAAGGGAGAGGCTGATTCACACACATTGAAAAGCAGGGAATGGTGCTGGAGAATGAGGCCGTGACTATTTGGAATAAGATCCTGGAGATGGGCAGTGCTGATAGAGTAAATATCCAGGGAGCAGGGGAAGGTGTGTGCACTGACAACAGGAGTTTTAGCATCTGCCCCTCCTTGCTTCAAGGGGCTGGCGGGTACCCGAGGCGGGGTCGGAGGGCTGAGTGATGGCTCCCATCCTCCCTCTTCCCTCCTGCTCCACGGGTGTAACCTTGAGGTGGGATTGGAGGGCTTGGTGACCTCTCTCCTCCCTCATGCTCCATGGGTATAACCCCAAGGTGGGATCACAGGCTGAGTGAAGGCTCCTCATCCTCCCTCCTCCCTTCTATTCCACGTGTGTAATCCCAAGATGGGATCAGAGGGCAGGGTGGAGGGTTACACATCCTCTCCCCTCCCTCCTGCTCCACGTGCGTAACCCCCAGCTGACTTACAGACTGTGGTACCTGCTCAACTGCTTCAATTCCAGAACTGGAACTGCAGGGAAGCTGTTTCTGACATCCCTGGTTTTAATTACAAAGGGCCCCTTGAGACCTTGTCAGAAATACTGCCAGCCTAGCCCTTTAAAAACTCATGATATTGGGTTCTCTATCAGTGTCGCTCCCTGGCTGTAATATTGTACTATAATTAGGCAAGATGTTTCCTTTGGGGGAAACGGGGTGAAGGGTATGAAGGTTCTCTCTGTGTCATTTCTTAAAACTCCATGTGAGTCTATAGTGAGTTTTAAAAAGAAAAAGTTCCAGCCTGGGCAGCATAGCGAGACCTATTGTCTCTACACATAATAATAATAATAAAATTAGACAGTGTGGTGGCGCACGCCTGTGGTCCTAGCTATTTGGGAGGATGAGGTGGGAGGATTGCTTGAGCCCAGGAGATCAGGACTGCAGTGAGCTGTGATTGCACTACTGCACTCCAGCCTGGGTGCCAGAGCGAGACGCCTTCTCAACAAAAGAAAAAGGATAAAAGAAAAAAAAATTAAAAGTAGGGTCATTTAAATATGGCAAACTCCAAACGGGTCTTCTCTTTGAAGTTTTAGGGAGCAGCTTATTTACTTTGTGTCTCACACTTTGCTAATATCCAAAATGCAGAACATTAGGGAACCGCTTGAGGCAGGAGGGGAAGGAAGCACTGATTCTCGCTGCAGCATGGATGAACCTTGACGACATGATGCCAAGTGAAAGCAGACAGACGCACAAGACTACATCTTTTATGATTCCATTGATAGGAAATGTCCTGAATAAACAAATCTATGGAGACGGGAAGTAGATTGATGGTGGCCAGGGTTTGGGAGTAGCAGGGGTAGGAGGGAATGGGGAGTGACTGTAAGTGGGTACCAGGTTTCTTTTTTGAGTCATGTTCTAAAATTAGATTATTGCAATGGTTGTAAAGCTCTGTGAGTGAACTAAAAGCCACCGGGTTATACCCTTTAAATGAGTGATTGCATAGCATGTGAATTATACCTCAATAAAACTGTTAAAAAAAACAGTAGGGTCCTTTGATAGTTTTAATAGAAGTCATAATAAGAGGAATAGTCCTTTTTCAGAGACTGCTTGTAACTTGCAAATTCAGGCCACTGTCCTGGGGCATGTTCCTGGCTCTCATAAACCAGATTCACAGGCCCACCACGCAGACCATGAGGGTGTTTCCAGTCACTCATCTTGAGGGAAGGAACACCCAGTGTGTGCCAGGCATTTTGCCAGGTGCTTTTACCTACGCTTTATTATGTAAACTTTTTGCAGCCCTGCATGGTATGTGGTTTTACGCCTTTTTTTTTTTTCTTAATAGACAGTCTTTATCTGTTGCCCAAGCTGAAGTGCAGTGGTGCAGTCATAGCTCACTGCATCCCCAAACTCCTGGGCTCAAGTGATCTTCCCCACTTAGCCTCCCGAGTAGCTGCGACTACAGGCACATAACACCATGCCCGGGTAATGTTTTTTTTTTTTTTTTTTGTAGAGTTGGGGTCTCACTATGTTACCCAGGCTGGTCTTGAACTCCTGGCCTGAAGCAATCTGCCCACCTCAGCCTCCCAAAGTGCTGAGATTACAGGTGTGAGTCACTGAACCCAGCTCATGCCTATCTTTTTATAGATGAGTAAATGGAGGTTCCTGGCTGGGTGCGGTGGCTCATGCCTGTAATCCCAGCACTTTGGGAGGCCGAGGTTGGGAGGAACATCTGAGGTCAGGAATTCGAGATCAGCCTGGCCAACATGGTGAAACCCCATCTCTACCAAAAAAAAAAAAAAAAAAAAAATACAAAAATTAGCCGGGCATGATGGCGCGCGCCTGTGATCCCAGCTACTCAGGACGCTGAGGCAGGAGAATTGCTCGAACCCAGGAGGCGGAGGTTGCAGTGAGCTGAGATCGCGCCACTGCACTCCAGCCTGGGCAACAAGAGTGAAACGCCATCTCAAAAGAAAAAAAAGAAAAGAAAAAAGAAATGGAGGTTCCAAAAGGCTAAACCACAGTAAGGGAGTACTGCAGCAAAAACTAGAATTTGGGGGCTCCTTGACCCCCAAGCCTATTCTCTTTTCACTGCTGGTATAGTCGGGTTGCCAAGGCTGCCCTCTTGGAGGGGCCGATAGCTCAGGGAGGTCACCAGAGGAAAGGCCTGTGAGCTCTGTGCAAGTCATTTTCAGGCTTGTGTCCTCAGTGGGGACTCTACTCCCTCCGGAAGTGAGTATGACATTCTGCCCTATTCCCTTGGAGCAGCTCTTCCCAGGAGAGCTTCAGTGGAAAGAAAACTGTGGGAAAACATTTGGAGGCATTTCATGGACACGTTTCTGAGTGTTATGAGCTCTTGAAGGAAGCATGTTTATTTCCCCAAAGTGCTCAGCTGTGTCCGGGTCCTGAGTTTTTCAAGGGTTTATAACCCCCGGAGCTGAATTTGGATATGCAAGGAAGCCATGGGATTGCAGCCAGGGAACATGCTATTTTTTGTAAGTGATGATGCTGTTGTGTAGTAAACAGGCCCCTCGTGGTAAATGGAGAGCAGTGAATGGAGGTGGAGGGAGAAGTTTTGGGAAAAGATTTGCACTCAGTTAATGATGCTCAAGGTAGTTCAAGGCAGACTCAGTAGCTCCCGGGTTGCTTAGTAGAAATGCAGATTACTGGGTCCCAGTCTGGACCTGCAGCGTCAGAAACTCTGGGGTAAGGTCTGGGAACCTGTGTTTTATTTTTATGTTATTTTTTTGAGACAGGGTCTTGCTGTGTTGCCCAGGCTGGTCTTGAACTCCTGGGCTCTAGTGTTCCTCTTGCTTCAGCCTTCCAAAGTGCTGGGATTATAGGCATGCGCCACTGCACCTGGCCAGAACCTGTGTTTTAAGGAACACTGGAGATCATTACTGTGCACCCTGAAGTCTGAGGAGTCTAGCACCAGATGATCTGACGACACATCATTGGGATGTGGAGTCATGGTTCCAGTCACCAGCCTGAAGTTGTCCTTGTCTGTCACCCTCCCCACTTTGTCTAAGGGTGAGTGGAACAGACAGAAAGTAGACTAGTGGTTGCCAGGGGCTGGGAGTAGCAGGCTAGGAGGGAATGGGGAGTGACTGCAGGTGGGTACAGCCTTTCTTTTTTGGTGATGTTCTAAATCTAGATTGTGGTGATGGTTGTAAGGCTTTAGATGGCTTGCTTGAGCCTTGCAATGGGAATGAGTGCCTTGGCCTAAGGAGAAGGGAAGAAAATCTTGTGGAGGAAATGAGCTTTTATTTTTTTCCTTTTTTTTTGAGGCAGTCTCTTGCTCTGTCACCCAAGCTGGAGTGCAGTGGTGCAATCTCAGCTCACTGCAACCTCCGCCTCCTGGGTTCAAGTGATTCTCCTGCCTCAGCCTCCTGAGTAGCTGGGATTACAGGCACCTGCCACCACACCCAGTTAATTTTGTATTTTTAGTAGAGACGAGGTTTCATCATGTTGCCCAGGCTGGTCTCGAACTCCTGGCCTCAAGTGATCTTTTGCCACCAGATATTAAAATGTATCAAAAAGCTGCTCTATTTAGTACTGATTGAGATGAATGGAGCAAAATAGCCCAGGAACAGAACCTGGTATTGTCTCTCTGTAAAGTATGAGTGAATTTAAAACATTATTAGATATGTTATCTAGTAATAATAATGATAAAGTATTTTTTAAAGTCATCATGAATCAATAGAAGGAAAGGATTATTCAGTAACTATGAGCATGTGGGTCTTAGTGTCACCAGTACTTATCCTTCTTCTTAGGAGGGATTTGTTTTTTTAATCTTAAAGGAAATAGATATGTTAAACCTATCAGGCTTCCTTATTTACATTGGCTAGAGAGCCTAACTCTAAATTTAGCCAATGTATAAGACTAAATGTCAAGTATTTATCTATACAAACACACACATATGTACACACTTGCATCCACATCTACATACACATATTTTACATACACATATACACATATAAATACACACGTACATACATACACATACATACATGCCTCTTTCCTGATTTTATTTTACCATTATTTTTCTTCCGCTTTATCTTGCATTACTCTTTCTGGTTTATCACATTTTCTTGTATTTTATGTATCTCTATAAACCACTTTAAAACTTTTTGGGGGAAGAAAGTGGACTATAGATAAAGAAATAGAATAAGGTATAATATATAGAAAAAAGGCAGTAAAAATACACCCAAATTTGAATAGGTTGATTTTGGGGTGGTGGTGGTAATGGGATTATTAACTTTCCCTAAAATTTTCTGTATTTTTGAAATTTTCTACTCAAAGAATCATATCATCAGAAAAAAATTATTATTTCTGCTCATTCCCTTTGCTGGCCAGTGAAAGGAATGCATTTCCATAAGTGAGGGTCTGGCAGAGCAGTGTTGAGGGGAGGGGTCTTTGCCGCAGCAAAAGCTGGTCCGGTTCCCAGGAGAGCCCCTCCTTTGCTGCTTGACCTGATTGCAAGTGGAATGTGAGAGCCAGAAGGAAATATTCCATCACTTATTTAGAGCATTCATTTGGCTCTTCCCTGATCTAGGCGTTCAGTACCTGCTCAGAGGGAGTTTACATTCTAGTCAGGGGTCAGAGAGTAAATGAGTGAAATGGATTCAGAAACGATGCCACCCTGGGATGGTGACATATAGCCCCAGTGAGAAGGATGAGGAGATGCCCAAGTCAAGAGCGAGGGGAATGGGTTTCCAGAGAGAGAGAGGGCTGCTTGTGCACAGGCTTGGAGTTGCCCAGGGGTTGGGCAGGTCAAAGTGAAGAATGGCCGGGGTGGCCATTGTGGGTGAGCAGGTCAGGGATAAAGAGTACCTTGGAGAGATCAACTAGGACCGGATCTGACTGGCCAAGAGAAAGAGTTTGAATTGGACTCTAAGGATGGTAGACAGCTACTAAAGGATTTAATAAGGGGAATGGCAGTGTTTGATGAAAGGTTTAAGATCCTTCTAGCTGCTTCTGAAGGGTGATTTGTAGAAGGACAAGAGATGAAGCCAGGGGAGTGGGTAGGGAGATTCTGCCCAAACTGATTGCTACACAGTGATATTTTTATGCTTTTCTTTTTTTTCTTTCTTTCTTTCTTTCCTTCCTTCCTTCCTTCCTTCCTTCCTTCCTTCCTTCCTTCCTTCCTTCCTTCCTTCCTTCCTTCCCTCTCTCTCTCTTTCTTTCTTTCTTTCTTTTATTTTTGTTTTGGGTGTTGATGAGGGGACATACAACTTAAGAAGAAAAATTGGAATTATTTTGTCAACTTTTCTACATCAGCATTTTACTGATGGAATAAGCTTGCATTTGAACTGGACATCATTTTTGTTTTTATTAGATAACATTATCTGTATTACAGATACCAGATATGTGTGTACCCATTTATTTACTAATCACTAATACTTACAAAAAAGTAAATTTTGTCAAAAGAAAATTCAGCTTAGATGGCCATATTGTATGTGTGTGTGTGTGTGTGTGTGTGTATATGTGTGTGTGTGTGTGTGTGTATATATATATTTTTTTTTTTCTTGAGACAAGGCCTTGCTCTGTTGCCCTGGCTGGAGTGCAGCGGCACAATCTTGGCTCACTGCAACTTCTGCCTCCCGGGCTCAAGCAATTCTCCTGCCTCAGCCTCCCAAGTAGCTGGGACTACAGGCATGTGTCACCATGGCCAGCTAATTTTTGTATTTTTAGTAGATACAGGGTTTCACCATGTTGGCCAGGCTGGTCTCAAACTCTTGATTCATGTGATCTGTCTGCCTTGGCCTCCCAAAGTGCAACGGCTATATTTCTGACATATACAAATCCAAGCCCAGTTGATCAGAATTTAGCAGTATCTGCAAGATTTGAACCATTTCAGAAATCTGAGCTCTCTAGCATTACATGGACTGATGTTTTCTTAGCTCAGAACTGCTTACCTGTGTGTAGAAAATCTAATATTTAGGAAGAATAATTCATTGCTTTAAGTGTTCAGTCCTGGTTTTTATTTCTATTGTTGCACAAGTTTGATTTGACCTTGGACAAATCATTTCAGTTTGTATTTTAGTGCTTGTGTGCAGAAGATGGGTAGTAATAGTCCTGGTAATCCTCCTGCCATCATGTTAACTGGGTGAGAGCTCTTCAAGACCTAGGAGAGATAATAGCAGGTGCAAAGTCCCTGTGGTGGGAGGCAGCAGGTAGATATTTTAGGAGCTGAAAAACGGTCTGTGTAGCTGGAGAGCAGGGTACAAGGGAGAGGTGGTCCAGGGTCATGTTATAGAGGTAGGCCAGGGCCACACTGGTTGGGGTTTTGCAAACCTTACTGGGGACTTGAATCTTTATCTGAAGAGCAGGGGGAAGTCATTGGAGGATTTAAATCAGGGAATGACATAAGATTGATGGATATGCTATCTCCTTTAATCCTCATAACAAATGTATGTGCTAGGTAATATCCCCGTTTTAAAGCAGCACAGAAATTAGGGCAGTGGAGATTAAGGAGTTTACCCCAGGACACCATGCAGGTGAATGATGGAGCCAGGAAACCAACTCGGGTCAGCTTGCATCCAAAGTCCTCAGTCTTCCAGATCAGCGTACCTCCATAGTAATATAACAATGACTGCAGTTTTAAAACACTTTGAACTCTTAAGATGAAAGATTTCCCTTAAATTACAAAGTGGTATTATGCTGCAGAAATGTGAGCGGTAATGAGAGAGCAGGTAATGCCCGGGAACTTTTGAAAGGCCCGGTCCGTGTGGCTCTGCTCCAGCACCTTCAAGTTCCCTGCCGTCTGGCGGGGGGCGTCTCATAAGCTGCTTTCAACACAAAGAAGGGTTTGGCTGCTCCCCGGCCATTTGACACTGCCATTGTCCATAAGGACTCGTTGTCCGTGAAATGCACCCAAAGCTTGAGCTTTCAGGGGTTTTGGGAAATCAGATCTGGGCAGTGCATGTGTGGTTTCGCTGGAGACATCATCCAATGCCAAGTTTCTGCTTTCTGCTTTCTCCCTCTTGGATAATCAGCTGGGTTACATGGATTCTTAGAAGCTGGTTGTAGAGATCACCATCTCGATTTTGAACCCAAGAAGCCTTATTCAGGGTTCAAGTGGGAAAATACCTGCTGGCCCACGGCCCTTGAGGCTCTTGGTGATGATGACATATGTCTGTTTCTTTCTAGTTGACCACGTTGTTCCTGAGCCTGGGACAAGCCTGCTCGCTGCCTTTGACCAGTGGAGGGAATGGGCCGACAGCAAGTCCTGCTGTGACTACTCTCTGCATGTGGACATCAGTGAGTGGCATAAGGGCATCCAGGAGGAGATGGAAGCGCTTGTGAAGGATCACGGTAGGTTGCACTGAGTCAATGCCCTCTGCAGATGTTTCCGCTTCAGTCCATCAACTGGCACAGCCCTGGGAAGAAAGTGATAATGCTTCCAGATCCCATTTGTGCCTCATGCCCATGCCTGCCCCTGGGAAGGAGAGAGGGCTTTGGGCCGCAGCTTATGCTGTTTGGAGGTGGCCTTACCCAGTGCAGTAACATGAGCCTTCATTGATGATAAGAGAAGATGAGGCTTACTGCTGGGACCTGTTCTTAGGTGACAGCTGCTCACAGCTTATTGGTTTGTGAGCACCGTGCTCTCTAGCCAGGGTGGGGAGTTGAGGCTGCTGAGAGAGAGATTTACCCTCAAAAGATAACAAATACATATCTCAGTGAGGATTTGACAGTCTCAGGAGAGTGTTGGGCAGCCCCTTCCTACAAACCTGGATGGATCTAGGATAGATTTGAGGGCTATGAGACACTTCAAAACTGAGTGACAACCTGAGAGGGCTTTTCCTTTCCCTAGAATTATTTTGGAGAACAAATTTCCAGGGATTGGGAAGATTCACAGAGAGGCAGGAGGAATCTTTACCACCTCAAGGTGCCTCTGGGACTCTTGTCAACAAGAACCTCGGGGGTTTGCGGGGAAGAGCCAGGCCACATCATCTTCCTGGGTCTCGCTGGGCTTGGCTAGAGACCAGATTAACTTCACTGGATCTTAGTGTTCAGGGAAACACCTATTGCTTTAGGGTTCTGGGGACTTCCAGGCTTAGAAACACCATGTGCTGTGAGTGACATGGCAAGAGGGAAATCTCTAGGTACTAGAATGATAGAAAATGCCCCGGAATGAAA
This sequence comes from Homo sapiens, assembly GCF_000001405.40. Lineage (NCBI taxonomy): Eukaryota > Metazoa > Chordata > Mammalia > Primates > Hominidae > Homo > Homo sapiens. Next base: position 26,625,133 of record NC_000008.11, read on the forward strand.
AGCAAGAGTCTTGGGTTTATTTCTCTGATCTTCCACAGACTAACTGTGTGACCCTGGGTAATTTGCTGAAATTTTATGGGTCTCAGTTTTTTAAACATTTCTCATATATGAGGGTCTTGGACTAGATGTCCTCTAAGATTCTTTCCAGCACAAAGCTTCCACATAAAAGAAAATAGGTAAACTTTGACTTTTCTCACTTTTGATCATGCGGAGACTCCAAGTGGTTTAACTGTGGATACTTAGACTGAATCTGCTCCAAACCAGGCAGGAGGGTTACCATGGTAACTGTTGCCTGGCAACGGGAGAAGGGCCAGGATGTCCAGAGGCATTTAACTCAGGCAGCTCCCAGCACCCCCCAGGTGGCTTGAATTAAACTCCAAGGCTGCGAGGTTGTCAGGACAATTGTTTAAAATTGTGATGAATGTTGGGCAGGGATGTTTGGTCTGGTGCCTAGGGAGGCAAGAACTCCAAGACGCCAGGATGAGAATTGCGACATCTGCTTGTTGAACTAATGGACCTTTTCTTACTTAAAAAATCATTTGCTTAAAAATCAGCATGGAAGGCAGTCTGTCTGCCAAAGAAAAGACATTTATCACAGTTCTTCATAGGCAGAAACTTCTAATTCATTTTCTTGTTACAGTCGCAACAGACTTGTTTGGTAGAGGCAGCTTAAAAAATTAACTGTGGTAAAATAAATATAACATTCAAGTTACCATCTTAACCATTTTTAAGTGTGTGTGCAGTTCATTGTTTTAAAATACACTCATAATGTTGTTGCAACCATCACCACCCTCCATCCACAGGTCTCTTTATCTTGCAAAACTAAAACGCTACACTCACTCATTAAACACTAACTCTCCACTGTCCTTCACCCCAGTCCCTGGCAACTGCTGTTGTACTTTCTGTCTGTGAAATTGACTTCTAGGGACCTCATACAAGTGGAATCATATAGTATTTGTCCTTTTGCAACTGGCTTATTTCATTTACCATGATGTCCTTAAGGTTTCTCCATGTTGTAGCATGTGTCAGGGTGTCTTTCCTTTTTAAAGGCTGAATAATATTCCATTGTATGGATAGACCACATTTGGTTTATTCATTTATCAGTTAATGGAGGCTTGATTTTTGCTTCCACCTTTTGGCTATTGTGAATAATTCTGCTATGAACATGGATGTGCAAACACTGGCAACTTTTAATTTTGATATACTTGTAAACTTACAGGAAGATTATAAGAATACTAAAAAGCATCCTTGTGCCTCTTCCTCCCACATTCACAGGTTATTTATATGGTACTCTGCTTCCTTTACCATTCTGTGTCTCCATTTCTCTCCTCTCTCTTTCTCTGTACTGAAACACACACACACACACACACACACACACACACACACACACGTACACACACAGACAGTATTATCACTTTCTTATCCCTTATTTGGTTATTTGGTTTATCTATTAAAAGTCCACTTCTCTATTTTGTCCGCACTAGGGGTAAATTCCTTCCTCGTGTACATGGCTTTCAAAGATCGCTTCCAGCTAACGGATTGCCAGGTAAGAAAGTCGGCTTTTCGGAAGAGGCACCCTGACATTTGGTACCTTCAGGCTGTGGCCGTTTGGGAAAGCAGTCTCCGATGTATGCATGTTTCCTAGCTTCCTGGGAAGTGGCTGGTGGATGCAGTTACTGATGTAACTGAGCCTTGGAAGAGAGTATGAACGCAGTGCCCTGGCCCCCAGCACTGCCACTCCGCCGCCCTGGATCTGAGGCTCTGCCCCGCACGGCGTGTGTGGGAGCGGCACTCAGAACCTCCTTAGCAAACCTGGTGCAGAGCCAGGTGTCACCCAAGAGCTTCTCACTCCCGGTCCACGTCCTGCTAAGTTGTACTGCCTCTGTTAATTTCTGAGGGGTCTTTCTCCATCAAATGTGGCCAGTAACATTGCCCTCATCATATCAAAAAAAGTCAGGCTAATAGAATCGCCTAGGTGTCCTGTTTCTCATCCCAGAAATGCCTCTGGTGGGGAGATGATTGTCTTTGTGAACAGGAAGATGGAAGTCCCTGTCTCTGATCCCACCCTTGTCTCTCTCTCAGATTTATGAAGTACTGAGTGTGATCCGGGATATTGGCGCCATAGCCCAAGTCCACGCAGAAAATGGCGACATCATTGCAGAGGTACAGGGCTTTCTTTTTCGTCATTTCTTCATCACCTGGAGGGTGAGAGGCAGGCTCAAGAAAGGGAAGCTGCATCTGTAGCTTAACACCAAGGTGGAAAAGCAGAGGGACCTGGTGTTCCCTTGCTGGAGCTCTGCTCAGTCTCACCCATGGCATGAATGCCAGTGACACACGTGCCTCTCCGTGTGTGCCACAGAACATCTAAGTCAGTTACTATTGCAGAGAGAGGCCATTTCTCTCGGTGCTGTAACGCAGCTGCCTTGGGTGGGGTACGGGAACCCTCACGTCACACACAGGCATTTTACACCGTGGCTGAGGGTTGCAAATGCACCAGTCGTCAGCATCCCAGGGAACAGCTGAATGGGTTTTGGGAGGCTGTAATTGATCCATCCTGCTCAGGCGGGACTGGGAACAGGGCAGTGAACCCTTCTCTTCATGAGGTCTTGGGATGAGGGCAGAACGATCGGCAGTGGTAATTTTCCATCTTGCCCGGATAACTGCATGCCCGGGCCTCTGCCATCAGAGCTGTGCAAAATCCACTCTCCCTCACAGCCTGACTTTCTCTAAACATTGCAGGAGCAGCAGAGGATCCTGGATCTGGGCATCACGGGCCCCGAGGGACATGTGCTGAGCCGACCTGAGGAGGTGAATGTTCACCAAGCGGAATGCGTGAATCAGTGTCCCTTGGGCACTGTGCAGAGCCTCAGGGAACCTGCTTCCTGCCTGTTGAGAAGGGGGCTTCTCTGATGCTGACTGTGGTCTTTCTGAGAAGCTGTGGGTCACGTGTGTGTCTGTCTGTCTACGCAGGCAAAGTGAAGTGTTAGATTGCTCCTGAGGGTAAGGTGGTGTGGACTGTTTCGCCAGAAGATTCTTCTTTCTGTCTGTAATTCTTCAAGCCCTTGCTTGTATAGACACAAACAGTTCTTCATTGGCATCCTGCAATGTAGATTTTAGTGGTTCACAACTTATGGTCTCCAATATCTTACCAAAATTCACCAAAACGTAGTTGGAAGGATGGAAAAGCTCTTCTAAATGCCTAGAAGGCGTGTGGGGAATTGTTTTTCCAAGGTAACCCTGCACAGGATATCACATGATATGCAGAGTTTGGTAGACAGAATCTTTTAAAATTATGGAGGGAAGATTCAGAGCAGGGGCCTGTGCTGGCTCAAAGGTGGAGACTCACCGTCTTGGTGAGGTGTGTGAGTTCGAAGGGAGGGTGCACACGTCTTAGGTAATGGAGAACCTGTGTTCATCAGTTAGAATTTGTGGCTGTGAAATACTTTTCAGAAGTTGGTTCCTTAATGACAGGCTGGATGTCAGGCTCTAGGGGCCCTGACTAGGGAGCAGCCTGCAGCTTCGAGTGAAGCGTGCAATCAGGGAATCTCCAGGGAACCACCAGGATTTCCCCTTCATGGGAGGAAGTGGCAGAAAAGGGACTGGCGCCGAGCAGTGGGGGAAGATCACCAAGGGCCTGAGTGGAGGCTGACAGTGAGGAGGCTCCAGAAGCCTGGGAGGGAGGAGCTTGGCAAGAGCTCCCTGCAGGGCTGTGGCCACTGAGTCACTGAGTGTCAGCACCGTGCCACCACCCTGAGTTTGGGATGTGGTCATGTTCATACCAGTGTGGGAGGGGAGCCGGTCCCTGTGATAAGGAAGTGGATTCAGGAGGGCTTGGAAGCAAAGGCACCATCTGTGTACTGCCTCGGGTGCAGGAGGGGGTGGTTGGGATCCTTTCAGACTTGAGGGGAAGGGATGAGGCTGGAAGAGGAGAAAGGAGTCAAGACAGGCAGAAAGACGAGAGTGGGAGCCACTCGGAATGCTTTGCACACAGTCAGGGTCCACGCTTTGTTCTATCCTTCTTGCTGCATGCATATGCACACATAGACACACATGTACACACAGACATAGGCACACGCAGACAGGTAGGCACACAACAGACATAGACACACATGCATACACATAGTAACACACACAGACACATAGACACACAGACAGCTAGACACAGCCATAGACACCTACACACACACACATACACATAGACACACAGACACATACAGACACAGACACAGACATACACAGACACATACACATGCAGAGGCAGATACACAGAACTGCATGCTCCAAGACACTTTCAGTAGCATTTGAGGCCCTGAGGACATTTTCCTCTCCCCAGATGACAGAATGGAAGCCGTGACATTTTCAGGATTGCACGTTCCTGCTTCAGGCCAGGGATGCAGGCCCTTTTGTAGCTATCAACCTTCTCATGCGTGCTAAAGGCTGAAAGGGTGGCCTGGCACAGGCCCGAGGATGAGGGAGGCAGGCAAGCCCCTGTGTCAGCTGAGGGAAGCCCCATGCTGAGACCGTGGCTGGTGGACAGTGATTGCAGGGGACAGCTTGCAGGCGAGAGCAGGCTAAGATCAGCCGACCATAAACATGCCTGAGGCTGATTTTATTTTATTTTATTTTATTTTTTTTCCTTTTTCTGGAGAACGGGGTCTCACTATATTGCCCAGGCAGGTCTCGAACTCCTGGGCTCAAGCTATCCTCCCACCTCTTAGCCTCCCTGAGAGCTGGGATTACAGGCGTGAGCCACCGCGCCCGGCCGAGGCTGATTTTATGCACATTTGTGTGCACACAGATCCACGTGCACAAGCACACACACGTGCACACACTCACGTTCACACACATATACATACACACACGTCCATAGGCACAGACATGCACGTGTACACACACAGACACATTTTAGCATACGCACATGTGCACAGGCACAGACACGCACATATGTGTTGTACCCACGTATTTTCACATACACATATACACATGTACAAGCACAGACACGCATAGGTGTACACACACATTTTCACACACACATGCACATATGCGCTTGCACACACCTATGCAGGCACCATCCCCCTTTGCAGACACCGCAAGGGTTCGTTTCTGTGGTTTCACTTCTCCCTCTGGGCCGGCTTCTGTGACTGCCCTCGCCAGATTCCCCAGGATCCACCTGTCGGGTGGTTTAAACCATGGCAGCATAAGCCATGGTTGCTCTCAGCCCTGACCTCCCTGGAATTGGGCTTTGTTCCCAGGGCTTTGTTCCCAGGGCTTTGTTCCGCCCTGAAACAGTCTTGGGATTGGGCCTTGGAAATGCACAGAGTCCGGGAGAGGTGGAGGGCTGACACAGTTCTCACGTGAGCCCTGTTCAAAGCTGCCTTCATTTAGTGCTCACGTGTGCTGGACACTGTGTTCCTGGCCCACATTTCAGTTTTGTAACTGTCCTGTGCAGGAGGTACAACATCTCCTTCCCACAACTCCAGGGATGCCATTCATGCAGGCTGCATGGCTGTATTCAGGGAGCACCATTTACATTCTACTGCCCATGAGTGGTGGTACCAGAGCTGTGCTGCAGTGGGCTCCTTGGTTATCTCTCTTTAGATGAGGACACTCCAGAAGCATGAAGTTAAGTGACTGCCCAGTTATCAAAGCAGAGAGCTAGAAAGTGCAGGGTCCTGCCTGCTACCCCAACCCCTCCCGCAGTGTACACATACTCAGCTTAAAGCCACACCTGGACCTGGGCTTTATTAGAAAGTTTCCTCCTGCTTTCCTCCCGTTTGGTGACTGGGAGCCAGTCCCTCTGCCTGCCATGTACCAGCTGTACAAGGAGGTGAGAAGATGTCCTCTGAGAAAAGCAAATGCCACTTCTGCAAATGCTACATGAGGCTCCTGCTGAGACCCTCACTCTTCAAGTTTTAGAGCCTTCTGAGGGGCTTGCATTCCTTCTTTCTCCTGCTTTCTGCAGAGAAGTACACAAACACAGAAAGAAAGGGCCCTGGCTTTGCTGAAGAGGAAAATGCTCTCAGAGAGTTGTTATTCTGGTTGCTTGTATTCATCCATTTTCATACTACTGTAAAGAAATACGTGAGACTGGGTAATTTATAAAGAAAAGAGATTTAATTGACTTACAGTTCTGCATGGCTGGGGAGGCCTCAGGAAACTTATAATCATGGTGGAAGGTGAAGGGGAAGCAGGTTCCGTCTTATGTGGCGGCAAGAGAGCGAGTGAGCAGAAGGCAAACTGCCACTTTTAAACCATCAGATCTCGTGAGAACTCACTCATTATCACAAGATCTGCATGGGGGAAACCTTCCCCATAATCCAGTCACCTCCTACAGGTCCCTCCTTCAACATGTGTGGATTACAATTTGAGATGAGATTTGGGTGGGGACACAGAGCCAAACCATGTCATTGCTATTTCAACCAGAGAAATTGAAACCATTTTTACGTGATTAGGCCCAGCAGCTGTTGCCCTGAGAACTTCAGAATCCCCAGCAACTGATTATGGAGTCTCCTTGAGGGCTGGCAGATCCAGGGATGCACCAGTATGGGATGCAGTTTTTCAGCTGATTTAGAGGCCCCTCTTGTATGCCAGGCCCTGAGTCCTTTTAGCCATATGACAGCCCAGTGAGGCGAGGAGGGGGGATGCAGGGGGTTTGAAAGGCTTGGATAGTGGCAGAGCGTGATTAGAACTCAAGCCCACAGGCACCTGCCGGCTGACGTCTCCTCTCATGGTGAGTTTGTCAAGAGGGATCTGTTGTGTGTTAAACCCTGTGTGGGTGATAAAGAGAACAAGTATGGAACAATTTTGTGTGAATTTTAGCTTCCCAGTCTACTTGGGGAGGTGCTGCTGATGGAATGAAACACATCCCAGTGTAACTTCTCTGTAGTTTGGTGACCTATCCATCACTAGCATGATGGTTCTCTTGGATTTGAACTTTCCAAAACATGTTCCTAACCCACTAGGCCTTTCTTCCCAACCCACCATGTGAGACCACCCAGTAGGATTTTCCCTCGTTTTCCACCCAGAGGATTGGAAAGGACACTAGGGAGTGCAGACATCTGGAACTGAACCATCTGTGGCTGAGAGGAGTGGCGACTGAGCCTGCGTGACAATCCGGGCAGTGCCTGGCATTGTGGGGATGCAAAACAGATAAGAAAGTGATCCTTTCTGAAGGGACTGTGGACAAGGCGAGGAGAAAGAGGTAGACAGAAAGTGAGTGTAGAGATAGAATTTGACAGTGGCTCTGAGCTGTAAGACTGATGTCTGGGAAGAGAGTGGGGACTTGGAGATGAGGATAATGAAGAACCCTTCACAGGGACGGGCACTTTCCAGCAGGCCTTGTAGAATGACAGATGTCCTGACACTGCTCTGTGTCCCTGGACAGGTCATTTCCCTTTCTGAGTTACCTCATCATTAAAATCAGAAGATAGGCGTAGTGGCTTGTACCTGTCATCCCAGCACTTTGGGAGGCCGAGGTGGGAAGATTGCTTGAGCCCAGGAGTTCAAGACCAACCTGGGCAACATGGCGAAACCCCGTGTTGGGACAATAAATGGAGTAGTCACCTGTATCTCTGGGAGGTGCTGAGGGTTCTAGTGGAGTCCATCTCACACTTCACACCCATGCAAGACGTCCCTGTCCCCGCCTGGTGCTGCCGGGCCACAGGCATCTCTGCTGTAAGTGGAGAGAGAGGGCTTCTCCTTCAGCTGTCTTAGGAATGAAAAACATTTGGGTGTTTAATATGCTTTTTCAAGAGCCCTTTGCTTGGATTGTGGATTTCTAGACATCCCTTTTCACATAGTTGATGCCTGAAAGGCCAAATGTGAATGAAGTTGTCTCAGCTCTGCTAAATTAGATTACCAGTTAATGCAATTACAGAATTTAATCTTTTGGCCAAGCTCTGGTGGAGACAAGGTAACCAATTCAGTTATAGGGGCTCAGTTATTTCTTGTGAAAAATAACAGTGTTCTGTGGAGCAGCCTAGACTGAAATACCATGAACATAAAATGAAATCATTTATATGCTTAGCAAACATTTTTGAGCACCTGCTGTGTATCAGACAGGACATTGGGAGCTATTGGGGGCAGGGCATGGAAGATACTAAGCAGTGAGTAAGCCCCAGTCCCTCCCCTCCAAGAGTTCAAGCCAGAGCCCTTTTGCTGGGATGGAGAGGGAGCCAGTGATGTTCTGAGATCTGCCTTCCACAATTTCACCTGCTCCTTCCCTTGCTGATTGGTGATTCCTCTGTAGGATAGAACTTGATCCAGGGAGTCTTGCCTGATCAGATATTCCACAGTCATCATGTGGGATTTGAAATATCATTCATCTGAACATCCGATGTATTTATTTATTTATGAGATGAAGTCTCTCGCTGTCACCCAGTCTGGAGTGCAGTGGCGCCATCTCAGCTCACTGCAACCTCCGCCTCCTGGGTTCCAGCGATTCTCCTGCCTCAGCCTCCTGAGTAGTTGGAATTACAGGCATGCGCCACCATGCCTGGCTAATTTTTTTTTTTTTTAATTTTTAATAGAGACAGAGTTTCACCATGTTGGTCAGGCTGGTCTCGAACTCCTGACCTCAGGTGATCCACACTCCTCAGCCTCCCAAAGTGCTGGGATTACAGGTGTGAGCCACCACACTGACTGGAACATCCGATTTAAAGCGCCAGATTATTTACTCAAGCAGTTCTTCAATCTTGTGCTGAAGGTCGTACCAGGCTGTGGCTGGCCATGTCTGTGCTTCACACACAGGGGGCCATTGGTGTAGACAAACGGGGCCCACTCCGTTCCTAGAGCCCTGTGAGGCTGCATTGTTTCGTGGGTGATGCTGACTTCATTCATGAGCATTTAATGGGAGCCCAGCACAAACTCCACATCACTGAATATCTTGACTCAAGACCCTGGGAGCAGAATGAATATATGGAATTGAGAGCAATCAGTGTCTGTGTGTGGCGGTTCTCAAACGTTAGTAAGTGTGAAAATCACCCACATTGCTGGGTCCCGCCCTCAGAGTTTCTAGCCTGTGAGTTTCTAGTCCAGGGCAGAGCCAGAAAATCTGCATTTCTTACAGACTCTGGGCCAGTGCTGATGTCACAGGCTTGCTGCCTGCACCTGGAGAAGGGTCAGAAGGGAGTTTTCTTTTCTTTTTCTTTTGAGACTTAGTCTCACTTTGTTGCCCAGGTTGGAGTATGGTGGTGCAATCTCAGCTTACTGCCACCTCTGCCTGCTGGGTTCAAGTGATTCTCCTGCCTTATACTCCCAAGTAGCTGGGATTACAGTCACCTGCTGCCATGCCCAGCTTTTTTTTTTTTTTTTTTTTTAATTGTATTTGTAGTAGATACGGAGTTTCACCATGTTGGCCAGGCTGGTCTTGAACTCCTGATCTCAGGTAATCCACCTGCCTCAGCCTCCCAAAGTGCTGGGATTACAGGCATGAGCCACTGTGTCCAGCCACAGGAGGGAATTAGTTCAACCAAACCAATGTTGAGAGACACAAGGCAAGTCATACTCCTTTGAATTGTCCCCTGGGGTAGGACCTTGGAGACCAGCAGCCTCGCCTTCATCTTAGCCTCTCTCTGGGGTGGAGGATAAAGGTAGCGGCTCGTGGGGTGGGCTGAGCCACATTCTCATGCTCTGCTGCTGTTTTGCAGGTCGAGGCCGAAGCCGTGAATCGTGCCATCACCATCGCCAACCAGACCAACTGCCCGCTGTATATCACCAAGGTGATGAGCAAAAGCTCTGCTGAGGTCATCGCCCAGGCACGGAAGAAGGGTGAGTGCTGTGGCCGGACTGGCTGATGGCAGGTGGGGAGGTTTGGAGGGGAGGGGGGCTCCTCACTAGGGAGGGCTCCTTTTCCAGACCCTCATGCCAAGTGGGCCACTTGCACCATGTTCTGGCATTAACCTAATTACAGCCGGGCAAGGCAGGAGCTCCAGTTTCCTCCTCTGCTCCACTGCTGCGGCCTTGTTAGTATCTATTTAAAGCCATGTGCACGCCAAGGCGGGGTGGGCAGGCACATGTCCCCCAGCCCCCGTGCAAGAGCTGGACTTACTTTGATGTGGTTGAAATAAACTAGGCACATACACAGATTACGTCAGTTTCCATCCGCCCCAGAATCCTTGGTCACATCATGCACCTCCCCTCCAAGGCTGGGAGTGATTTCTGCCGGGGTATGTAAGGCAGCTTTGTGGGGTGTGGGGATGCATTTTGCCCCAGACACTATCACATCCAGATGTTTTGGTGCTTGATAAACTCTCTTGATGCATTCTGAACTGGGGCTGGGTCTCTGGTATTACTAGGGTGTCCACTGTAACTAACTGATGAAGTGCAGCTTCCAGTGCTTCCTCTAGAGGACGCCCCATGAGGCACCTCATGCATTTTGAATGCAGCTGAGCCCTGTTGTCACCCACCGCTGACAACATGAATTTCGATAATCACACTGCATCTTTTATGCTTGGGAGTTCTCTCCTCGTACAGAAAGCCTGAGGGCATGTCGTTCATTTTGATGGTGGATCTTAGGCTGATCTGAAATGAACATTATAAAAGGGTCCCCTTCTTTCTTCCTTCCTTTCTCCCTTTTATGTTCCCTCCTCCCCTTTGCCTGTTGGGATCTCTCCATCTCTGTGTCTCCACTTCTCTTCCCTTCTTTCCTGATTTCTGTTTCATTTTATCTTTCATTTGACTCTTTCTCAGTCCCTCTGTCATTCTCTCTCTGTGTCTTTCTTTCCCTGTTAGGAAGGGAGCCATTTGACCTCTATGGCTTGGTTTCTACTTCCCTGCATCATGCAATCCACATGGATCAAGGTGGGCTGTGGGATTTTTTTCACTGGCGGGTGACTTGCTGCAAGCCCTGGAACAAATTGCTCAATGATGACTGAGTCATCTTGTCCCAGAGATGATGACTTCCAGACGGACCCAGCGACTCCTGGCCCTGGTTCTTTGGAGTGCTCCTGGGGCCTCTGTCCTTAGGCTACACATCAAATGGTTGCTGCCTTTCTGTCTTCTCCTGGCACCTTGAAGGAATTGCCTTTTAGAAATAAGAAAGCATTCACCTAAAATAATGTAACCTACTCAGAATGAGCTTTGAGTTGTTTTCTAGGAGATATTGTGGATGACGATGGAATCGGTGGCCTTGGGCCACCCAGACACGCATTTGCAAGAAGGCAGCGCATTTGTGGGAATCAGCCTCTGTACAGAAGGCCGGCCACAGCACTGCTGCCCCCACGTAGTGTGGGGATGGTTGGCATAGTGTCTGAAAGGGGGAAAGAATGAGACGGCTTATTTTCTGTATTTTACTACTGCGCTGTACCTAGATGATGATGATACGTGAGTTAGGCTAACATTTCAACGTAATTTTGGATAGAGACCTTGTCTAAAGTTTACTTCATATTCAAACCTGTCCAAATGAGAAGACGGAGGGGTCCTACATGTCCCAGACTTTAGTTGGGGGAGGTGGAGTCGTGGGCCAGCCCTGCCGCAGGCCTCCTCCTCTCTGTCCCTCAGGGTTCTTCTCAGGTGGAGTTGCGGAGCTGGAGTGTGTTGTTGCGGTGCCCAGTTTGGACCTATTACCCCAACTCAGTGCCTGGTAGCCCCCGTTGTTGTTTTTTTTAATTTATTTTATTTTATTTTTGAGATGGAGTCTCACTCTGTCGCCCAGGCAGGCGTGCAGTGGTGCCATCTCAGCTCACTGCAGTCTCCGCCTCCTGGACTCAAGCGATTCTCCCGCCTCAGCCTCCTTAGTTGCTGGGATTACAGGCGCCCCCCCATCACACCCATCTAATTTTTATATTTTTAGTAGAGACGGGGTTTCACCATGTTGACCAGGCTGGTCTGGAACTCCTGACCTCAGGTGATCTGCCCGCCTCGGTCTCCCAAAATACTGGGATTACAGGCATGAGCCACTGCACCTGGCCACCCCTATTGTCTTTATAACCTTGACACACTGTGTGTCTTATGGGGTGAGCAGTAGGAGGGGACTTTAGTCTGTTCCCTTCCAGAGCCTTCTGAGTGTGAGTCCAAATGTGCCCACACCATGGTTCCCAGGATGGCATTTGCATTCAAACTGTTACCCATTAATCTGTGAAAGCCTGAGCTTTAGACAAACCTGAGCTGCCAGAAAGGAATTTCCAGTGCATTCAGGTGCTAATGAGCAGGAATGAGAAGTCCTAGCTAACTTCCTAGGCTCTTAGGCTCTTTCCCATCTTGCTGGAACTTCCTAGCAACTTTGGGAGGCAGCCCTGGCAGGAATTTTTATATTTTGTTTTACTTTGCAGCTGAGTAAACTGAAGCTCAGAGCTCATGTATAGTGGAATTGGGGCTTGACTGTCAGGCATCTAACTTGAGGCCACAAATATCCGTGTAAATGTTTGACTGACTTACCTTCATGCTTTGAGATTATTTTAATACGGTGATGCTTGTGACCTGTGTCTGTTGGGGCTTAGTTCCTTAAGAATCCTGATTGAAACAGTGGCCTGACACCCAGCAGAGATATGGGTAATGTACACACAAGGATTCCCAAATGACCAAGAAGGAAAGCTCTGTAAGGGAGTATTAATTGTTTGCCTCCAGGATCAGTATTCATTCTTGGATCAAACCCCAGCTCCACTGTACACCAGCCACGTGATGCTGGGTGCTTCCTCATCATCTCCACATGTCCTTTTGCCATCTGCAAGGGGAGGATAGTAACCATGACTCATCTCACAGGGTGATGATGATGTGTACATGAGATATTGCAGGTAAAGATGGAGATGAGAAGCGTGACCAGTTATTGTGACTACAGGATGAAGGGGCTGGTCTAACCTTGAGCTTGCGAGGAAAGCAGAGTAAAGATGCCTGCTGACCCTGGACAAGGGTTTTCTGCTCAGAATTGTTTGTCCACTTCAGGTGGGTTCTTCTGGCCCCCTGAGGCAAGTGTGTGCACTGCCACAGCCCCCTTTCTGATGCTGCATTTCTTCCTCTGTGAATGGAGAGATTCTGAATTCATTGAATGCATTTTCATGATGTGATACTTTAGGCCTGCGTACCAGGAAAATAAATGGTCCCAACCACAGTTAGCTCCTCGACTTGCAGGGGAAGGATGCTGAGTGGAAAGTCACATTGGGAGGTAGTCGGGGCTACAAAAGGGGTACAAGTCAGGAGAGGTTGAGCCCAGAAGGGAGTCTCAGAGAGGTCAGGCTGCGTAAGCAGACTCGAAATTTTGCTATAAATGTGAGCTTTGAAAAATGATAATCCTGCCCTGGGAGGAGTAGTAATGTCTCCTTCTCTTAGTGATCCACATGAACCTCCCCAGCCAAGACCTGCTGGTCCAGAATCTAAGACAAGAGAAGTTCGGGGAAGTGAGGATATGAGGTGAAACGAATGAGAACTGTTTTCACGTGCCTGCTTGAGCCAGCACGACTGCATCCTGCCTTCCCTGAGAGACACGCTGAGAGACACGCTGCTTCCATCAGCCGCTCTGTGGCTGTTCAGCAGGATGGCGTGTTCAGCCGGGGAGTGGTGTGTCATCAACCCAATTTGGCAGCTGAGGCAATGAACACAGAGCCAGGACCAGACGACCTGGGGGCATTTTTACTCTTGAAAAGAACTTAGACATTGATCAACTTAATAGGCTCATTTCATGGAAGAAGTAGAAATGCAGAAATTGAAAATCTTGCCCTGGTTCATGTAGCCTGTGGGAATTAGAAACCATGATTCCAGGCTCCTGGCCACCTCTCTTTCCATGGAGGGCCCCTTGTGGGGATTTCTTCTCTAGAATGGGCTCCCTCTGACCACATTTTGTCCATGTGTGAAATCCAGCATGACTGCTGATGCCTTCCATGTGTGAGTGGTGGCCGTGGGCAGTGCCTGATGACCTCATCTGATGGACATTCTTTTCCGTCCTCCTCCTCACCCCTCTCCCATAACCCGGGTGCAGAAACATTCAGGACATTAAACCCTGGGAACCTCAATTTGAGATAAGACCTCTTATGTCCTGTGGGTCAATAGGAGTGACTCAAACGTTATGAGAAGCACATGGTCGCAGGGCCTGTGAGGACCACCTCAGCTTGGGGATGAGTCCTTAGTTAAGCTTATGCTTGATGTTGCAATCTTGAACAGAAAAGGGGGATGAGAGAGGAGAGAGGACAGTAGAGAAAGGGGGAAGATTTATTTTAAAGAATTATATTTAAGGAATCAACTCACACGATTGTGGGGATGGCAAGTCTGAAATCTGCAGATCAGGCCACAGACTGGAGAACCAAGGAAGAGCTGATGTTGGCATCGGAGTCCAAAGGCAGAATTCCTTCCCAATCTATGCCCTCACTTTTAACGGCAGATGGTCTGCAAGGTTGGGAATTCAATTTGCATTGTAATTCAGCCACTGCCAGGATGAGATCCTACTTCTGGTTTTCAGCCATCTCAGCTCTGCATCTATGGGACATAAGGGCAGACATAGAAACTTTTGATTCATTCATGTGGTGCTTGAGCTGGGAATTTGAATCCCTGAATTCATTCTTCTTTTTTCCCCCACTTTGTCTAGTACAATTAGGAGCAACCAACCACTCTCGTTATACTTGTTAATTTTACAAAAATGTTTAAGGTATCTGCTACACACCCACCTAGAACCTTGCCTCTTAGAAGCCTTTGGGAGTATTTAATAATATTTTCTGTGTCTCTATTGTCCCATCATGCCCTGTACTCTCCTCTTTTTACTACTGGACGTAGAATCATTAGTGCCTTTCAACCCAATCAGATCTGAGAACGAATTTCAGAAACCTCAGAACCCATTCAGAAAACTCATTTTTAAGATGATGTTCTTCTAGAACCACTCTTGCTACGAAAACCTGACAGCACAGTCCCCAGGCTGTTTGTTAGGGTCTGGCATAAATTCTTGGAAAGGCAAAGGAGAATGGTGAGAGCGTGTGTAACTGTCTGTCTGTCTGTCCATCCCAGTTGGTTTTCACTGTGCTTTGGTGGCTGCATATGGAGCTACAGATACTGATTTCCCACAGTTCCCACTTTGGATTTGTTCTCCTGCTTCTCGTCCATGGGAAATGACTGCCAGAGCTGGGAGCTATCAAGCATATTTAAACCGCAGCCTTCCATTTATTCTTCATGAATGCACACGGGCCCCAGACTGGTTGTAAATAAGCACCAGCTCCCATCCCCTGCAGTTCTTGGCCTTATAGAGAGCCTGCCAGAGGCTGGCTTGGTCACATCCTTCAGTTTAGACTTTACCTGGAGAAGAAAATCACAAAGGTCTAACGGGCACCCAGATAGCATCAGCAGTGTATTTAGAGAAGTGCAGAAGGGCCAATTAAGCCCATTTCGTGGTTTATTATTATTAGTGGTAATTATTTCTGGCATGCAGTTCAAGGGTGTCTGTGGCCTGGCTGAGCTCCGGAAGTGCATCCACAGCACCCTCCTGTGAATGTTTATAGACCCAGGAGGGGAGCCCTGGGTTGGGAGCTCCAGACCACTGGGGATGGGAGGCAGAGACTCTATGTATAGATCATACTCTTGTGGAGGTAGAGGCCTGGAACATGATGGCTAAACTCCTGTCGCTGATTCTGGGCTAAGAAAGAAAGAAAATCCAAAAGACAGCAAGGACCTCTGAATCCCTGAGGGAAGTTGAACAGAGCAAAGTAGAAATGAACCACAGGATGGCTCCATCCCTCCCCTGGCATCCACTGCCCCTGCCCCTGAATGTCCCTATCTTTGCTTAGCTGTGGCCCAGAAGTCCACTCAGCCTTTGTCTAAAGAGGCAGGTTCTGCTCAGCAGTGGCGTTGAGAGCTCAGACCCCATTTTGGGTTTTCTAGAGGCAGAAGGCCAAGTTCATTCTCTTGAAGTGAGGTAGATATTCCTGTGCACAGAGAGAAGGGGAATCCAGCTCCTCATAGAGCAGCTCCCCACCCCAAGCTGAGTTGTGTTTCGCAGGGAGAGATAAGCCTGTGGTCAGCAGCATTCATCCCCATGGTATTCAGGCCACTTTCCAAGAACCAGCCCCTCCTTGTACTTAAGTTTCTAGAGGCAGGGCCGAGGAGCAGGCACAGGGAGAGGATGAGCGTCGGCAAGTTACAGGAAACTCAGGAAAATGTTTATGTGTGTCCAGGGATTTTCAGAGACTATCCAGCCATTCTTTATCTCCAAGTGCCTCTGCTCTCATGAACTTCTTCATGTGGACAAAAGCAGGAAGCCTTTAGGGCCACGCATCTCTTGTTTTCCTGTGACTTACACAGCCCTCACCTTTGTGCTTAGATGGACTGTGGCCAGCGGGACCTCCAGGCCTGGCTGGGTCAGGAGAGTTTTGCTTAACCAGATCTGTTTGATCCTTGAACCAAAAGCGGGGAGCCAGAGAGATCCTTTGAGAACTGATGACTGCTGCTGGGTCCTGCCCAGCCATTTGCATTTTATAAAGGTCTTTGGCAGCGGCCAAGGCCTTCTCATTATGTGGTGTTTTTCCACTTCGGGATGAACCGGAGTGGTTTGTGCAGCCACCTGATAGCTCTTTGCACCAGCTTCTGCATGGGAGACTTTGAGCAGGCCAGGAGCCAAGGGGACCCTCCTAGGCCTTCCGAGCACCTAGCACTGGCCCTTTTCTTCCTTGGGGCTTCCTTCTGGAGGAGGTTTCCCTGGGTTTGGAGTCCTCCCTCCTGCTGGGGGTGGGGGCGTGGTTGCTGGTGGCCTGGAGTGAGCTGCCTGCTGTGGCCTCCAGCACTCCCCAGCTGAACAGCGAGTCCTTTGTGAAATTCCTGAGGCAGGAGGGGGCAGCTGTGCAGAGCCAGCTCTCAGAGTGGCCGACAGGGAGGGTGTTGTGGTGTATCATCAAGTGATAAGGCCTTCGGAAAGGCTGTGGAGAGGAAGGAAAACACATTCCTGACTGTGGTGTGTTTGCCCTTGAGGGCCCTGTGTTTGGGGAAGTAGAGAAGCTTGGCTGCATTGTTGTGGGGTGGGAGTTAGCCCTGTGCTGGGGGGAGCTAGTGAGAGATGAATTCAGCTGACCTGGGATCAAATTCCAGCTTGGATGCCTTTAATTAATAACATATTAGACCATTTAATCAATTTAACACACGTTTTTGGAGTGCCTACTATGTGCAGGCAGGTAAATGATCTTCAAGGTGTCTCCATCAGGTGGAAAGTCAAAAATTCAGAACTGGGCAATGACTGGAGGGGAGGATGGGATTCTCAGGTGAAGGGTGTGAGACCCGAGTTGTGTTTTGGACGATGTTAAAGGAGGAGATCAGCTTCCAGTAGTGAAGAGCATCTGATGCTTTGGTGAGGAGGATTTTCTTTTAAGTCCTTGAATGCAGAAGGGCTCCTTTGGAAGATTTTATGCAAGAGAATGCCATGGAAAGATTATATTATAGTGGATCACTCTGGAAGTGTCATGCGGAATGAATGGAGAGGTAGGAAGCGGGGTTGGGAGAGCAAACGTAAATCTAAGGTCCAATTGGGAGGCTCTGTTGGAATGAGCTGGCGAGAGATGATGAGGGCCTGATTTAAGGAACGATTGTATTGAAGGCACTAAGGTATTGGCATTCAGCGAATGTACATGAGTCTCAACTTTCTGGTTTACATCTGAATGGACAGAGAAGAGGACATGATCTGAGCATCAGGGAGTTGATGTTTGTCTTGGACATTGCATTAATATAGTTAGGCTAGGCTTCCAGAAACTCTGAAATCCCAGTGGCATAATGTCCAGTTTGTTTCTCTCTCACAGAGTCAGCTGTGAAGATGGTGGCTGTAACGGACAGCTTCTTCCAGGCAGTGACTCAGGGATCCAGGCTGTCTCTTGAGGATATCTGGGGGGTTATGTATTTGCCCTGAAATACTTCGCCCTGGTGATGTCATGTGTGATTTCCTCCCGCAGACCTTTAGTCAGAGCTAGACACTGTGAAGGGCTAGGAATTGTGAAAAGATTGTGTGAATGAACAGGAAGGTTAAATTTGAGGTGCCATAGGCCATGCATAAAGAACAGTCCAGATGGCACCTGGGACCGGATGCCTGGACACCATCCGAGCAGGAGATTAATGGAATTGAAAATCAGCAACGTAGGAGACAGAAGCCTTCAGGATGTCTGGGATCCTATAGGGAGGGTGTGTTGTTTGAAGAGCAGGGGCTGAAGGTGGAATCTTGGGGAGCTCATGACAGGCTGGCAGAGGTACTGAATTTCTCCAAGTCTCAGTTTCCTCATCTGCGAGATGAGCCTGATATTTCCTATAAAGGGATAGTGAGTGCACTGGGTGCTGCTGGGCAGGCAGTGGCTCCTCATAGGGGTGGTTCCCTTCCCCCTGCATTGTGTTGGACTGAACCTTGTGTGTTCTGTTTGTCAGGAACTGTGGTGTATGGCGAGCCCATCACTGCCAGCTTGGGAACGGACGGCTCCCATTACTGGAGCAAGAACTGGGCCAAGGCTGCTGCCTTTGTCACCTCCCCACCCTTGAGCCCTGATCCAACCACTCCAGACTTTCTCAACTCCTTGCTGTCCTGGTGAGTCCTGGCGACTTGTTCACACTTCACATTCTGTCTTTCTTCAGACCAGACTGACCTGTTAGGCGAAAACAACATGGTGGCCAAGAGCAGCCATAAAACTGGGAGACCCTTGTTCACCAAACTAGGTTGGCTACATGAGTACAGGGAATTGTCATTCTAGCACCATTTTGGGAGGGGATTCTGGATAAAAACCTGGGCCATGTTGAAAGTCAAGCCAAGAAGGGAGAGGAGGCGTCAAAAGGACTCCACTTGGGTTGGTGTGATGCCATTCATGAGACAGCCCACCAAATAGGTGTAGGCGCACAGCATCTTGACGAAGCTGCAGCACCACGTTATGCATTTTCTTTGCAGTGGAGACCTCCAGGTCACGGGCAGTGCCCATTGCACGTTTAACACTGCCCAGAAGGCTGTAGGAAAGGACAACTTCACCCTGATTCCGGAGGGCACCAATGGCACTGAGGAGCGGATGTCCGTCATCTGGGACAAGGCTGTGGTAAGGAGCGATGGCCTCACTCCTTGGTGGCTCTCAGCCTTCCTTGTCCTCCTCATCTGGGGGCCATGGGGCTCATGGAGGCCTTGAAATGACAGACAGTGGAGGACATCCTAGAAGCCAGTACTTATATGACAATATTTCTGAGGGTTGGAAATCTAAGACCTCTTCTAATAGGTCATTTCTTCCTAAATATTACATATATATTTCTTTTTAAAACAATTTTTAAATTTTTTTCAGACAAGGTCTTGCTCTGTCACCAGGCTGGAGTGCAGTGGTACAATCATAGCTCACTGTAGCCTCAAACTCCTGGGCTCAGGTGATCCTCCCATCTCAGTCTCCTGAGTAGCTAGGACCACAGGCTCAGACCACCATGCCTGGCTAATTTTTTTTTTATTTTTTGTGGAGATGGGGGTCTCACTATGTTGCCCAGGCTGGTCTCGAGTTCCCGGGTTTAAGCAATGCCTCGGCCTCCCAAAGTGCTGGGATTACAGGTGTGAGCCACCACGCCTGGCTTACCTGTATATTTCTTATCATTATCATCAATGGAACAGTAAAGACTGAAAACCTACACAGCTTTAGATGTGACTCTGGGTCAGTCAGGAACAAACTTCCTTAGCAACCAGGTGACTTACTCAGTTAATCCTCGTCTACTCTTGGAAATGGGCTCAATTTCCTTAAAAGTGTCTTTTAGGGCTCTCTGGACTTAGCATGTCTTCTACTGCCAGCTTCCAGTAGGCCTGCTATGAACATACACTGACCTTTAGAGGATCTTTGGGCTTTTTCATTTTAATGTTTTAAAATATATTAACAGAATAGGTTTTCTGTTTTTTAGTGAATTGTTTAGATTATATGAAGAATATATCCTTATTTCCAGAAGAATAAGGAAGTAAATAAAAGTCACTGTGTTTCAGATATAACCACAATTAACATTTTGGCAAATGTCTTTCCATTTTTTGCTACTACACAGGCACACACATGTATATGTGACATGCGTGAGTGTGTAAATAATATTGGCATCATACAGCTGGGCCCACTCCCAGGTTCATGCCTATAATCCCAGCATTTTGGGAGGCCGAGGTGGGTGAATTATTTGAGCCCAGGAGTTCAAGACCAGTCTGGCAACATGGCAAAACCCTGTCTCTACTAAAAATACAAAAATTAGTGAGGCATGGTGGCAGGTGCCTGTAGTCCCAGCTACTCGGTGTGGGGGAGGCAGGAGGATCACCTGAGCCTTGGGAGGTTGAGGCTGCAGTGAGCCATGACTGGGCCACTGAACTCCAGACTGGGGGACACAGTGAGACCCTGTTTCAAAAAATAATAATAATAATAATATTGGCATCATACATACTATTTTGTAGTCTTTTTTAAAAAAAATTTTATCATGGAAATATCTCCACCTGCTTAAATATACTTGAAAAAGTTGATTTATAATAACAGACTCTTCCATGTGAGTGCTAAACTGGGACTCATTTATTTATTTATTTATTTGAGATGGAGTCTCACTCTGGAGTGCAGTGGTGCGATCTCAGCTCACTGCAACCTCCGTCTCCCGGGTTCAAGCGATTCTCCTGCCTCAGCCCCCTGAGTAGCTGAGATTACAGGCGTGTGCCACCACACCCAGCTGATTTTTGTATTTTTAGTAGAGACAGGGTTTCACCATATTGGCCAGGCTGGTCTCAAACTCCTGACCTCAGGTGATCCACCTGCCTTGACCTCCCAAAGTGCTGGCATTACAGATGTGAGCCACCATGCCTGGCCAGGACTCACTTATAATTCTTTTTTTTTGGCTGGGGGAGACAGTTTCACTCTTTCCCCCCAGGCTGGAGTGCAATGGCGTGATCTTGGCTCACTGCAACGTCCGCCTCCCGGGTTCACGCAATTCTCTTGCTTCAGCCTCCTGAGTAGCTGGGATTACAGGTGCCTGCCACCATGCCCGGCTAATTTTGGTATTTTTAGTAGAGACGGGGTTTTGCCATGTTGGCCAAGCTGGTCTCAAACTCCTGACCTCAGGTGATCCACCCACCTCAGCCTCCCAAAGTGCTGGGATTACAGGTGTGAGCCACCACGCCCAGCCACATTTATGTCTTTGGTTGAACATTTATGTTGTTTCTGGTTTTTTTTTTTTTTTAACTTGAATGACATTTTTATAATAGACACATTCTTGATTATGTTTGTAGGAGAAATTTCTACAAGTGGCATTGCTGGGTCAAAGGATGCATATATTTTTAACATTTTTGGTACATATTGTCAAAGTTCCTTCCAGAAAGTTTGTACTGCTTTATACGCCACCACCAATATATGTCATTCCCCAGTGTCTTCTACCACCTGGGTGTCATCAGCAAAGATCCATTGTTTGCTGATTTGATAGGTGAATTTTGTGTCTTATTGTTTTACATTTAATTTATTCAATTACTGATTAGAGTGAAAATTTTTTCCTATGCTTAGTGGCCATTTGTACTTTTTTCTCCCTCTTAATACCAGCTTATTTCCTTTGACCAGTTTTTTACTGGATTTAGAGTGGGTTTGGGAGGGGAAGCACTTGAGGAAATGTGATTGGCACCTAAAACCAGATGTGGGGCGGAGACTTCTAGGTTGGCTAGACTAGAAGATGACATCTGGCCAGGCATGGTGGCTCATGCCTGAAATCCCAGCACTTTGGGAGAGCGAGGTGGGAGGGTTGCTTGAGCCCAGGACTTCGAGCCCAGCTGGGCAACATAGTGAGATCTGTCTCTTAAAAAAAAATTAGCCTGGTATGGTGGTGCATGCCTGTCTTCCCAGCTACTCAAGAGGCTGAAAGAGGAGGATTGCTTGAGCCTGAGAGGCCGAGGCTGCAGTGAGCTGTGATCACTCTACTGCACTCTAGCCTCAATGACAGCAAGACCCTGTCTCAAAAAAAAGATTAAAAAAAAAAAGGAAGCCTAGATCTGTGGCTGTATTTTGTTGAAAAGGACAGCCAATTGGGCCAAATGATATTTCCTAAAGAGGGATTGCCACCCCTGCAAATTAAACGAATTTTTTTTTGTTTTGAAATAATTATAGATTAAGAAGCAGTTGCAAAGATAGTACAGAGAGAGGTCCCGGGTACCCTTCACCCAGTTTCCCTCATGGTTACATCTTATATAAATGTAGAACAATATCAAAACCAGGACACTGACAGTGTCACAATGTGTGGGTATAGCTCTAGGCTGTGTGGCCACCTGTGGAGTCATGTGACCATCACCACAATCAAGATGCAGGTCTAGTCCAGCATTTCAGAGACCAACCTCTTGCTGCTCCTCCCCTCCACCCTCCCTAACCCTGGAAGAACCCATCTAGCCCCTCATCTGTTCTCCATCTCTACCATTTTGTTATTTGGAGAATGTTATAGAAATGGAGTCATACAGTGTGTGACCTTTGAGACGGTTTGTGTTTCACTTGGCACAACGCTCTTGACATCCATCTAAGCTGTCGTGTGTATCAATAGTTTGTTATTGAAAAGTAACTTTTTAACTCGTTTCTGCTGTGTGCCTCCTGTGCACACCTATGCTGTCTCCCTCAGGTCACTGGGAAGATGGATGAGAACCAGTTTGTGGCTGTGACCAGCACCAATGCAGCCAAAGTCTTCAACCTTTACCCCCGGAAAGGCCGCATTGCTGTGGGATCCGATGCCGACCTGGTCATCTGGGACCCCGACAGCGTTAAAACCATCTCTGCCAAGACACACAACAGCGTAAGACCTGTTAACTGTGCAGACCCCATCCAAACGAATTACAGTCACAGAGACACAGACGGAGGGAGAGCCCCAGGGTTTCTAAAAAGAACTTGCTGTGATGGGAATGCGCTCGACTGAGGATGTTATGATTTGCAATTTGCTGGGAAAAGAATAGTTATTTCATTTTCTTTAGTGAGGTCAATAAGATTGTTACTCTCATAATCATTTTGGAATACCACAGCCTCTCTATCTATAGACCTTTAGAGCCTCTAAAGTGATGTCAGGATGTGCAAAGCTTCCAGAAGTCAGGCACCGCTCCATTTTCATAGGTTGGCACAGCACTTCTCATGGCAGTACTTGGTGCAAGGGACCTCAATGAAGCAGTGAGATGTCCTCTCCTGAGATGCCCACTGGGGACTTTGATCCTCTTAAGCCATTGTTTTCTCAGGCCAGTATCCATGCAGAAAACTGGATGACAGCCATTCTTATTATCTTAAAGGAATTGATTGACTGACTTCTCCCTAACAGAAGTACCCCCCAGCCATTTGATTGTTGTTTTAGGATCTGCCGCTTTGGGTATCTCTTCCCTCTGGGTCTGGGCTTTAGAGCTTAGAGATGTCCTCTCTTGTTAACAGGACCCAGGGCAAGTCTGTTAATGTCTTACGCTCCTCAGCTGAGAGTGAGGGGTTCAGACGAGGTCTCCAAGTGTCCTGTGATTCTGTGAGGTCAGCAGACATTAAGCAGAGTTGTTAGACACTGCCGATTCCTCACAAGCAACATGGTATAGGCAGAAAAACTGAAGGAATATGCCCAGAGGGAGAGCTTTGGAAAAGAAATGGGCCTCGGGCAGAAGAGTTTCGTGTCAGGAACTCATTTGAATCTTGAAGACAGCTCAGGCCAGCAAGCACTGACACCTCCCCCACACACCACGACAGCTTAGGGCAGGTTTCTGGCATTTCTCCGGGACAACCCTGGGACTTTGCCCTGTCCCAGTCCTCTCTCATTTGCACACACAGAGGTGTTTGGGCTGCAATGGGCTCAGGCTCAGCTCTGGCTTCTGCCACCTGTGAGGACCAGGGTGGTGGGTGTTTCTCAGAAGACTGTTCAAGTCTGTGTTTAAAGCTGTCTTTCTCCCTCTCCCACCACCACTCACTGGCTCAGCCTGGCAGCGCAGCCTTATGATCGCGCCCCTTACAGCCCAGATCATGACTTCTTGGGTGTCCTGACTGGCTATTTTATGGTCAGGGATCCTAGGGCCCTGCCCCATGAACCTCCCTATTCATGTGCCTGTAACTTCACATTCTCATTGACTCTTTCATTTGACCTTCTCAATAAAGGGACTGGTATTATTATCCCAATTTGGGAAAATAAATAAACGGAGGCTTAGAGAGCTTAAGTGACCAGTCTAATGTTACATAGCGATTTTGCGGTTGAGCCAGAATTAGAACCCAAAATTGTTCAGGACTCTTCCCTGCCAGACTGCATATGCAGCCTCTTGGTCAGGCTTAGACGGGGAAAATGCTTCCCCTCTCTTGCAAGGTTGCTTCCCCCAGAGGTGCTATAAATGGCTGGCTGGGCTCGTTATTTAAGACACAAATGACCTAGCTGGGGAACTTGCATTTGGAGTTCTTAACCTAGAAGACGAGACAGTGGGAAGGAGAGAAGATTTGGGAAGACAGATTCTGCCCTCCAGACATTTTCACCCCAACCTACCCTGCTTTTACCTCCAGGTGACCTATGGAAGAAATGTTGACTTTCAAAGCGGTGCTTTTCCATCCCCACCTGTTTTAAAGAGCCAGCACTAAGCATGTGCCTGTTCGTTCATCTTCTGGGAAAATGCAACCAGGAGACTTTCCCTGCATAGTACAGTGTTTCCTACCATGAGGCTAATTAGCTTTAGTTCAGAGCATCTAGCTAACTATTATCGACAGCCCTGTTGCTAAGCCTTTGCTTGGATTTTCCAGGCATCTGGCCCGATGAGTAATTTTAGGGAGCCTGTGTGGATGTAGGTTAAAAATGTCTATGCATGGTGAGTGAGGAAGCCTCCCTGCATCATGGTTTGATGGAGAGTAGGCTCTGAGTATCTGGGAATTGTGATCTGACCCTTGGACTTGTCAATGTTAAGTCACTGAGAGTCATGGGGCTGGTTCTTCCATCTTTTAAAAATGATAGATGGCCCCAGAGGTCTTCTAGGTGCTCATTTATAAGCAACAAGACTCAACGCATGCATTGTGTGAGATCTTGGATGCTGCAGGGCTGGCAAGTGTTAGCAAAGTGCAATAAAGAGCCAGACAGTGAATGAGTGAAGATTTTCTAAATGCCTACTGTGAGCCAAATAGTGAGCTAGATGCTTTTGTTCATTTTATTTCATTTGATTCTCACATGAGTCCTGCAAAGGGGGACCTACTTACCCCTCACAGATGAGGAGGTGGAGGCTCAGGGGTGTGAGGGATGCATCCAAAGTCACATAGCTGGTGAATGGCATACCTGGGGTGTGAACCCAGGGCAGATGTCTCCATGGCCGAGGCTGCGCCCATACTCTACCCAGTAGGGCACAAGAGGAGGTTGTCAGGGCATAAACTGTTAGCTGTGGAGTGATGTGGAAGAGATGGCTCTTGATCCAGGCCTTAAAGGATGACTCACACCCTTTCAAAGGTTGTTTCTGAGATGACCAGGGATGAGGCTTTTTGTATTGTCATCTTCACATACACCTCGGGAGGGTGCAGATGAAGAAACTGAAGCTGAGACAGGATTAAAGCAATCTCCCCAGAGTCACACAACTTCTGGATTTTACCGTATCTGAGATGCCATCGATTTTAAGATATTCCATTAGGTTATGTACCACGATGAAAGAAAACATGCCCAAGACGAGGAGTCTCATAGGAGACTGGGCCACCAAGGGCCAGCGTGTGCTTATTATGGCATCTCTGGGGAGACCATCTGCTGTGCAGACAGGGGTGGCAGAAAATCTCGCAGGCCTCGACCTTGGCATTGGTTGCCAAGAGGGAAAAATGTCTCCCCCAAGAATTGGAACTGGAAGTGGGTGCTTGTCCAGCCTTGTGGTCTGAATGCATGCCGCCTGTGTGGTCCAGAACAATGTCAAGCTGAGAATTTACTGTAAAATGCCCTCAGTGGGGTTGTCCCCCAACCCAGTGGCACAAACAAACCCATATCCCCCTAGAAGAACTTGGATTTAGTCTAGGCTGGCAGTACCCGCGTGGCTCCGGCTGCTATAAGACACATTCTGACTTCAGGGATGAGTGTCTTAGAATTGATGAAAGACAATTTTAAGTCTTGGGTCTCAGTAATCCAAGTGCAGAGTCCTCTTCCCTCCCTGCTGGCGCCTCTCTGCTATGGTTCCTTTGGTAGCTTCTGCATGACTGCTTTGAGACTCAGAGCAATGTACTGACAGCCCTCGTGGTTGTTTTCACCCAACATTGTATGCGGGGCATTGTGCATTTACATGCCTGATGTGAGCTGCTGAGCTGGCCGAATCCGTGTTACCAGCCGCTGCACTAAGCAGAAATGTCATCTTGAACTGCAGGGTGCTAGCACAGCTCTCTGTTCAGAGGCCAGCTCCCTGAGTGCTGATAACCTGGTCTGAACTTTCCCAGAAGCCCAGGGTGCTTTTTATGGTTGGAGCAACCTATTAATCCTCTAGTCCAGACTCAGCCACAGCCATTGGTCCCCGTGAACCAAACAGGCAGGAAGAAGCGGGAGGCATTTGGGATCTGGGAAGTAGCACTGGGTTAGCAGAAGCTGCAGGATGGAATGACTCCTGTGCAATGACTCCTGTGTTCTGTTGCTTCATTACCAACCACAAACTCACATCCATATGGAGACCCCACCTATTTTCCAAGAGGGCACACAGATATGTCTCTGTTTTACCCGGAAAAACTTGAAACCAGAAGGATAGCTACATAGCTACATTGTTCTGGAAATTAACTAGCCCTCAATCATTTTATCGGAGGCATGTCTCTTCAGTGACCACAATCCTTTCATTTAGGGACTTCAGTTTAACCACACCGCAAACAGACTAGAAAACCAGGCTAGCCAGTGGGAAAACCTACTTGTGGATGGCTCATTTCAAGATTAAATTTAGAACTTGGTCAGAGAAGGCCTTTGGAATTCAACCGGAATGGAGCTGGAGATGGTGGGAACACAGTCTCTGTTAATAGGAAGAATCATTTTCTTTATATTTGTGTAGCATTTACAAACATGCACCCTTTTCACACAATTATTCTGTTTAATTATTTTTCTTTCTAATGTGGAGAGGTAGAAAAAGTTATTTCATATTCTAGACAGGGAAATGGAGACACAGCAAGTAAGTGCCTGCTGGGGTGCCCAGTTGGGACAGGATCCCTGTCTCTGAGTCTCTCTTTTGTCTCTGTGGGGTTGGGGCAGTGGGTGCTGCCGGGTGGATTGAGTCCAGCCAGAGTGGCCTGTTCTAGAGTTTACTTTGCCTTCTTCTCAGTCTCTCGAGTACAACATCTTTGAAGGCATGGAGTGCCGCGGCTCCCCACTGGTGGTCATCAGCCAGGGGAAGATTGTCCTGGAGGACGGCACCCTGCATGTCACCGAAGGCTCTGGACGCTACATTCCCCGGAAGCCCTTCCCTGATTTTGTTTACAAGCGTATCAAGGCAAGGAGCAGGGTGAGTAGTTTTGTTCTGATGAATTTTTTGTTAAATCACGAATTAAGTTCAAGGCCACAAACATTTATTAAGCACCTTGAGACAGAATATTAAGATGAATTTAGTGGATTCCAGGGATAAGAGGGAGCCTGAATTTTTTATTCCTGGCATTTAAAATACTGGAGAAGGAGTCAGTCGTGTCCACAGAGAGCCCTAGCAAAGTGAGATCATGGTATATGCTATGATAAGGAGTGTGGAGTAAGGACCCAGAGGAGGGAGCCACTGCTGTAGTTGGGGAGAGTGTCATGGGGAGAGGACATTTTGAGTTGGGCTTTGAAGGTTAAGTAGGAGTTTGTCAAGTCAAAGAAGGGAGATGAGGGAATTTGATAAGAGTATCATGAGCATAGAAAATGTACAGTGTATTCAGGGCATGTGAAGCAGGAAAGAGATGGAGCTATAAGGGAATTAAAAGGAGAGAATGCAATTGGAAAGAAAGTTTGGGGCCAGATCTTGAACATGATACCAGATCCGCCTCACAGCATGCTTAGGGGATTCTTACAGGGTTTAAAGTTGAAGTGTCTTGGGGGAAAAATTGTAAGGTGTGTTAGTTTTTGTAGAGTTAACCAGTTACTGGACCTTGTGGGGAGTTTTGGCCTGGCATGGTGGGAGCTGGCCCCACACAACACCTGTCCACCTGTCTGTAAGGAGAGCCCTCCATCCCTAGATCTCACAGGCCCATCCTCCCTCCAGGAGGGTTTCTAGAGAGGTATCCTCTGTGGCTGTGGCCTGAGCTGGGGGGACTCTTGTGTTTTGCAGCTGGCTGAGCTGAGAGGGGTTCCTCGTGGCCTGTATGACGGACCTGTGTGTGAAGTGTCTGTGACGCCCAAGACAGTCACTCCAGCCTCCTCGGCCAAGACGTCTCCTGCCAAGCAGCAGGCCCCACCTGTCCGGAACCTGCACCAGTCTGGATTCAGTTTGTCTGGTAGGGTTGGGGCTTGGGGAGGGCACAGTTCTGCAGGGCCAGCTCGCTGGTGCTGGCGAGGCTACAGTTGCATTTGGAAAGGACACAGAAATAGAAGTGAATGATATTCCCTTTCTCTCCAACGTGAGAAATACAGTGGACTCAGATCTCTGGAGATGTATTTTCTTTTTCTTTTTTTTGAGGCAGGGTCTCGCTCTGTTACCCAGACTGGAGTGCAATGGCACGACCTTGGCTCACTGCAACCTCCACCTCCTGGTTCAAGTGATTCTCATGTCTCAGCCTCCCAAGTAGCTGGGATTACAGGCATGCACCACCATACCTGGCTAATTTTTGTATTTTTAGTAGAGACGGAGTATCACCATGTTGGCCAGGCTGATAGAACTCCTGACTTCAGGTGATCTGCCCGCCTCGGCCTCCCAAAGTGCTGGGATTACAGGTGTGAGCCACCGGGCCCAGCCTAGCTTGGCCTGGAGATGTATTTTCATAGTTAATGACTGGTTGGGTTTCAGAATCTTGAGATCAGTTTGTGTCACACAATGCCCATACTGTGTTTTACCTAATATATTAAGAAGACATTTGTTCAATTTATTAGGTCCATCATAAGAAAGGACACTGTGGTATTTCAGGACTTCTCTTCTCTCCTACAGTATATTGTAGTTTAGCTTGTGGAGTTTGGAGTTTCAACAGCCTAACTTCAGGGCTCAGCTCTGGCTGTGCTTCAGTCTCCTCACCTGTATAATGGCAATAATAGTAGTTGCTCCCCCGTGAGGTTGTTGTGAGGGTTAAATGGGTTAATATATATGTACAGTGCTTAGAATGGGGCCATTTGAGAACTGTTAGTTGTATTTGCTTGGGTAATTTGTGTGATATCCCCTTGGTGAGAGGAAAGGGTTCAGATTTTTAAGTTTCCTTGCTTGAAACTTCTTTCCCATCTTTCATTTGTCCCATGACTAGAACATTCCACTCTTCCAGCTCCCTGGGCCACAGATTCCTATGGCGTATTAAAGAAATTGTTAAACCAGAGAGAATTTTTTTTCTTGGTGGTTGTATGGGTTTTTAGAAAGTAACCTATGTCCCATATATGGATTACCAGTTTTCAAAACATTTAAAAATAAGGAACTTTACTTTGTTGTAAGTAAAACGTGTATAATCATGTCTGTGTTTTCTGATCTCTCAAAGCTGTTCCAATATAAGGTGCCATCGTTCCTCCTACTTGTGATTATATGTGTAGGATTAGGGGATTAGAATGCCAGAAGAGGGCTATGTCCTCAGAAAAGCCACAGCCAATTTGACTAATCAGAACAGGGGACAGGACAGAGTCTAAGATGTAGTGATATTTTGTATATAGTTTTACTTTCTCCAGTAATAGATCCAACAACCTTTATACAGTGTCTGATTCTTTGGTTACCTTAGGCTCATCTCCTTTTTAAAAAGTTTATTTTTATTTTTAGAGATATAATAGTATCTCACTGTGTCACCCAGTACCCAGGCTAGAGTGCAGTGGTGCAATCACAGCTCACTGCAGCCTCGACCTCCTGGGCTCAAGTGATCCTCCCAGCTCAGCCTCCCCAGTAGCTGGTACTACAGGCTTGCACCATCACGCCTGGCTAATTTTTTAATTTTTTTTTTTTGTAGAGATAGGCTCTCACTGTGTTGCCCAGACTGTTCTCAAACTCCTGGACTCAAGCAATCTTCTCACCTCAGCCTCTCCAAGTGCTGTTAGTAGGATTCCAGGCATGAGCCACCATGCCTGCTCTCCACCTCCCTTCTGTAGTCTAAACTTCAGTGAGGTTTTAAGAGAAGAACAAAGAATGTGAGGCCGGGCAGGGTGGCTCACACCTCTTATCCCAGCACTTTGGGAGGCAGAGGTAGGAGGATTGCTTGAGCCCAGGAGTTTGAGACCAGCGTCAGCAACATAGCGAAACCCCTCTTTACAAAAAATTTAAAAATTAGCTAGGTATGGGGGCCTGTGGCTGTGGTCCCAGCTTCTTGAGGGGGCCGAGTGGGAGGATGGCTTAAGCCCAGGAGATTGAGGCTGTGGTGAGCTATGATGGTGCCATAGCACTTTGGTCTGGAAAACAGAGCAAGACGCTGTCTCCAAAAAAAAAGAATGCGACTAGCACTTTTCCTCCTGAGCTGTGAGATTTCACCTTCAAGCAGGATCTTGTGTGACTGTCCTGGCCCCTCACCCGCTCCTCTCTTCTCCTCTCCCTCCAGGTGCTCAGATTGATGACAACATTCCCCGCCGCACCACCCAGCGTATCGTGGCGCCCCCCGGTGGCCGTGCCAACATCACCAGCCTGGGCTAGAGCTCCTGGGCTGTGCCGTCCACTGGGGACTGGGGATGGGACACCTGAGGACATTCTGAGACTTCTTTCTTCCTTCCTTTTTTTTTTTTTGTTTTTTTTTTTAAGAGCCTGTGATAGTTACTGTGGAGCAGCCAGTTCATGGGGTCCCCCTTGGGGCCCCACACCCCGTCTCTCACCAAGAGTTACTGATTTTGCTCATCCACTTCCCTACACATCTATGGGTATCACACCCAAGACTACCCACCAAGCTCATACAGGGAACCACACCCAACACTTAGACATGCGAACAAGCAGCCCCCAGCGAGGGTCTCCTTCGCCTTCAACCTCCTAGTGTCTGTTAGCATCTTCCTTTTCATGGGGGGAGGGAAGATAAAGTGAATTGCCCAGAGCTGCCTTTTTCTTTTCTTTTTAAAAATTTTAAGAAGTTTTCTTTGTGGGGCTGGGGAGGGGCCGGGGTCAGGGAGAGTCTTTTTTTTTTTTTTTTTTAAATACTAAATTGGAACATTTAATTCCATATTAATACAAGGGGTTTGAACTGGACATCCTAATGATGCAATTACGTCATCACCCAGCTGATTCCGGGTGGTTGGCAAACTCATCGTGTCTGTCCTGAGAGGCTCCACAATGCCCACCCGCATCGCCATTCTGTAGTCTTCAGGGTCAGCTGTTGATAAAGGGGCAGGCTTGCGTTATTGGCCTAGATTTTGCTGCAGATTAAATCCTTTGAGGATTCTCTTCTCTTTTACCATTTTTCTGCGTGCTCTCACTCTCTCTTTCTCTCTCTAGCTTTTTAATTCATGAATATTTTCGTGTCTGTCTCTCTCTCTCTCTGTGTTTCCTCCAGCCCTTGTCTCGGAGACGGTGTTTTCCTCCCTTGCCCCATTATCTTTTCACCTCCCAGGTCTACCATTTCATGGTGGTCGTTGGGTCCGCCTAAAGGATTTGAGCGTTTGCCATTGCAAGCATAGTGCTGTGTCATCCTGGTCCATGTAGGACTGGTGCTAACCACCTGCCATCATGAGGATGTGTGCTAGAGTGTGGGACCCTGGCCAAGTGCAGGAATGGGCCATGCCGTCTCACCCACAGTATCACACGTGGAACCGCAGACAGGGCCCAGAAGCTTTAGAGGTATGAGGCTGCAGAACCGGAGAGATTTTCCTCTGTGCAGTGCTCTCTGGCTAAAGTCACGGTCAAACCTAAACACCGAGCCTCATTAACCCAAGTGAACCAACCAAAGTCACCAGTTCAGAAGTGCTAAGCTAATAGGAGTCTGACCCGAGGGCCTGCTGCTTCCTGGTTAAGTATCTTTTGAGATTCTAGAACACATGGGAGCTTTTTATTTTCGGGGAAAAACCGTATTTTTTTCTTGTCCAATTATTTCTAAAGACACACTACATAGAAAGAGGCCCTATAAACTCAAAAAGTCATTGGGAAACTTAAAGTCTATTCTACTTTGCAAGAGGAGAAATGTGTTTTATGAACGATAGATCACATCAGAACTCCTGTGGGGAGGAAACCTTATAAATTAAACACATGGCCCCCTTAGAGACCACAGGTGATGTCTGTCTCCATCCTTCCCTCTCCTTTTCTGTCACCTTTCCCCCTAGCTGGCTCCTTTGGACCTACCCCTGTCCTTGCTGACTTGTGTTGCATTGTATTCCAAACGTGTTTACAGGTTCTCTTAAGCAATGTTGTATTTGCAGGCTTTTCTGAATACCAAATCTGCTTTTTGTAAAGCGTAAAAACATCACAAAGTAGGTCATTCCATCACCACCCTTGTCTCTCTACACATTTTGCCTTTGGGGATCTGGTTGGGGTTTTGGGTTTTTTGTTGTTGTTGTTTATTTGTTATTTTAAAGGTAAATTGCACTTTTAAAAAAATAATTGGTTGACTTAATATATTTGCTTTTTTTCTCACCTGCACTTAGAGGAAATTTGAACAAGTTGGAAAAAAACAATTTTTGTTTCAATTCTAAGAAACACTTGCAGCTCTAGTATTCACTTGAGTCTTCCTGTTTTTCCTGTACCGGGTCATGGTAATTTTTGGTTGTTTTGGTTGTTTTCTTAAAAAACAAGTTAAAACCTGACGATTTCTGCAGGCTGTGTAAGCATGTTTACCTGTTGGCTTGCTTTGTGTGTCTGTTAAATGAATGTCATATGTAAATGCTAAAATAAATCGACAGTGTCTCAGAACTGAATAACTGCAGTGACTTGATGCTCTAAAACAGTGTAGGATTTAAGAATAGATGGTTTTTAATCCTGGAAATTGTGATTGTGACCCATGAGTGGAGGAACTTTCAGTTCTAAAGCTGATAAAGTGTGTAGCCAGAAGAGTACTTTTTTTTTTGTAACCACTGTCTTGATGGCAAAATAATTATGGTAAAAAACAAGTCTCGTGTTTATTATTCCTTAAGAACTCTGTGTTATATTACCATGGAACGCCTAATAAAGCAAAATGTGGTTGTTTCAGGGGTGTGTCTGTATTGAGATGTTCGGGAGGCGGCTGCTTGACTTGGGCCTCCAACCAGACTTCCCCTCCACAAGCATTCACGGAGCCCTCGGCTTCAGTTTGGTGAATATACCAATTCAAGAGTTTTCACTCCATGTCACAGGCTGCTACGTCCAGGCCACGGGATTCTAATTCTAAGCAAAGATGCAGCCTGCGGGTGCATGGCAAACCAAGTGTCAGAAATTCACAGACTCTATCCTGGAGAGCCCTCCAGAATCAAGCTGCATACTGAAGCTTGAAACTGGGAATGGGGTGGGACCACATGCTTTCATGTGGGTGACCCCTCTGGGCTCTCTGCTTCCTTCCAGCTTGTTTACCCCGGAAAATCCTCCAGCATGAAAGATAAGAGGCAGGTGTGTTGGCCCTTATCCACACCTCAGTCCGGAAACTTGTGGGAAACCAGGTTATAAAGGCTTGGTCTTCCACTTTCATGCAAGTGTCAAGAATGCACTTTGGCCAGGAGCCCCGCCCACCCCAGCAGTCCAGATGCTTGGTTTCCGTGGTTACCCTGATAACTGGCACTCACATTATTGATTCTGAGAAGACTGAATGAAGAGAGTGTGTGCCTTGGGCCCCCCAGGCCTATCATAGGGTTGATGAAGTCATTATCTTTTTTTCCCTTCCTCCTCCCCTCTTTTTTTTTTGAGACAGGGTTCCACTCTGTTGCCCAGGCTTCAGTGCAGTGGCACGATCTTGGCTCACTGCAGCCTTGACCCCTTGGGCTCAAGCGATCCTCCCACCTCAGCCTCCTGAGTAGCTGGGACTACAAGTTGCACACCATCATGCTCAGCAATTTTTTGTTTGTTTGTTTTGTAGAGACACGGTTTCATCATATTGCCTGGGCTGGTTTTGAACTCCTAGGCTCAAACAGTTCACCCACCTCGGCCTCCCAAAGTGCTGGGATGATAGATGTGAGCCACTGCAGCCAGCCCATTTTTATTTTCTGTCCAGCCCTGTCCAAACAGGATATGAGGTGACTTATACAAACACATACACAGTGCCACAGTTTATAAATAAAGAGTGTTTGGGTAAAGGGAAAATAAGAGCAAGAAAAATAAGATAAGGCCTTGCAGGGGTTAGCGTGTGACACCTGCCACGAGGCTGTAAACTTGTTAGCGAGCTCCGAGTGTCCTGGCAACACGTACACAAAAGGGAAGTATGGCCACTTACAACACTTACAGTGACCAGAAGGTAAAGAAGATAAATGAGTCCTTCATAAGGAATACAGCAAATCCTGGGAACCACAGTGTTGAGCGTCTGGGGCTGGCTCTTACCTGCCTTTCACTGCATGCTGATGGCAGAGCACTGTGAACCAGTCAAATCGAGTCTGTCCACAAGAAAGGGACAAAAAGTCTCACCTTAACATTGATGGGACCTGGGACAAGAGTTAACATGAAGCCTCCAGGCCCACAGCCCATCCTCCTATTCTCATAATGGCTTCATCTCACACCAAGATGGGCCTCATGCCCATACCTGTGGACACTGCAGCCCACGTGTCCAAGTTCCATCCAAGCCCAGCAAACAGCTGCCCCGTGAGGTGTCCACAGCAGCTGTGAGGTCTTCCCTCCAAAGAATAGAGCCAGCACAGAGTCCCTCTTAGGTCCCTTTGAGCAGGGACCCAGGTACCAAAGCTGGCCTGGAAGGGCTCTGGTTGGCAACATCTCACTGACCCTTGGGAACTCCTCACTCTGTGGTGAAAGGCATGCTGGAGGGGGCCCAGAGAGAGGGCTTCTACAGGTAGACCAGCCTCGAACTCCTGGGCTCAAGTGATCCTCCTGCCTCAGCCTCTCAGTCTCCAGAATAGCTAGGACTATGGATGCGTCCACCACCACTCCTGTCAATTTTTTTTCTCTTTGTAGAGCTGGGGGTCTCACTATATTCAGGAGTTCAAGACCAGCCTGGGTCTTGAACTCCTCCTGGCCTCAAGCTGTCCTCCTGCCTCAGCCTCCCACATGTTTTTAATGACTATTATTCCACTGTCTCTTAGAAAGCTCCTATTTAGAAGGGTGTGAGCAAAGGGGACAGGGAGTGTTAGAGAATAAGACTGAGCAGGTAGTCAGGCAAGCCCACAGGAGAAAAATGTGGTCAAATGAGAGCTTTGCAGAAAAGAGTATAATGACCTCAGGAAGCCAACACAAATTTGGAAATAGTGGGGATCTAGTTAAGAAGAAATGAAAAAGCCTATAAAATAGACAAGAGGAGGAGTCAGGAGAAAAATGGCCTAGAGGAGGACGAGACAAGTAAAGGAAAGCAATAATAATCTGAGTGCATTACATTTTTTTTTTTTTTGACGGAGTCTCACTCTGTCACCAGGCTGGAGTGCAGTGGCACGATCTCAGCTCACTGCAACCTCCAACTCCCAGGTTCAAGTGATTCTCCTGCATCAGCCTTCCAAGTAGCTGGGACTACAGGCACGCGCCACCATGCCCAGCTCATTTTTGTATTTTTAGTAAAGACAGGGTTTCACCATGTTGGCCGGGATGGTCTCGATCTCGTGACCTCATGATCCGCCCGCCCGGCCAAAGTGCTGGGATTACAGGCGTGAGCCACTGCGCCCGGCCAAGTTTTATAGATAAGAATTGAGAAAATTGTGTTGATTTGGCAAAAAAATTACAAATGTGTGTCTATACACAAACGTATGTATGTAACTTTTATAAGGATCTCAAAAGAATAAATAAAATAGGCCGGGTGTGGTGGTTGATGCCTGTAATCCCAGCACTTTGGGAGGCCGAGGTGGGTGGATCACCTGAGGTCAGGAGTTCAAGACCAGGCTGACCAACATGGCGAAACCCCGTCTCTGCTAAAAATACAAAATTAGCCGGGTTTGGCGGTGCATGCCTGTAATCCCAGCTACTCGGGAGGCTGAGGCAGGAGAATTGCTTGAACCTGGGAGGTGGAGGTTGCGGTAAGCCAAGATCGTGCCACTTAACTCCAGCCTGGGTGACAGAGCAAGACTCCGTCAAAAAAAAAAAAAAAAAAAAAGAATAAATAAAATAATGTCTGAAAATTCTTTGAGGAGTGACAAAGGGACCTAGACACAAATGCATCATCATTTTACTAAGCCTTGGTATCAGGACAGGGCTTGGGCAGACAAGAAGACAACAGGCAGGTTGTCTAGCAGTAAGTGTCTTGTTGAGGCCATGAGGCGTGGGGCCTCCACTCAGGGCGGGACAGAACCTGAGGGGCCCGTGGGAGAAGCACTGGGGGGTTGACAAAGACTAAACACAAGAGCTTATAAAGTTCTACGGTTCAAACAACTTATTACATTGAGTTTATTCACGTGATTAGCTTTGGCAGCTACACCTCATCCCTGCCAGGGATCACACACAGTCCTCGTCCTAACGAACATCTCTGCACCACACAGGACCATCCAGCCAACCTGGCAAGTGCAACGGGAACAGGGTTGTGATCACAGAGGATGAAGGCGAGGTCTCCCCCAGCTGTGACCTTGCCCAGTACCAGCTTTTTGCAGCTTTATCCTGGGACTCTTGGGACCCCA
This sequence comes from Homo sapiens, assembly GCF_000001405.40. NCBI lineage: Eukaryota > Metazoa > Chordata > Mammalia > Primates > Hominidae > Homo > Homo sapiens. The sequence continues at coordinate 26,661,715 of NC_000008.11, forward strand.
GGGACCCTGGAAAACCCAGTGTGGACCCCTAAGGAAGAAGTGGGCAGGGAGGGGGGAACTCCCTATTTCGCTGCCTACAGCTCCTTCAGGATCAATGCCTCCTCCTCGAAGTCCAGATGTGCCGTGGCCTTGACACTGAGGCTTCCCGTTACTGGCGGGCGTGTCTCTGGATTTTTCCTGTCTCTCCAAAGCTGTCCATCTAGTCCTCGGTGAGCCTCTCCCCAGCGGCCCCAGGGAAGCGGCCCACTTGGTTCAACTTCTCCGTAGGGCTGAGCTCCCTCTGCTGGAGACACACACCTCTTACCTTTTTTTTTGTTTTGAAACAGGGTCTCTGTCGCCCAGGCTGGAGTGTAGTGGCGTGATCTCAGCTCACTGCAACCTCTGCCTCATGAGTTCAAGCAATTCTTCTGCCTCAGCCTCCCAAGTAGCTGGAACTACAGGTGTGTGCCAACATGCCTGGCTAATTTTTTTTTAATTTTATTTTTAGGAGAGTCGGGGTTTCACCATGTTGGCCAGGCTGGTTTCGAACTCCTGACCTCAAGTGATCCACCCGCCTCAGCCTCCTAAAGTGCTGGGATTACAGGCATGAGCCACTGCACCTGGCCTTGCCTCTCACCTTTTATTATGGATTCCAGCAGTTAGTGAGGAAAGCACCGCATGCTAGTCCAGGACTGCGCCATCTCTTGGTTGCATCCAAGACCCTATCTCTCAGGAGAACAAGGAGGAATTGTGAGAATTCATGCCCAGGCCTAGCTGCCTAGAGGCAGAGAGAAGGGCTCTCAGCCCGATCCCCAACTCTGGCCACTTTTCTCACCCACTCCCTCCCACTGCGCCCACTTTTGACATCCTGCACCACCAGTCTCTTGTCCGTTCGGTTTTCTGGTCGTAAACCTCCACCTAGCCTGTCCTCCGCACCCCACCAGGACCCCATGGCAGGTACTTCAACTCTCTCGCGAGTTCCCTCAGTTTCCTTGAACCCATGTCTTCCCACTGTGAAACCAAGAGGTGAATCTGATGAGGTCCCCCACTGCCAGCCTGCCCTGCTTGATTCGGTCACTTGCATATTGTTACTTTTTTCCCCAGGTAGCTGAAGGCTGCACTGCAGAACACTGGAACTTAACCCTGCTGGCTTCCTTAAGGAAAACATTTATATGTCACCATGGTAATGGCCGCTTAAGTTATTTTTCAGGAATCTGGGGCTGCTCCTGTCCAGTTCAAACCAGCTGAAATCACTTACTGACCCTTCAACTGGGCCTGTGCAAGTGCCCAAGAGGTGGCTTTTTGATGTCAGAAGGACAAAAACTCCATCCTCAGATATGCTAATACCACCGTTTTCTGAACATGTGTTCAGTGAAGTGCCATGAACCCCAACTACACTTGTGCAGAGCACTAATTACTTCATTCCCCCAACTACCAGTCACCTCTGCCTATGCCTTAGACCATCCCACTTTGCTAACCCACACATATCCCTAAGCCTTATTTTGGGGAGGTGAATTTGAGAGCTGTTCTCCCACCTCCTGACTAGGCTGCCTTGTGAATAAATCTTTTCTCCTTTGCCAAACCTGCTGTCACAGTGATTGGTTTACTGCTCAAGGGCAGAACCAACCTGGTCAGTGTCAACTGTACCTGTACAACAACTCCCCCAGCCATAGTAGGTTGCAGGTCCTGCCTGCTCTGTCTTAATCCAGAGCACCAACTCCAAAGGACAGGGACAGCCTGTACAGCGAAGAATCTTCTGACTCTTGCTTGATTGCTCCCTGGTGCTAGACCTGTTGTGCCAGAACATGAGGAATGGGAATTCATGACCCAGCCCCAGGGCCTGGCCTCCCTCCTGGCCATGGCTAAATTCTGTGAGGCCCCAGTGCCACTGGGGCTCTGGAAATCCAGTGATTGCACCTTGTCTTCTTTTCTCAGTTGTCATCTACATATTGTCCCTCTGGGCATCTGTCCTCCTCTGTGCTCCTTCCCCTTGACAAAACCTCCCACTCTCAAACTCTGTATGTTTTGTGATCAATAAATGCACTCGTATTATTCAATAAACTTCCATCTTCTCTGTTCATTCTCTCCCACCTCTTTGCCTTAAAAAACCCTCATCTTTTTTTCTAAGACATAATTCATCCTTAGTTCTCTCAGTGGAGGTTTCTCTGCATCTCACTGTCCACATTCTTCAGGGCAGGGGAGGTTGACATGTTGCTCAAGCCTCCATCCTTCCTTTGTCCTCTGCCATCTGGTTACACCACTCTCACACTCTGCACCCGGCTGTTATCTACTGATGTCGGGGGAGCTGCTGCTCATTCATGGAAGACTTTGGTATCAAACCATGGCATAGGTTTCCTCTCCACCATGTCTCTCATCAATTCATCAATAGAAGTTATTAATACTTCAATACCTATTAAAGGGTGGATCACCCAGTCATTAGCCTTTCAATTTTGGGATGCATTCTTTTTTTTTTTTTTTTTTTTTTTTGTGATGGAGTTTTGCTCTTGTCACCCAGGCTGGAGTGCCGTGGTGCAATTTTGGCTCACTGCAACCTCCGCCTCCCGGGTTCAAGCAATTCTCCTGTCTTAGCCTCCCGAGTTTACAGGGATTACAGGCACAGTAATTACAGGTGAGTTTACAGGGAGTACAGGGCGCCGGGATTACAGGTGCCCGCCACCACACCTGGCTAATTTTTGTAGTTTTTAGTAGAAACGGAGTTTCACTATGTTGGCAAGGCTGGTCCTGAACTCCTGACCTTAGGGAATCCACCTGCCTCGGCCTCCCAAATTGCTGGGATTACAGGCATGAGCCACTGCGCCCAACCTTTTGTTGTGATGCATTCTCTACGCTGTCTCAGCTATCCACTCCCTGTGTTCTATTCCCCGAGATGTTCTATTTGCTGAAATCACACATGCAGGCACCTTGCTCTCTGTCAATCCACCAGTCCTGTTGGGTTTGTTTGTTCAAGCACTTCCACTATGTCTGTGCTTTGGCAGCCCCAGGACCTCTTGTCACTGTCCCCTCTGTGTTCCCCCTGCTCACCAGCTTCCTCCTGTCTTCCCTTTCTGCCCTCTTTGGATTCCGTGGGACATCATTTCATTCACTCTCATACCAAGAGCCCAATCCCTTGACCCTTTGTCCTTTCATTGTCTCTTCTTTGTCAAACTGCAGTCATAGATGAACCCAACCGTTCTCCACTCTAGCTTGGGCGTGAACCACAGAGTTCTGCTTGAGAAAATGGCAGAACTTGGCAGGTTGTTCTCATGACAAAATCATGGTCACTGACTTCAACTTAACACTGTGCCCTGAACACGTCCCAGGAATCCTACTGTGTTTTCTTCATAGGCTGCAGTTCTACTCTTTATATTTTGAATCTCTGTCCCTCTTTTCCTCATGTCTCCCTCGGGAGATGTCCTTGCCTCCCACTTCACGAGGAATATGTAAACCACCAAGCAGAAATGTCTTCAATACCCCTCGACCAGGGATAAAACTATTTGCAGCAACACCCACCCAACCTGTCCTCTCCAATTCCACCTGTTATCCAAGTCAGAGCCTCCCACCTTCTCAGAAAAATTTCTTATCTCTATCTTCAGTCCATTCAGCCCCTGTCTCTGCTGGCTCCTGGCTAATTTTATCAACACATAAGCATCTTTGAAAATCTTTTTTTTTTTTTTTAATCTTTTTTTACAAAAAGCTGTCTCCTGAGTCTGCTTTTTTTTTTTTTTCTTTTTTTTTCCTCTCCTCTTCAGAGCTAGTTTTCATGGCTGAGGTGTTTACATTCACTGGGTCCATTTTTCCACCTCCCTTTTACCACTTAAGCTATTCAAATCCTGAATAACCACAAAATGACCTTCCTGTTACTAAATCCAAAGAACATTTTCCATCTTTATCTTACCTGGCCTTTTAGGGCGCTTGGTACAGTTGACTTCTCGCTTTTTTTTTTTTTTTGATTTTCACATTACTGGTCATACTTTCTTCCTATCTCTCTGATGATTCGTTAGTGTTCTTTGCCAACCCTTTCCTCTCTAGTAAACTTGATATTTGGAGTCCTTTGGGGCTCTGTCCTTTGGCCCTTCTATTTCACTTCACTCTACATCTCTTCCTAAGCAATTTCCTCTACTTTCACAGCTCTTTTCATCTGTGCGAATAACTCCCAAGAGGTCACTAGGTGATAATGACCTCTCTTCCAAGGTCAAACCCACATATCCCCAACTGCTACTCAAACCTCAGTTGTGTGGTTTATGGTCACCCCAAACACATGTGAAATATGTAACTCTTTGTCTTCTTTCCTTCACCAATCTGTTTCAACTTTAGTGTTTCATAAAGTGGATAGCACAAGCCATTCAGTTATTCCAAACCAAGAATCTAGTGGTCATCATCAATCCCTAGCTGTCCTTCACTCATTCTACATAAACTATCTCCAAGGTCCATTCATTCTGCCTTTTCACTAGTTCTCAAGTCTATTATCTTTTCTCTGTCCTTACTATTATTGTTCCTTCTGCTCCTCTGCCATTACTTTCAACTACCATTTTCTAGGTAACTAAAGAATCTCTTAAATTGTTTTATTGCACCCATTTGTTTGTTTTGTTTAATTTTTTTTTTTTTTTGAGACAGAGTCTTTCTCTGTTGCCCAGGCTGGAGTGCAATGGCACAGTCTTGGCTCACTGCAAACTCCACCTCCCGGATTCAAGCCATTCTCCTCCCTCAGCCTCCCAGGTAACTGGAACTACGGGTGCCCACCACCATGCCAGGCTAACTTTTTCTTTTTTTGTATTTTTAGTAGAGATGGGATTTCACTATGCTGGCCAAGCTGGCTTCAAACTCTTGACCTCAAGCGATCTGCTCAGTTCAGCTTCCCAAAGTTCTGGGATTATAGACGTGAGCCACTGCACCTGGCCTGTTTTGTTTAAGTTTTATTGGTTGAGGTATAAAGACAAAACATTGTACAGGGTTAAGGGTACAATACAATGAACTTTCTAGATGTATGGACCCACGTAAACAGTACCCCAATTAAGATATAGAACATTTCCATCACCTAGTAAGTTCCTTGTATGCCTTTCCAGTCAATCTCTGCCACAATAATTCTAGATCTATTCTGGGGTAACCAATTTTCTGATTTCTAGAGCCATAGTTTAGTGTTGTCTGTTCTAGAATTAGCAGTTTATTTTTCACCATGTAAATTCCAGCTTAGGAGGCTCCTCTCCCCTGTGCATCTTTTCTCAAAGTGCTAACCATGACCCTGGCTCCTTCCATTCTCAGAAACCACTGTCCTCAACACATGGCCTTCAGCATTACCAGAAGAGGAAGAGAGAAAGAGATTTTTTTAGCACAGGTTTGGAAATATATTCATCATTTTCGCTTACCTTCCATTGGTCAGAACTCACTACATGATCCACCTACATGCAAATGGCTTGGGAAATATAGGCTTCCTGTGTGCCCAGGAGGACAATGAAATTGCCTGGTTAGCACTGAGCATTGTCTCTATCACAATAGAAGAGGGGTGATTCCCCAAAGGAAAATCAGTGTGAAAGAACTGTCAGAGGCGTTTGAACCAGAGCGACTCCATCTTGAATAGGGGCTGGGTAAAATGAGGCTGAGACCTACTGGGCTGCATTCCCAAGAGTTTAGGCATTCTAAGTCACAGGACGAGACAGGACGTTGGCACAAGGTACAGGTTACAAAGACCTTGTCGATAAAAGGATGTGGTGAAGAAGCTAGCCAAAACCCACCAAAACCAAGAAGGCAACGAAAGTGACCTCTGGTAGTCTTTATTGCTCATTATACGCTAATTATAATGCATTAGCATGCTAGAAGACACTCTCGCCAGTGCCATGACAGTTTACAAATGCCATGGCAACATCAGGAAGTTACCCTCTATGGTCTAAAAGGGGGAGGAACCATCAGTTCTGAGAATTGCCCAACTCTTTCTCTGAAAACTCATGAGTAATCCACCCCTTGTTTAGCATATAATCAAGGAATATAAAATATAAAAATAGCCAACCAGCAGCCCTCGGGGCTTCTCTGCCTATAGAATAGCCATTCTTTAATCCTTTACTTTCTTTCACTTTACTCTGTGGACTCTCTCCGAATTCTTTTTTTGCGAGAGGTCCAAGAACCCTCTTTTGGGGTCTGGATCTGGACCCCTGTCATAACAGAACCACTGATAGAAGGCAACCCAGAGAATAATAAAGAAAATCTTGCACGAGGTGTATTTATAATGAGCTGACTCTGTAAGACTGAGTTACTTCTTAAAATAGACTGAGGCTGAGACGACATTTGTGGGCAGGGTTACGCATCTTTGTATATTTCCACCTCAGCACGCATGGATGCTGGGCATGAAAACACTACTGATGTCACTACCTTTGTAACTGCCCAATGAGTTCCCCCTGCCCGCAGCGCAAAGACCACAACACTGCAGTAAAGAGTTTAGTTGATGAAAGGCTGGCCACACTGATACAGGAGCCAGAAATAAGTTATTTAGGCAGATACTGAGGGTAAAAGAGTCCTTGGCAGGGCTTCCTTCCTAACAAAAAGCAGCCCCCAAAATTATTTTTTCATAATTAAAAGTAACCTGAAAAATCGAGCTGCAAATATAGATAAGCAAGCTGCAAGTTTGCACGGGGGAATGCAGGCAGCTGCGTCAATAGAAAAGGGCTACCTGGGAACCAGGCATATCCAACATGGAGCCTCCATCTTCCCTTTTCTTTGTTACCACGTGTACAGTAAAGAGGGAGGCAACATGGCACCGGCCAGGTAGAGAGCCCATCTGCATAATTAAAGATTAAGGTGGAGGCAGCTAGCTTTTCTCGCCCTAGGCGTATGGTACACTTAACCGTAATCAGTTTTTCCCGCCCTATGCAAGTAGCACACATGGTCTAACCAATCTTTCATGCCCTATGTAAATCAGACTCCGCCTCCTCAAGCTCATCTGTAAAACCCCCTGCATTTCACCGAGGACTGGAAAACTCATACGGGATCCCTCTCTCTGCAGCAGAGAGAGCTATTCTCTTTCTTTTGCCTATTAAACATCCGCTCTTGGCTGGGCGTGGTGTCTCACGCCTATAATCCCAACACTTTGGGAGGCCAAGGAGAGCAGATCATGAGGTCAGGAGACCCAGACCATCCTGGCCAACATGGTGAAACCCCATCTCTACTAAAAATACAAAAATTAGCCGGGCGTGGTGGCGTGCCTGTAGTCCCAGCTACTCGGGACGCTGAGGCAGGAGAATGGCTTGAATCCGGGAGGTGGAAGTTGCAGTGAGCCCAGATCGCACCACTGCATTCCAGCCTGGTGACAGAGACTCCATCTCAAAAAACAAACAAACAAACAAACAAACAAACACTTCCGCTCTCAACCTCACTCTTGGTGTGTCTGCCTCGCAGTTTTCTGTGACTGTGAGACAACGAATCTCGGGTACCACCCCAGACAACGAAGCCGCTTCAACGACATATGGGAGACAGAATTATTACTCAAATTAATCTCATTAAAGGCTTGTAGGTTAGGGGTCTTTCAAAGGCAGCTTGGGGAAAGGGACGGGGGTGGCTAGACAATGGGTGCTTGCTGGTGATTGGTTGGGTTGGAGATAAAATCAGGCAGTCAAAGCTGTCTTCTTGAGCTGAGTTACTTCTGGGTGGGGCCACAGGAGCAGTTGGCAGGTCCAGGTTGAGTCAGGGTGTCAGACATACAAAATACCTGAAAAGACATCTTAAAAGGCCTTTCTACAATAGTGATGTTATTTGCAGGAGTAATTGGGGAAGTTACATATCTTATGACCTCTGGAATAGTGACTGGCAATCCTTTATGTCTACACCTTAGCAGAATTCAGGCTCCTCTCTTCCTCCTAGCCCTGTGGTCTCTCATTAGCTTTACATAGGTGGCTGAGTTCTAGGGAAGGGCTATTATCATTTAAACTATAAACTAAATGTCTCCCAAAGTTAGCTTGGCAGCTTGAAGGCCAAAGGCAAGAGGGGGGCTGGCTAGATCAGATTTCCCTCATTGGCACAGTTTTATCACTGATACGATTTTTGCAAAGGCGGTTTCATCTTCAGATTAATTACAAAATTATGTACAAGGTCCAAGTGTCCCCCCACTAGATGATGATCTTAACACTTTCATCTTATGAAAAATGGGGAATAGATTCCCAAAGTGTTGCACTTATCTACGCCAGGCTCCATGGATTCTAGCTGCATTTGAGGGCTCCCTGGCTCATGGCCTCAGCTCCTGACTCAATTGTCCTCAGTGTTTCATTGATAAATTCATAAATTTGAGACTGTCTCAAAAAAATTCTGATAAGTGTTGTGATAAGCTATAAACCATAGATACATAATTAGGAGGATGCAGCTAACTGTGGGGATGAAAAAGACTTCCCAAAGAGTTCTCAAGCCTTCGTGAAATTGAATAAAGACAAAAACAGGGAAGTCTGAAACTGCAGCACGATGACCCACAGGCCCGTTCCATATGTGTCTTGGGCCTAGTTCATCTCCAAGGGCACTGATCTGGTCCTTGAACGTCAGCTTTTTATGTAAACTGTTTGAGGACCAAGGTGTGTGTGGACCTGCTGTTCATTCCCTGATGAGCTGATAGTGATAGTGCGTTCTATCAGTTTTTAGTGGCTTATTTGCACATCTGATCTTATTGAAATGTTATAAAGTTCATGGAGGGCTACTCCATTGGGATTATTATTGCTCTTTCTCTCCCTCATTCCTTGTTCTCCATCTTCCCCTCCACGCCCCACCCTGCCATGAGGGTTCCAGCCATTCCCAAATGAGTATTCTGTCCTTCAGGTCCTTATTTAGAAAAACAGTCATTGGCCTGGTTGCCTTTCAATATTTAATTCTACTTTCATAAGTGGAAATAAAGCCTGCTCTTGCCCCTTTCCTCCTAGATGACAGTAGTTAGGATAATATGGTGACCTAATTAATGGTAGTCTTGGTTGACAAAGTATTTGTCAGGTAATTTGGAATGACAGCTGTGGAAAGCTTACCTCTGGCGGCTTAGCTTAGTTTGTCCAGTAGGTGGCAGTAGTGTACAAGCTGTGCGAGAGCAAGTTCTCAAGAAGACAAAATGCAACTTCCGTTCCTAAGCAAGAAAAGGACAGAATGCAGTATCTGTTCCTAAGCAAGCACCCAGCCAGCTGTATCTGGATGTGGACCTGCATTCGGTCCATGAGGAGACCAACAGGTGACTCTGAGTTTAGAAAGCTACGTATTAAACATAATGGTGTGTAGATTTAGCAAGAGACACTAAAAAAGTTGATTATTAGGGGCCAAAATCTCAGATCCCCTTATTAAGTAAATTGGTTTTCCTGATAGAGGCGCCCTGTGTTCAGATAGCGTTTGTGTGGCAGAGCTGACTGCAAGGAGACAAAGGCTTGCTGGGGCTTTCATAGGATGGTACTGTGCTGGAGTGGGCTATGTACACTACGATCACGCCGAGGCTGCAGGGAGCGAGCTTGCAGGTGTCTGGTGGTATAAGTCGGGCGCAGGAAGATTGTGAGTTATTTACACAGGAGGGCTGTGTGTCCTGGACCATGAAGAAAGGCAGACTTGTAGCTTGTTTGCTTCTTTTTGCTTTCCCCTGCTCCCACCAGCCTGACTTTTTCCCTAATGAGGACTTCACAGTTTGCAGCGTTGTCAAATTAGCTAACCAGATGCAATAGGAGTCAGGCTTTCATTCCCTCTTGCAGCCTGTTTCGGTGCTTCATGTTAAAATCCTGTAGTTACTCTCTCTCTCTTTCTTTCTCTCCCTTTCTCTCTCTCTCTGTCAACAGAGGCACTGTAAATTACCAGTGACTGGTCAAATTTGTGACCATTCTTTATCTCCTTCCCTCCTGTCCCTGAATTTGGCTCTCGTACCCAAGCCTGGCTTTCGTATCACACTGGATGTATGGGGAATGAGGCTCAGCACTGTCACTGCATTTGTGTTATTTCATCTGATCAGTGTTGTGATGAACTATAAACCACAAGGACTCAAGGGATCCCCCTGCCTCAGCCTCCTGAGTAGCTGGGATTACAGGTATTATGATACCCGAAATAGGTAATATATTAGCTGCCTATATACTATTCATGCTGATTCATTTATCTGTACTAATTAAGACTTAGCACCTTAGGTGAATGGAACATAGACCAAACAAGCTTTTTAAAATAACGATTTAAAACAAAAGAAAAGTAATGTATGTTAAATGTAAGAACATATTTAAAAAGTAAAGTATCAGCATAATATTGGCTTCCTATAATGATTTGGGATGTGTTCTTTCTTTTTTAATTTAATGCAAGAATGTATTCAATGTATTATTTCCTCCTTAACTGCTTGACTGGTTGAATTGACCATTGAAACCATTTGGACCTAGAGTTCTCTCTGTGGGAATGTTTTTAAACTACAAATTCAATTTCTTTAATAGGCATAGGGCTATTTAGTTTATCTGTTTCTTCTTGAGTAAGCTTTGGTAGTTTGTGTCTTCCATGGAATTTGTCCATTTCGTCTGAGTTGTTGAATTTATTGGCATAGAATTGTTAATCATATTTCCTTATTATCTTCTTAATATTAATAGAATTTTCAGTGATGTCATCCTCTCTTTCCCAATGTTAGTAATTTGCATCATCTCCCTTTTTCTCCTTATCACAATGGTTAGTTTATCAATTTCATTGATCTGAAAAAACTAGCTAATAGTTTAGTTGATTTTCTCTATTGTTTTACTGTTTTGCATTTAATTGATACTTCACTCTGATTTTCATAATTTCTTTTCTTCTATTTAGGACGAATTTAATTTGCTCTCCTTTTTCTAGTTTTCTGAAGTGGAATCTGATGTATTTTTTCTTTTCCAATGAAGGCATTTAGTGCTATAAGTTTCACTGAAGTTACCGTATTCATTTTCTTTTTACCCATGAGTTATTGAGGAATATGCTATTAAGCTTCGAAGTATTTGGGAATGATCCAGAGATTTTTCTGTTACTGACTTCTAACTTAAAGTCATTGTAGTTAGAGAACTTACATGGTGTGAACTTAAATAACCTTAAATTTATGGAGACATATTTTATGAGCCTAAATATGATCCATCTTGAAAAATGTTCCAAATGCACTTGAGAAAAATGAGTATTCTGCTGAGAGGGAATGGAGGGTTCTATAAATGTCGGTAGGCCAAGTTGGTTGATGGAGTTCTTGAAATATCCTAATGTCCACAGTGATTATTCATCTACTTGTTATATCAAGCCATACCAGCCTATTAGCTGAGAATGACTGGATCTGAAATTTTAGGACAGTGTCAAAGTGGAGCCAGCAGCATCATTATTTGGTTTTCCACATTGTTGGGAGACCATCCCTGTAACATATTCCAAAGCAAATTTCTATAAAATGCCAGTCTGGGGAGATGCTCTGTGGAAACAATGTGATATAGGTCAAATGGGTATGAAGCACTTGGGGAGTTAGAATACATATATGAAATCTTGTTTAATTTGGTTAATTATTTCTCAAATTTATTTTATCATAGCATCATTTTTTTACGTGACACTTATAAAATCCTTCAGAACTAAAATTATTTGGGATACATTTAGAGAAATATGTAGATATGGCTAGTATCTAGTAGGTACTAGATACATTTCTAGCTTTTGTGGTCACATAGATACTTTTTATTTGTAAAAGTATTATTACATTCCTATTTTAGTAAGTCCTTTTTTTAAAGAGCAGGTACCACATTTTAACAAATCTTAATGGGATGAACTTGTGGTTTTCATTTGCCACTACTGAAGTGACAAATGATATTAATTCATGGATATTATTTTCTAATGAAGCTGATATCAATTTGTGTAGAGTTGTATTTAGAATGTTAGATCAATATCTATAGTTGAGACAGGTCAAAGGGTTTTTGAATGTGTATGTTAGTTTTGTCAGGCTTTGACACTTAAGGCTAGGGTGGCTTCTTAAATTAATTAGGATTGTTTCCATGTTTGTGGGCTGCAGAATAGTTTATATAACATAAAAATTATCTGTTTGAAAGCTTAAAAAGACTTGCCCATAAAACTGTCTGAGCCCAGAACCATAATTAGATTATAAATACGTGTAATTAAGGGAATGTTTGGTTTGTTTTATGTGTAAAGAGTGGAGGAGAGTTAAATACTTGACATGTGGGAGAGGCTTCCTTAAAGTAATAGAGCCCCTTGACACCAATTACAAGGAAACATGTGCTTCCTCTGTGTTCCCTCCCTCCCTTCCTCCCTCCCCTCCTCCTCCCTCCCCTCCTCCTCCTCCTCTTCCTCCTCTTCCTCCTCCTCCTCCTTCTTCTTCTTCTCTCTCCCTCTCTCCCTCCCTCTCTCTCTCTCTCTTTCTTTCTTTCGTCTCACTCTGTCATCCAGGCTGGAGGGCACTGGCACGATCTTGGCTCACTGCAACCTCTGCCTCCTGGGTTCAAGTGATTCTCCTGCCTCAGCCTCCCAAGTAGCTGGGATTACAGGTGTCCCCCAAACATGCCTGGCTAATTTTTTGTATTTTTAGTAGAGAAGGGGTTTCACTACATTGGCCAGGCTGGTCTCGAACTCCTGACTTCAGGTGATCCACCCGCCTCGGCCTCCCAAAGTGCTGGGATTACAGGTGTAAGCCACTGCGCCCGGCCTGACTTAGGGTTTTCTTTCACCAGGGAGATAAACACAGGATTGATCAGGTATAGCTTTATGTAATTGATCTAAGCAATACTTTGACCAAGACAGAAGCCCCTGGCTACATCTTTACCAGCAACAGAAGAAATTAAACCCTTCTTAGTCAGGACTAGAGAACTTGACACTGTCACAACGTGAGTAAAACTGAGAGAGGCTGATGGGAGCAGAGCATCCCATCTATGCAGGAGAATCCCTGTCCCGGAGCAAGCAGGAGGCTGATGGGAACAGAGTATCCCATCTATGCAAGAGAATCCCTGCCTTGAGACAAGCAGGACCAGCATGCACCAAGGTGCATGAAATTCCTGCGATAAACATCCAGTTATCCATGTTAAGACGAGCACCTTGTCATCACCCAGCCAAGATGTTCTTCTTTACGGGCAAGTCAATTCCTGTTGCCTGTTTCTTTTCTTCCTTTCTTTTTTTTTTTGAGACAGAGCTTCACTCCTGTTGCCCTGGCTGGAATGCAATGGCGTGATCTCTGCTCACCACAACCTCTGCCTCCTGGGTTCAAGTGATTCTTATGCCTCAGCCTCCTGAGTAGGGATTACAGGCATGTGCCACCAAGCCCGGCTAATTTTATATTTTTAGCTGAGACAGGGTTTCTCCATGTTGGTCAGGCTGGTCTCGAACTCCAGACCTCAGGTGATCTGCCCGCCTCGGCCTCCCAAAGTGCTGGGATTACAGGCAAGAGCCACTGCGCCCGGCCTCCTGTTGCCTGTTTCTTAGGGTCCCCTTTGTGTATTTGAAAATTAAAACATGAACCTGGGGCCTTTAGAGTGAGAATATCTCCTGGCTTCAGGGTTGTGACTTAACCTCTTAGTAGCCATCTCTATTTTATTTTATTTTTAAGCATGTCATCACTTTTAGGTGTGCAGTTCAATGGCATAAAGTATATTCACACTCTTGTACAACCATCACCACCACCCATTTCCAGAACTTTTTTCATCTTGTGAAACTGAAACTCTGTCCTCATTAAGCACCAGCTCCCCCTTCCCCCTGGCCCCCATTCCTGGCAATCACCACTCCACTTTGTCTGTATGATTTTGACTACTCTAGCTATCTCATATTAGTGGACTCATGCAGCATTGTCCTTCTGTGATTGGCTTATTTAATTTAGCATAATATCTTCCAGGTTCATCCATGTTATAGTATGTGTCAGAATCTCCTTTATCAAGGCCGAATAACATTTCATTGTGAGTATACACCACATTTTGTTTATCTGTGCGTTGGTCAATAGACACTTGGGTTTCTTCCACATGTTGGCTATTGTGGATAATGCTGCTATGAACATGGGTGTATAAATATCTGTTTGAGTGCCTTCTGTTAAATCTTTTGGGTATATACTTAGATGAAATTGCTGGATCTTATGGTAATCCTACTTTCAATTTTTTGAGGAACCACCATACTGTTTTCCATAGCAGCTGCACCATTTCAAATTCCCACCAATGGCACATAAGTTTTCCAATTTCTCCACATTCTTGCCAACAGTTGTTATTGTCTTTTTTTTTTTAAATTTATTATTATTATACTTTAAGTTTTAGGGTACATGTGCACAATGTGCAGGTTAGTTACATATGTATACATGTGCCATGCTGGTGCACTGCACCCACTAACTTGTCATCTAGCATTAGGTATATCTCCCAATGCTATCCCTCCCCCCTCCCCCCACCCCACAACAGTCCCCAGAGTGTGATGTTCCCCTTCCTGTGTCCATGTGTTCTCATTGTTCAATTCCCACCGATGAGTGAGAATATGCGGTGTTTGGTTTTTTGTTCTTGCGATAGTTTACTGAGAATGATGATTTCCAATTTCATCCATGTCCCTACAAAGGATGTGAACTCATCATTTTTTATGGCTGCATAGTATTCCATGGTGTATATGTGCCACATTTTCTTAATCCAGTCTATCATTGTTGGACATTTGGGTTGGTTCCAAGTCTTTGCTATTGTGAATAATGCCGCAATAAACATATGTGTGCATGTGTCTTTATAACAGCATGATTTATAGTCCTTTGGGTATATACCCAGTAATGGGATGGCTGGGTCAAATGGTATTTCTAGTTCTAGATCCCCGAGGAATCACCACACTGACTTCCAAAAGGGTTGAACTAGTTTACAGTCCCACCAACAGTGTAAAAGTGTTCCTATTTCTCCACATCCTCTCCAGCACCTATTGTTTCCTGACTTTTTAATGATTGCCATTCTAACTGGTATGAGATGGTATCTCATTGTGGTTTTGATTTGCATTTCTCTGATGGCCAGTGATGGTGAGCATTTTTTCATGTGTTTTTTGGCTGCATAAATGTCTTCTTTTGAGAAGTGTCTGTTCATGTCCTTCGCCAAGTCAATCCTAAGCCAAAAGAACAAAGCTGGAGGCATCACACTACCTGACTTCAAACTATACTACAAGGCTACAGTAACCAAAACAGCAAGGTACTGGTACCAAAACAGAGATATAGATCAATGGAACAGAACAGAGCCCTCAGAAATAATGCCACATATCTACAACAATCTGATCTTTGACAAACCTGAGAAAAACAAGCAATGGGGAAAGGATTCCCTATTTAATAAATGGTGCTGGGAAAACTGGCTAGCCATATGTAGAAAACTGAAACTGGATCCCTTCCTTACACCTTATACAAAAATCAATTCAAGATGGATTAAAGACTTAAACGTTAGACCTAAAACCATAAAAACCCTAGAAGAAAACCTAGGCATTACCATTCAGGACATAGGCATGGGCAAGGACTTCATGTCTAAAACACCAAAAGCAGTGGCAACCAAAGCCAAAATAGACAAATGGGATCTAATTAAACTAAAGAGCTTCTGCACAGCAAAAGAAACTACCATCAGAGTGAACAGGCAACCTACAAAATGGGAGAAAATTTTCGCAACCTACTCATCTGACAAAGGGCTAATATCCAGAATCTACAATGAACTCAAACAAATTTACAAGAAAAAAACAAACAACCCCATCAAAAAGTGGGGTTATTGTCTTTTATTTACTTATTTATTTATTTATATTTGTGATAATAGCCATCCGAATGGCTATATCCGATGGTATAATTTATTGTAGTTTTTGTTTGCATTTTGTGAATGATTAGTGATTTTGGCATGTTTTCCTGTGCTTATTGGACATTTGTATCATCTCCACATCTTAGAGATGATGTAGATTTCTACCCACTTAGAGGCGAGTAGATTTCTACCCACAATGACACTCCAAGACCTATGCATGAGGCTCTCCAGAGACAGAAAACCCTGACCAAAATCTGAAAAAAAATCTACTCTTTTTAAAAGACTTTCAAAACTTGAACAGAGAGGCAAAGAGTTTGAAAGTTACTGGAGTTCAGCGATGGCGTACAGGAAACAGTTTGGTATATTCCTGCTTCTTATGCCCCTGGAATTTATCTTTCCTAACATTTAACTCCATAATTCTTCTTTTGATTCTAAAGTTTGTTTAATATTTCCCAATAAGCTTCTCTGTACTCTTGCTTTGAAAAGTTAATCAGAATGTGTTTCTCACAATAGATGAGCCTTAGCTACTCTAACCTAGGATACATTTCATCCAGGGAGTGTCACTGAAATTGATCACCACCAACAAGCTAGCATCGTTGTTTTTCATGGCTAAGAGTAGGCTGCTGTCCAGATCCAGGCAGATAATTCACACCTGAAATGACTGTGTAAATTGAATACATGCTTCACTAAACAGTGGCTTGAAATAAGCAAGGAAAACTATACTGCAATAGGATATTACTCACGAAAAATTTTGTTGAGATGGGAAGTCTTTTTACCCTATGATGGACAAACACTAAAAATTCAGAAATGACATAAGAATACTCAGCTTTTAAAAGTTATGTTTTAAAGATTCCTTTTTCTTTTAAAGAATTGTGAGAATCAGGAAAAATGAGCAAAAGGATTTCTGAAAATATGTAATTAGCGGAGAAAGACTCAGAAGAGAAAGGAGGTCAAAAGAAAGACACTAAATTATGCTAAGTGTAATGGTTTTATTGAATAGACTGACTGCCACAGGGCCCAAACAGAAAGTAACTTTGTGTTTCCTCCAAGACCGGCTTCAGAGATAGCAGTTCTGAGGGTCTCCTTCCTGCTCTTTGATGGAATCTTCTACATCAGTGGTCCCCAAACTTTTTGGCACCAGGGTCCAGTTTCATGGAAGACAATTTTTCCATGGACAGGAGATGTGGAGAGATGGTTCAGGATGAACTGTTCCACCTCAGATCATCAGGCATGAGATTCTCATAAGGAGTGTGCAACCTGGATCCCTCGCGTGCATAATTCACAATAGGGTTCATGCTCCTGTGAGACTCTAATGCTGCTGCTGATCTGACAGGAGGTGGAGCTCAGGCAATAATGCTTGCCTGCCCACTGCTTACCTCCTGCTGTGTGGCCCAGTTCTTAACAGATCACTGACCAGTACCAGTTTGTGGCCCAGGGATTAGGAACCCTTGTCCTACATGACATGTAATACTTAGGCTGCTTTAAGTACCAAAACCAAATCCCATTTTGATAACTACCACCTAATTTTACAAATGAAAAGACCAGCCCCAAACTCCACATTCAACTTCACATGTTAACTTCCCTCCCAATTCCAGGCTGATCTCTGGCTTGCAAACTGTCTTAGTTTGCTCAGGCTGCCATAACAGAGTGCTGCAGAGTGGGTGGCTGAAAATACAGAAATTTGTTTTCTCCCAGTTCTGGAGGCTGGAAGTCCAAGATCAAGGTGCTGGCACGGTTGGTTTCCTCGAGGCCTCTATTCTTGGCTTGCGGATGTCTGCCGTGTTCCTGTGCCCTCACTTGGTCATCCCTCTGTGTGTGCCTGTGACCTAATCTCCTCTTCTTATAAGGACAGCAGTCATATTGAATTGGGGTCCATCCTAATGCCCTCCTTTTCCATTAGTTAATTCCTTAAAGGCCTTATCTCCAAATGCAGTCACATTCTGAGATACTGGAAGTTAGGATTTCAACAAAGGAATTTTGGGGGACACAATTCAGCCCCATTATAGGATTCACAGTGAGGAAGGGGGCATGGTCACATTCTCTATTTCTTCTTTTTTCCCTCACTTCCTTTTGTCTCTGTTGTTTTCAAGGTCAGAGGAAGGGAAAGGGAGGCTAGAGGAAAGGATCAAAAAGTATTTTTTTTTAACTTAAATGCTATAGTGCTATAGTTTGCTTTTGGCTAACACTGGCTTAGGATGGTGGAGACATTCTCTGTGGCAGGCATTTAAATTCTGGCTCATCCATGGGGTGCAGGTGTGGCTTCTTCAGAGACTGACCTGTGGGCTGGGGGAGATACACTGTTGATGTCCCTGAATGAGGGGTACACTGTGTGGCTGGTATCTTGGACACTCAGCCCCTGTGCTCTGGCGTACACCCTACAGTCTCTTGGCTTGCATCCCCCCATGACAACTGGCCCCTTCTTGGGCTGGGTACCTTCTGCAGTGTCCACTGGAACATAGAAAACATATATCCCTGGGCACTGCTCTGTCCTTTGTCCTGCAGCTGTGGACTGCTCCAGAAAGCCTCCAACGTCAGAAGTATTTAGGCAAGAAGTATGTGTGTCTCTATGTTTCATGGATCTCTTAAACTTTGAGAGACACCCCTCAGTCACCCCAGGAGTTCCCTACTGTGCTGTGCTCTGATGCAAGCAGATGGGCATCAGATGCAAGAATTGCAAGTTCTCACAGCTTAGCAAGTATCCTAGGCAGTGAGGAGAACCCATTCTCCCCCTACAGGGCATCTGATCTTTGGGAAGTGTTCTGGGTCTCTGCCTTGGTTTGGAAGGGGGTAGAAGGATGGAGCACACAGGAGGAAGGGAGGAAAAATTCCCTGGTGCTCCATTCCAGGCCAACAGCTCACTATTCCTGGGAGCCCTTACTCCAAGGAAGCTGATTTTAAAGCTTGTGTTCTCCTAGGACTCCAAGGCAAGGACATAAAATTTGGCTGGGCTTCATGAAAACTGAGACTCTCTTTCTTTCTTTCTCTCTCTCTTTCTTTCTTTCTTTCTTTCTTTCTTTCTTTCTTTCTTTCTTTCTTTCTTTCTTTCTTTCTTTCCTTTCCTTCCTTCCTTCCTTCCTTCTTTCCTTCCTTCCTTCCTTCCTTCTTTCTTTCTTTCTTTCCTTCCTTCCCTCCCTCCCCCTCCCTCCCTCCCCTCTTCCTTCCTCCCTCCCTCCCTTCCTTCTTCCTTCCTTTCTTTCTTTCTCTCTCTCTTTCCTTCCTTCTTTCTTTCTATCTTTCTTTCCTTCTTTCTTTCTTTCCCTCCCTTCCTTCCTTCTTTCTCTCTCTCTCTTTCTTTCCTTCTTTCTTTCCCTTCCTTCCTTCCTTCCCTCCCTCCCCCTCCCTCCCTCCCTCCCTCCCCTCTTCCTTCCTTCCATCCTTCCTCCCTCCCTCCCTCCCTTCCTTCTCCTTCCTTCCTTCCTTCTCCTTCCTTCCTTCCTTCTCCTTCCTTCCTTCCTTCCTTCCTTCCTTCCTTCCTTCCTTCCTTTCTTTCTTTCTTTTCTTCCTTTCTTTCTTTTTCTCCCTTTTCTCCTTTTCTCTCTTTTCTTTTCTTTCAAGGTTTAGGGCTTTGCTGTGTCTCCCAGGCTGGAATGCCATGGCACAATTATAGTTCACTGCAGCTTCAAACTCCTGGGCTCAAGCAATCCTCCCACCTCAGCATCCTGAGTAGCTAGCACTACACTTATGTGCCACCAGACCTGGCTAAGTTTTAAACAATTTTTGGTAGAGATAGGGTCTTTCTGTGTTTCCCAGGCTGCTCTCAAACTCCTGGCGCTCAAAAGATCCTCTCACCCTGGCCTCCCACAGTGTTGGGATTATAGGCTTGAGCCACCGTGCCTGGCCTAGGGTGGGGACACCTCTCCTGCTCTCAGAAATCATGCATCTCTGGCTCTGCCTCCCTCTCCCCAGGTAGACCATTCTCCTCTCTGAGCCTAGTTTCCTCTGTGACACACTGGTAGTTTGGTTTGCAGGTGGCTTTGCCTTGGTCTGACACAGACCTCAACTCTTCATGACCTGACTGTTGGATTCCCTTCAGATCAAAGTCTTACTTGATGTGTCCCTAATTCCAGATGCTAAGACCAGGGCTTTATCTGGCCTCACACGGCCCAGATGCTCAGGTGTCCACATGTCCTATCCTCCATGCCCAGGGATGGTGTGTGCTTTGGTCCAAATGTTTGTGTCCCCAGAATCCATATGTTGGAACCACACAAAGTGATAGTGTTAAGTGGGGCCTTTGTGGGGGCGGGGGTGGGGGCAGTGATTAGGTCATGGGCCCCACCCTCATGAATAGGATTAGTGCCCTTACACAAGAGGCTTGAGGAAGCCCTTTTGCCCTTCACCATGTGAGGATGCATCAAGAAGGCGCCATCTTCGAAGCACAGAATAAGCCCTCACCAGATGCTGAATCTGCCAGTGTCTTGATCATAGAATTCCCAGCCCCCAGAGAAATACATTTCTGTTGTTTATAAGTCTAAGGTATTTTGTACCCTGTTGTATAGCAGCCTGAATGAACTATTTATACATCACACAATACAAAGTGATCACCTACTAGATGAAGGATACAGGTCACTGTAGAAAGTTCTCTGTATGCCCCCAAGTCGAGGGTGAGCAGAAGGCTTCTAGTTCAAAAATCTGGAAAAGGAGAGAGAAAGAAAATTGAAATGCCATTGACATATCAGAAATAGGAGTCCCTCCACCCTCTTCCCACTCCTGCCTGCTTGTCCTAGGATTTGGTTGTGTTGTTCTAGTGCAGGTTCTAGGATTGAGGAAGCCCAAAAAGTGAAGGAACATGGCTCCAGGTCATTAGATTGAGGCCAGAGAGCCTGGAGCAAAGGCAACAGTTCAGGTTCAGGTGGGGTCTTCACATGGAGGATCTCAGCCAGAAATACTCTTTATTCATGCAGCAACCAAGGGCAGCATAATGGTATTTAGAACATCGATATGTGGAGGAAACAGTTTCCTTTTAAGGTTTGTAGACTTACTATTTGATCTTCCATTTGCTATAATTAAGCCTTCTTATGATGAAAGTTCCTGCATATGGGGAGTGTTAGAAGGGCCATTGTATTTGCCCAGATGTACTGAGAAAGAGACATGTTCATTGATGTATGCTTTTCCCAAGCATAGAACTGGGGTTGTGTGGGATTAAGCCAGCATCTGCATGAGCCTAAACCAGAAAGCCTGACAGTTCTCCTTGTCATAATCCTTAAGTCACTTTGCAGAAGAGACAGTCAAGCCTTTTCCTGGTGAACCCTTTGACATCCCCCGAATGCTGGACAAGCCCTTAGTGGACACACTGATTGCTGTCTATGACCACATTTCCATTTGCTATATTGATTGCCCAGATCTTTGGCCCTCATGTAACTGAATATCCCCCTACTTCCCCAGACTGTGGGTGTGAAAGAGGTCACTTTAAAATGGACACCCTCATTTTGCCAACTTCATATTCCTCATGTGCTGGTGTGAGACTTTAGCCTCTTCCAACGCTCCCTCAGTTATTTCTGGGAGTCTCCGAGATTCCTCCCATGGGTTCTGGTGCAAGTCAGCCCCTCTGTCTCTGGCAGAGTTCCAGCACCCATACTGGAAACCACCTGTTTTCAGCACCTCTGTCACTGGCTGCCACCTCCAGGACTGCCTGGTGTCAAAGTTGCCCATGGTGGGGGGGCACCGTGGGGCTGCAGGTGGAAGAATTACCTTTTTCCCCAACTCCTTCACTCTTGCATGGTGGGAATTTATCAACGAAAATGGCTCTCCACCTCAGCTGCACGTTGGAATCACCTGGGAAACTTTTTTTTTTAGTATTTATTGGTCATTCTTGGGTGTTTCTCGGAGAGGGGAATGTGGCAGGGTCATAGGATAATAGTGGAGAGAAGGTCAGCAGATAAACACGTGATCAAAGGTCTCTGGTTTTCCTAGGCAGAGGGCCCTGTCGCCTTCCGCAGTGTTTGTGTCCCTGAGTACTTGAGATTAGGGAGTGGTGATGACTCTTAACGAGCATGCTGCCTTCAAGCATCTGTTTAACAAAGCACATTTGCACCGCCCTTAATCCATTTAACCCTGAGTTGACACAGCTCATGTTTCAGAGAGCACGGGGTTGGGGGTAAGGTTATAGATTAACAGCATCCCAAGGCAAAATAATTTTTCTTAGCACAGAACAAAATGGAGTCTCCTATGTCTACTTCTTTCTACACAGACACAGTAACAATCTGATCTCTCTTTCTTTTCCCCACATTTCCCCCTTTTCTTTTTGACAAAACCGCCATCATCATCATGGCCCGTTCTCGATGGTCGCTGTCTCTTCCGAGCTGTTGGGTACACCTGCAGAAAGGCTGTCACTTCACACTTGGAAGACTGCACAGCGGCCAGGCAGAGGTGCTCCTCACATCCCAGATGGGGCAGCTGGGCAGAGGAGCTCCTCACTTCCCAGATGGGGCAGCCGGGCAGAGGCGCTCCTCACTTCCCAGACAGGGTGGCAGCCAGGGAGAGGTGCTCCTCACTTCCCAGACGGGGTGGCCAGGCAGAGGCGCTCCTCACTTCCCAGACGGGGTGGCAGCCGGGGAGAGGTACTCCTCACTTCCCAGACGGGGTGGCCAGGCAGAGGCGCTCCTCACTTCCCAGACGGGGCAGCCGGGCAGAGGTGCTCCTCACATCCCAGACGATGGGCGGGCGGGCAGAGATGCTCCTCACTTCCCAGACGGGGCAGCCGGGCAGAGGTGCTCCACACTTCCCAGATGGGGCGGTCACCTGGGAAATTTTACAGATACTGATGCCTGGGCCCTGGGAATCAGTGTTCTGACTTAGCTGGTTTGGTATATTGCTGGACCTCAGGATTTTCAAAAGCTATCCAGATTCTAACATGGCTGGGGTTGAGAACTACTGTCTTGTGTCTTAAAGTATGGTTTGCAGTTCAGCAGTACAGGCATCCCCTGGGAGCTTGTCAGAAATGCAGAGTCTCAGGCCCCACCCTGACCTATGGAATCAGAGTCTGGTATTCACAAGCTCCCCAGGAGAGTTGCATGCATGTGACAGTGTGAGGAACACTGGCTTCGATCATGAGGACTGTCATCCCAAGTCACAAATCAGCTGACAGCGATCAGATGGGTTCTGTTGGAGTAACATAAACACCTTAATGTGTTTATGTCTTATTGTGTTGAAAAATACCACTCGAGTCTCTCCCCTCTGGAGGAGTGGTGGCTCAAAGCTGAGGGGACTTCCTGAGAATTCTTGGCTCCCCTGACTCTGCACACTTCTGCACTTGTTATGGAGTGAATTGTGTCGGCCTCCAAATTCTTATATTGAAGCCCTACCCTCTAGTACTTCAGAATGTGACTATTTGGAGATAGGCTCTTTTTAAAGGGGCAATTAAGGTAAAATGAACTCATTAGGATGGGTCCTAATCCCATGTAGCTGGTGTCCTTATAAGAAGAGAAAATTTGGACACAGACACACATATAGGGAAGACCATGTGAAGAGGCAGAGAGGAGAAGATGCCCATCTACAAGCCATATAGCAACCTCAGAAGAAACCAACCCTACCAGCACCTTGATCTTGGACATCCAGCCCCCAGAATAGTGAGAAAATAAACTCCTGTGGGCCAGGAGCCATGGCTCACACCTGTAATCCCAGCACTTTGGGAGGCCGAGGTGGGTGGATCAAGGTCAGGAGTTTGAGACCAGCCTGGCCAATATGGTGAAACCCTGTCTCTACTAAAAATACAAAAATTAGTCTGTCTCTACTAAAAATACAAAAATTAGTCAGGCGTTGTGGCGGGTGCCTGTAGTCCCAGCTACTTAGGAGGCTGAGGTAGAAGAATCGCTTGAACCTGGGAGGCGGAGGTTGCAGTGAGCCAAGATGGAGCCATTGCACTCCAGCCTGAGTGACAACAAGACTCTGTCTCAAAAAAAGAAAAAATAAATAAAGGAAATAAACTCTTGTGGTCTAAGCTGCCCAGGCTGTGGGCCCTTTGTCACAGCAACCCTAGCAAACAAACACAAGGCCCCTAAGAGCTTCACAAACCCTTCTCTGGCTGTGGCGTGATCTCCTGTTCTCCTTACCACCCTCTTTTTACTTGTTTCCTTACAGCTAAAGTAAGCTTTGTTGGCTCTGCTTGTGCTCTTAGGAGTTCAAGGATTTGCATCCAATCTGACAAAAGTGCAGATTTGCTCTGCTCTGTCGCTTGGGCCCCACTTCTTCTGTCTACAAAACTTTCATATTTGGCCTTTGTATCCAGCTTCTTTCACTTTGAAGAAAGTCTTCAGTGTTCTTCTGTGTTGCAGCATCAGTACTTTATTCTGTTTATATCTGAACAATATTTCATTGTATTCATCTATTACATTTTGCCCGTTCATTTATCAATCAATGGGCATTTGTGTTGTTTCCATTTGGGGGCTATTATGAATGAATAATGTTTATTCATGTACAAGGTTTTGTGGGGACATATGTTTTCAGCTCTCTTGGGGCATATCTAGTAGTAGGGTTACAGGAGCATGGGGAGTGACTGCTAATGGGTGCATGCTTTCTTTTTGGAGTGATGAGAATATTCCAGAATTAGAGGTGATGGTTGCACAACTTTGTAAATATGTTAAAAGCCACTGAATTGTACATTTTAAGGGGTGAATTTTATGGTATGTGAATCATATCTTAAGAAAATGTATGAGAAAAAACAGGTGGAGTAGTGGTGGCAGTGGCTGGGGTTTTATGAGCGTGGGAGTGGTACGCACTATTGCTAGGGCCACTTTGGGAAGACAGGCAAGTGGCTGAGGCTGAGGGGGGCAGGCTATTTTAGTCTGGGCTGGCAGCTCATTTGGAAGTATCACGCTGTATTGGATGCAACAGTACTGTATGTGCTGATAGCCTTCCTCATGGTGCTTTTGTAGGCCCACTTTATTTATTTGTTTATGTGTATCTATTTTCCCTTTCTTTGTTAGGATATAATTGACAAATTAAAGTTGTGTATCTTTACAGTGTACATGTGATATTTTGATACATGTATGCCTCATGAAATGATTAAATCAAGCCAATTACCATATCCATCATCACACACACTTATTTTCTTGTGGTGAGAACACTTAAGATCTAATCTCTTCGCAATTTTCAAGTATATAATACAACCTTATTAACTATAGTCACCCTGCTGTACAATGGATCTCCAGAACTTATTCTTCCTGTCTAACTGGAACTTTGTACCTTTTAACCAGCACCATTTACCCGTTTCCACCGTGAACGTGATAGCCATACACTTGACTTAGCCCTTGAAGTGAGTTTTAATCAACCTCAGTCACCACAGGATTTTTTAGTTTTAGCTTTTCCTGTTTGAGATTGAAAAGCAATAGGTTTTTTAAAACTCTCTAAGTCCCCAATTTCTGAACTTCCTCTTTTCCCTTTCATGCTTGTAAACAGTCAAATGCTTTCTGCGAGCTCCTCTATTTCTTGCTGTCCATTGTCAGATGAAATGTGCAGAAACCAACATATACAACTAATGCTTTGGTTTCCACCTCTTCTAGACCTTAAAATCCATTAGGCTCATTGTTGGCTTTCCAAGTTACTGAGGGCAATGTCATGTTTTGCTACTGCTGAACATGGATCACTTTCTTTCCATTTTCCATGAACAGTTTCCTTGGTACCAATAATTCGACTGCTAAGTTAGTGCCACATATTTTTAAGTTTTTGTGATGGTAGCAACCCTCTTCTAGGTACCAATTTCTTTATTAATCAAGAGAGGTTTACTGTAGTTGCATTCCAACATTATCAGTATTTTAACACAAAAAATGTTTATTTCTCATGCGTCCATGAGCACCACATATGGCAAATTGTGCCCTTCCTCTTAAAGTGAATGCCTTGAAATGACACACGTCACTTCTGCTTACATTTCACTGGACAAAGCAGGTCATATGACCACACCTAACTTAAAAGAAGTAGAGAGGCAGCACTGCACATCACATGTGTGACTATGTCTTTACCTTGAACCATAATATATATAATATATATTTATATTTTTATATAAATAAAAATATACTTATATTTTTATATAAATAAAAAAAGTATATATTTTTTGAGACAGAGTCTTACTCTGTTGCCCAGGCTGGAGTGTAGTGGCACAGTCTCGGCTCACTGCAGCCTCCACTTCCCAGGTTCAAGTGATTCTCCTGCCTCAGCCTCCTGAGTAACTGGGATCACAGGCGCCTGCCACTACGCCTGGTTGATTTTTGTATTTTTTTAGTAGAGATGGGGTTTCACCATGTTGGCCAGGCTGGTCTCGAACTCTTGACCTCAGGTGTTCCACCCGCCTTGGCTTCCCAAAGTGCTGGGATTACAGGCATGAGTGACCGCGCCCAGCCTCATGACTGATATTTTGACTGGTGTATTACTTTGCTGGACTGTGATAACAAAGTACCTCAGATCAGATGGCATAAAGGAATCCTGGGCATAGAATTCTAGTTTTAAAATGACTTTTCTTCAGCATTTTGAAGACATCACTCCACTACCTTCTAGTTTTTAGTGTTGGTGTTTTACAGGCTCCAATGCCATGCTGATTACAGATAATTTATCTTAATCAATCTGTCTGGAAGCATAAGATCACTACGTGCCTGGTGTTTTGAAATTCCACAATGATGCAAATCCATTTTCAACCACTGGTCAGGCCTTTCATTCTTGCTTCATGGTTGTAATGCCCTCAAATCTCTTTGAGGGTCTTAATGATTACTTTTTCAGGCTTTCTTCTTCTTGAATAGTATCTGTTTCTTCTATATTGATCTTTTTCAGTTTTTTTTAATCTTTATCTTCTATGTTAGAGGCTTTTCTCAGATGCTTGGCAATCTTTGCTTTTGGTCATATTTAAGAGGTACTGGAATGTTTGCTAGAAGCTTTGAGGTCATACGTGGGACTTGTCAATCTGAGTGTCACTCTAAAATGACTGAGCTGGGCTGTTTAACTGACGGTGCTCTTATGAGAGTATCTTTAATATTTTCCTCTTTAGCTGCTCAAATTCATGCCTGGAAACTAAGGGGCTGGCTCTTTCCTTAATCTTGCTGGCCTGAATTATGCCTTGTGTCCCACAGTACAGAAACACTGTGTCATCTTCTTCAGTCTTTTTCTAAGGAAAGGGAGGGCCAATTGCTCTGCAATGCACAGGGAAGTAAGAAATCAGTATTTTATTGCTTCTTAAATAGATTTTCAACCAGCCCTCCTTTTTCTCTCTCACTTTTTTAAAAATTTAAGTTCTTGGATACATGTGCAGAACATGCAGGTTTGTGTATATAATTGCCACGGTGGTTTGCTGCACCTATCAAACCATCATCTAGGTTTTAAGCCCTGCATGCATTAGGTATTTGTCCTAATGCTCTCCCTCCCCTTGTCCCCCACCCCTCGACAGGCCCCCGTGTGTGATGTTCCCCTCCCTGTGTCCATGTGTTCTCATTGTTCAACTGCCACTCATGAGTGAGAACATGTGGTGTCTGGTTTTCTGTTCCTGTGTAAGTTTGCTGAGGATGATGGTTTCCAGCTCCAACCATGTCCCTGAAAAGGACATGAACTCATTCTTTTTATGGCTGCATAGTATTCCATAGTGTATGTATGCCACATTTTCTTTATCCAGTCTATCATTGATGGGCATTTGGGTTGGTTCCATGTCTTTGCTATTGTAAATAGTGCTGCAATAAACATACATGTGCATGTTTTTCTTTTCTTTTTTTTTTTTTTGAGAGACAGATTCTTGCTCTGTTACCTAGTCTAGAGTAGTTCAATCATAGCTCACTGAAGCCTTGACCTCCCAGGCGCAAGATATCCTCCCATCTCAGCCTCTTGAGTAGCTGGGACTACAGGCATGCACTACCACGCTCGGCTGATTTTGAAATTTTTTGGTGGATATGGGGTTTCACTATGTTACTCAGGCTAGTCTCTAATTCCTAGCTTCAAGAGATCTTCCCGCCTCAGCCTCCCCAAGTACTAGGATTGCTGATATGAGTCATCATTTCTGGCCAGGCCTCTATATATTATTGCCCCCTGAACACACAGCATAAACTTTTCTACCCCATGGTGCATGGGCTCGTGCACACACACAGATGTGTACATAAGTCTAGAGCAGTGGTTTTCAACCAGGGAGTAATTTTTGCCCCTTCTTGCTAGGGGCGTTTGTGACTTCCGGATATAGTTTTTGGTTGTCATAACTGGGGGTGGACGCTTTTGACTCTAGAAGGCAGAGGCCAGGGATCTGCTAAACATCTTACAAGGCACAGGACAGCCTTCCACACAAATAATTATCCAGTCCAAGATGTCAGTAGTGCCTTCGTTAGGAAACCATGATGTAGAAACCATGTATCTGGGGCCTCTTTCACTTCCAGCCAAGGTACAGTACAGGAACAAGATGTGTACTCCCACCTGAAAAAGACTTTCAAATTAGACAAAATATATGAAACACTGGTTTTCTTGCTTTCTTTTTTTTTTTTTAAAGAGATAATCTTACTCTGTTGTCTAGCTTGGAGTGTAGTCGTGTGATCATAGCTCACTGCAGCCTCCAATTCCTGGGTTCAAGCAACCCTCCCACCTCAGCCATTACTTAGGCCCATGAATTCATTATCAGGAATAATTCTATTCCCATAAAACAGAGTAAAAATCTCATAATTCATATGCCATCAGATAGAATATTCAAAAAATGCAGGTTCACCTCAGTACTGAGACAAAATGTGGTATATACATATGGTAGAATATTATTCAGCCATAAAAGAAATGAAATTCTGATACACGCTACAACATGGATGAACCTTGAAGATAGTCATGAATAATGAGTGCAATAAGCCTGTCACAAAAACATAAATATTGTATGATTCCACTCATACATTATGAATGTAAGGTATACATACCTCATTATGAATTGCATTGCTGAACTTGCAGATGGGGGTAGGGGACACCTACTGAAGGGTGATACAAAGATTATGTCAGTTTCAAAGGTAGGAATCTGCGTAATTACGGGACTTTTTAAAGCTGGGCCCTAGGTTAATCAAGGAAGGTTTCTGGAGAAGGCGACTTTCAATCAGACACCTGCCTTCTCCGCATCTTTTAAGGTAAAGAATTAACATTTATTTAGCGTTAGGTACTGTTCTAAGCACTTTGCATGTATTTACCCATTTAATGATCACAAAACAGTATGAGGTATATAGATTAGGAAACCGAAGCACAGAGAGTTTAAATAATTTGCCTAAGTTTCTACAGCTAGAGGGTGACTTTGCTGGGAGTCAAACCCAGGCTGTCTTTAAATCTTGTGTTCCTAGCTACTAGGTTGTTTTTAAATCCTGCATTCCTAGCTACTAGGTTGTCTTTAAATCCTGCGTTCCTAGCCATTGTGCTACTTTAATAACATTAAATACACGTAGCAGTAAATTTTGGAATAGATGTAAGTATACCTCATTTTATTAGAGTTTTCAAATGGATTTAATATAGTTTTAAAATAGAGTGTTAAAAAAATTACGATTTCATAGTTTTTAGGGCAGTTTTGCAGACACCAACAGTCAGCATTCTGTTTGTCCACCAGAGGGCGCCTCCAGCACAAACTCCAAGTCCACAGTTAGCCTCCCCGTGATTCCCATAGCGGGGGATTGGGTCTTTGCAGGAAGCTATCCATGAGAGTAGCCAACCTCACACACACAGACAACTGTTCATCTTTGACAAAATTCACAGGTACCCAAACATGCACAAAGGAATTGCTACTTCCAAGTAGCTTGCATATGCCAGAGACGCTAGAAAGGAAGGTGTTCTCTCACTAGAGTGTTTTGTTTGTGCCTTTTCTCAAGAGGAGAAAACTGGGCAGGGAAGGGGACCCAACTCTGACCCTCAGTGACGATTGTGTCCTATGTCCAGATGTCCTTCTGTGCTGCCTAAACGGATGTCTTATAGGCAGGCGCACACTCGGCTGGGGTGATGGGGGCCCAGGAGGCAGGTCAGGCAGGGATCTCCCAGCATAAGGAAAATGTCAAGACATATTTGGGGCTAAGAGTGTGCCCCTTGATGAACACCCCCAGTTGTTAATAAATCAACCCTCCACGCCTGTGCAGTGCCTCAGGTGGGGAAGGAATTTCCCATGATAAGCCAAAAAGGGTGGGATTTGGAAGGGCTGCCTTACTGTGTTGGAGACTGTTGAAGGAAGCCGCGGAGTAGCTATTGTTGGCCTCGCTCTCTCCCTGTCTCTCTCTCTCTCTCTCTCTCTCTCTCTCTCTCTCTCTCTCTGTGTGTGTGTGTGTGTGTGTATGTGTGTGACTTTATTGTATCACCAGGCAGGAGGCAGTCTGTGAAAAATCTGCTCCAACAATAGTAAAGGAACGTGAAGGAGCTGAAAGAGTAGAATTTGCAATGCTGCAAGCATACAAATCAAAATAAAATAAGGATAGTTCAACAAATATACCTTTTCTGATAATTGTTTATAGCACTGACCATTAATTTATAGGTCTGAAGATATATTATCCAGAGAAAATGAACATTAAGGCAGCTTGGAGAGACTTTAAAATCCCAGTGCATACTTTCTTTCTTTCTTTTTTTGCTTTTTGTTTTTGAGACAGAGTTTCACTCTGTCGCCCAGGCTGGAGCGCAGTGGCGCCATCTCAGCTCACTGAAACCTCTGCTTCCCAGTTTCAAGTGATTCTCCTTCTTCAGCCTCCTGAGTAGCTGGGATTACAGGCACGCACCTCTATGCCCAGCTAATTTTTGTATTTTTAGTAGAGACGGGGTTTCACTATATTGGCCAGGCTGGCCTTGAATTCCCGACCTCAGGTGATCTGCCTGCCTCGGCATCCCAAAATGGCGGGATGACAGGCATGATCCACCATGCCCAGCCTCAGTGCATACTTTCAAAAGTTGTAGGGATTGAAAGGGAGTTTAAAACACACGTTCTCCAATCTCTTTTTGATGCCTGAGTTGTCTCTGTGACAACACCCTCCCATAGATTCTCTGGCCTATGCCTGAGATCTTCGCGGTGCCCACCTGTCATACCTACAAGGCATTTCCTTCCATTTTGGGTAACTCCAAACCCTAGAAAATAAAGTCACCTTTCATTTGTATCCACTAGTCTTAGATTTTAAAATAATCATCACTAGTATACACTGAATACCGGGAGCTGGTTCAGGTGTGTTTTATTTAATCCCCTATATATTTACCCCCGTAGGTGCATGAGTCAGCTCTGGTTGCCATCCCAAGCTACTATAGACTGGGAGCTTCGACAACAAAGAGTGTATTTTCCCACAGTTCTGGAGGCTGGGAAGTCTGAGATCAATGTTCTGGCTGATTCTATTTCTGAAGGCTTGAAGGGCAATAATCCTATCAGATCAGGCCTCCTCTACCCCAGCCCTCACTTAATCTCATTTAACCTTAATTACTTCCCTAGATGCCCCTTCTCCAAATACAGCCAGACTGGGAGTTAGGGCTTTTTTTCGGGAAGTGCCTGTAAGGGATTGATTTGCCCTCTCATGCAATGAGTGCTGTGGTTAGGACTGAAACCCTATCTGCCTGATTTCCCTGTATGCCAACTGTCCTGTGGTCCTTATTCTTGGAAATAACCTTGGACTTGAGACGACCTGGGGCCAAGTCCTTGCAGTGGGTGCTTTTGTCCAGCCCAGTTCAGCAGGACAGGAGACCCGATGGGGATTTGGGGACACAGCCTTATCTAGAAACAAAGTATGCGTTCTTTTTTTTTTTTTTTTTTTTCTGGAGTGGGGTTGTAGCAGGAGGGGCTGTGGCCAAAGTAATCAGGGACTCAGAATATGAGTTTGCTCAGACTGCTATAATAAAGTACCACAGACTGGGTGGCTTAAACAACAGACATTTGTTTTGTCACAGTTCTGGAGGCTGGAAGTCTGAGATCAAGGTGCCAGCAGGGCTGGTTTCTCCTGAGGCCTCTCTCTTTGCTTTACAGATGGCCACCATCTCCCCGTGTCCTCACGAGGTCATCCTTCTGTGCATGTCTGTGTCTTAATCGCTCCTTTTAAGGACGTCTGCCATATTGGATTAGGTTCCATCTGAATAACCCTATTTTAACCTAATTATATATCTAAAGACTTGATCTTCAAATAGAATCACATTCTGAAGTACTGGGGGTTAGGACTTCAACATATGAATTTTTTGGTGAGGGGAGTGGAGGGGTCACAATTTAGCCTATAACACTTAGGGAGCTGCATTTTCACAGTCTTGGCCAACAGAGGACACCAATGCTTGTATCCCCGCTCCTAGGAAGGGGCAGGTGAGATCTGTCTCCCTTGCAGAATGCTCCTGGACGCACAGCCTGTTCCGCCTGGGTATCCCTGTTTGCTTGTGTATCCCATCTACTTCCATACGGCAGGGAAAGAAAAACAACTTTTAATACAATAAAAGGTTGTGCTCTCTTTGAACCGTGGGGTTGTTTTTCTGTTACCAGAAAACACTTTTTCTTTCTATCCATTAGATAGCATCTTCTCTGTGTGCTATTTACCTTTTCTTCTAGCCCTTGCCTTCTCTCTCCTCCCATCTGGCAATTACCAGTGAAGTTACATAAATTGGTCTCCTTACCCATCATTATACACAGGAGTCGTACACAGCCTGCCCTGGGTACATGCTGTCCTCTGAAAAGGAAGTGGACTTACAAAACTGCATCACTACAGGACTTTAGAAATATTTGAAGAGAGATAAACAAGCAGCCATGAACTTGCCACACCAAAACAGATGTCCTCATTTTGCATATCGCTGGCTGTTTCTTAGTTGCATGCTTATAAATAAATTTTGCTTCAATATCTGTGAGGATCCAGTCAGGGAAACAGAAGCTAAACTAGTTGTTTTAACAGAGAAAATTTAATACAGGGAATTGCCCTAACAGGGGCTGGAGAATTGAAACAGCAGAAAGCCATGAAGGGAAGAGGTGAGATGATCGAAACACAGAGCTTGGTGGAGGGTCTCTGTGCAGCTGGGGCTCAGATCTTTGAGAAGGGGGTCCTGCCCAGCAGCTGCTGGTGTCTCTGAGGTGGCACATGAGGCTGGCTCTGGAAGTCTGGAAAGAAGGTAGACGCTGTAGTAACTGCTGCCACCGCAATGGAGTGCCATGTTTTCTTCTGATGCTACGTTCTAGGAATTTTATAGTTTTGCATTTATATTTGGGTCTATAATCCACTTTGAGTTAATTTTTGTGAAAGATATAAGGTCTGTGCCTTTTTTCTGTAGCATAAAAAAAAAACATGGCACTCCATTGCGGTGGCACTCCATTAAACATGCATTTAATATACATAACCTACTGAACATCACAGCTCAGCCTAGCCTGCCTTAAACACGCTCAGAACACTTACATTAGCCTGCAGCTGGGCAAAACCATCTAACACAAAGCCTACTTTATAATAAAGTGTAACTTTCTTTTTAACTTTATTTTTTTCATGTAACTTACTGAATACTGTGGTAAAAGTGAAAAACAGAAGGGTTATATGGGCACTTGGAATACAGTTTCTACTGAATACCTGTCACTTGTGCACCATCATAAAGTCGAAAAATCCTAAGTCAAACCGTCATAAGTCAGAGGTCGTGTGTACAGAGCAAGAACTGGGTTGCTGGGAAGGGGGTCAGCTCATATCCACCTAGTTATTAAGAGCCTCCACTGCAGTGGATGTCCTAGAGTGAGCATTCATACGGGGCATGCATATCTCCACTACCTCTGCTTATTCTCAGAGATCCAGCCACAGATGCCCTTGTCATTAATTTTCCAATCTTGTTCTCTCCAAGTCCCTAACAAACTGCCAAACCACTAGCCACTCCCCATGAGTCAGTGTAACTGTACCTTTGGCTACCTCTTCTAAGAGGACAACAGATGTACTGATTGAAGTTCCTCCTTCTGTCTTTTGGGGCACTCCTGATTGGGCTACAATAAGCAGCAGTCCAGTTCCCATATTGCGCAGAGCTAGATGTAAGAAAGGTCAGAGCCTTCCTCCCTCCTCAATCAATGAGTCGGAAGGAATTCCTCATGAGGTTGTAGGAGTGGACTGAGGGAGAAGATGCAAGAACAGAAGCAGCTGTCAGGGAGTCCGAGATAGATGCTCATGCAGGTCACCTGTGCTTTCTGCACCTGCTTGAGCTTCATTCATTAGCCATTTCTACCTGGAAGTGTCCAGCTCTGGTCCTGTACATCCCCTGCTTTATGAGTCACTGTGTCAGACAGCACCCCATTTGTGATGAGACGCTCAGGCCACATAACCATATGATGTCCCATGGTCAGGTATTCAGTCCCTATCAGGTGTGTTGCAAGGCAGGAGCCACTTCTCAAAAGGAGAATAATTACCTGAAGAAGAGGGCAAGGCTTTGCTCCTAAACCTTAGATCCCTGCATGACAATTGCCCTGCTGCAGCTGTCAGAGGCTTCACGCTGCATTGCTAGTTTCCATAGAAACTTCAAGCATTGTGGATATTCTGGGTCATAAGGCCCAAGTGACAGTGCGGTTTTCTCTGAAGGCTGAACCTGCTGCAGACACCTTCTCGCCTCTGGTCCCTGTTCAATACTGGAAGCCTAATGGGTAAACGGGTCAAAATAGCACATTTAATGTGATATGTTTCCTCCAAAATTAAAAAAGGAGACCCACCAGGTAGCAGCAACTTGTTTTCAGTGATAAGAGGAGAAAGGTACAACAATTTTCACTTTGAATAGGATACCCCAATATGCTCTGTTTGGACTCAGGACTCATCTCCCATCCTCCAGCCTGCATGTGTCTTCTTCCTATGGTATCTAAGGAAGTCACTATTTCCTGTGCATCAGGTCTCATCTGCATAACACTGCCAATATAGTGGACCAGTATGATTTTTGTAGGATGTAAAGACTGTTAAGATCTCTACTCTGAGGCAAAAAAAAAAAAAAAAAAAAAACCCAAAAACTTGAAAGTGTACTGTTGATTCTGCCAGTTAAAACAAATGGCTTCTGATGCTCCTTGGAAATGGGTGGAAAGAGAACTAAGCACCTGGCACATTGGGTGCTACACACCAGATGCAATGAGTTGTGCTGATTTGCTCCAGGAAAGTGTTGGCATCTGGAGCAGCAGCTGCAAGAGAAGGCAGCATCTGCTTAGGTTTACAATAATCCATGTTCTCCAAGATCCATCTGCTCCTGACAGACTCAACAGATCTGTAAAATGAGCAAAGTGATAAGTATCACCACTTCTTCCTTCGAGTCTTTGATGGTGGCCTTAATTTCTGCAGATTCTCCTAGGGATATAGTAAAGCTCTGGGTTTCTATCCTAGCAGAGGGGATGTTCCAAGGCCTTTCTGCTAAGATAGAAAGTAGTGCTCATCGTAGGGATCAGAGAGCCAACGTGGGCATTCCTCATACCACATTGAGTGTGGTGACTCTGTGCATCCGGGACATGGAGAAGTGATAGTAGGGATGTCCTTGTACCTACTGGGCCTGCTGTGATTTGGACTTGAGCTAAAACTCCATTTGTCAGCTGACTATTAGACCATTCCTCCCACTTTGACTAGTAGATCACATGGATGTTTTGGGTCCCTGGGAGCAAGCATCAGTTCCAAGCTAGGGTCTTGTAATGCACAAAAGGTCCAGAGATTCTTCTTTCTAGTGCATGATCACCATTTCTTAAGGTTGCATACCCTTTGGGAGAAGGCAAGGAGCAGCACATACTTGTGACAGGGTTGCAGGGGCCTTCCTTAAGGTGACTTGGTCTCTTCAATGAAGGGTCTGTGAAAGGGCTTGTGTCTAGAAACTGGAGGAAAGTTTTTCCATTGGAGTGATGCAAGACTCCCCATTGTGGCGACTCTGCAGACCAAGAGCTATGTTAGTAGGCTGTCCATGCACTGCATTCCCAGGGACACTGTGATACATGAGCCACCTTGTACCAAAGATCTGTGCGGATCCCATTCACCAAGTCGCTCCTGCTGCTCGTCACTCTAGATGTGCCCACCTTGTCTCTGACAGTTAAGTGCTGCCTTTGGCCTCTGTTGGTCATCTTCCTCCCTGAAATCAGGGAGCCCATCTCAGTAGAGGCATCCTACAGGGTCACACTGGGATCCGGGAGATGGGCCCCAGAGAGCTTTGCTAGGACACTGCTGCTTTGCCCACTGCTATGATTCTCAAGGTCGTAGTCAAGAGAATGCCCTCTTCGGGGATGAAGAAGGGGTGAGGCTTGGTGTACAGGTTGCGTATGATAAATCCAGCCCAACATTACCATATCCATAAGCTTTTGAACTCTGTCCTTTACATTATACCAGGAAAGTTCTGGAATCCCAACCTTGGTGAATATAGGCTACCACTAAGTTATAATCTCCCAGCCAAGCAGACCATTAGAACTAATCTCAATTACAGTAGCTAACATGTTCAATCCCACATGTCCAGCGGTTTGACCCCTATGTACTGATAGGGGTCTTAGTACTACTTAGGGCTACTTAGTACTTAGTACTTAGTACACTTAGCCCTGTCTCATGCTGTGTCCTCTCCCCCTTGGTCCACCATCCCTACAGTTTACTCCTACACACGTTGCAAAGTTTAGAGGAGCACAATTTGCATTCTATTCCTTGGCCAAGAGAAAAAGGCCGGGGAGTCTTAGTTGGAGTCCACGAGGCTGCTGGCTGACGACTAATCGAGTAGCATGGTAATCCTTTGTTTTACTGCCTTATATATGTTTTGCGTTTATAAGTCCAATTTACAGAAATGCCTCACAGGGTGAATGAAAGTGAATTTCTTGGAGGTCCCATGAGGACTGAGTGAGCCACCTCCTGCACCTGTGCTCTCTGCCTGGCCGGCGAGAACAACATCTAGAGGCTTCTTTGAAGGCTCACCTTAGTTAGGGCTGTTGGACAAACAAAATATGTCAATGTCTTCATTTGAGAGGCCACAGAACTTTGAAAACAATTTTTTAAGGAGACTTGAATGGAGTAGCTGGTGTGTACTTTGCAAAGCTTTGGAGAAGCTTTGAAGCTGGCCCTAAACAGTGCAGGCCAACACATTGAAGGCTTCTTTGAATGCTGGGTGTCCAGGGCTGTTAATGCCTTACTTGCACCTGCTATGAGGCTCAAAATAAAAACAACAACAACAAAATGAAAACAAAAAGTAGATCTCTTGATTAAAGGAAAATGGAAAGCCATTGGTGTCAACATGTTGATTTCAGTCCTCATATCTGACAGTAATATTTGTATACTTCTGTCTATACTTGTTAAATCTCTAATAAATACATTTTCTTGCTAAAAACTTATACATAGCAAATTCTTACCAGTTTATTAGTTAAAATTGGACTTCCTGTAGGCAAAGGTAAGAATTCTTTGCAATGTCAAGGAGAACCGAGACACTTCACCCCTCAAAATGTGCTATTGCATTAATGCGGTCAGGTTGGAAGCATTTGAGAAGCCTATTGCAAACCTCAGCTTGTTTATAAGAATTTTACAGAACTCTAGTTCATACAAGCTCATACAAGTCATACAAGCTCTATTGCTTAATTCACTTCCTAGACAGTGAAAGTGAAGTTTGTAACCATCTGTCAGAAAGTGATACAGTTAGGAAAATGTAGTTATATGTCAGCTAACTCCATTTCACTCAACAAACCGTATGATTAACACAGGTGTGTTCACAGGAAACACAGTGAGTGTTGGTCTTTGCTTAATGGAGTCTCAAGAAGACATTTTCAATGCTACAGGAGGCCTTTTCTTTCCCCTGCTAGAAAATTCATAGTCTTGTGACATTTTTTGGCAGTATGTGAAAATACAAGGAATTGATGGTGTGGATTCCTTGACACTTTAGGGAGGACTGCAAAGGGTTCAGAGCTTTGCTTCTAGTTTTTGATGGCATGAGATCCCATTTAGAAGCTCCTCTGAATGCTCACTGTAGCCAGCTTTTAAGTACAATGAGTTTGTTTGCTAACTATTATTATTTTGATATTAAAAAAATCAAACGGCTACTATTGGATTGCTTGCTTCTGTGGATCGCTAGGACTTTCAAGTAGAACTTAAATTCCAGTTCTAGAAATCCAGATAAATATTTAGAAGCTTCTGTGCATATTTGTGGAAGTCAGGGATGCGTTCAAGTTGGAGTGCACCAACAAACTCCTCCATTTCTTCAGCCAAAAGCCCCTGCCTTCCTCATAGAAAGTACACCTCCATGGGACACCTGAAATGGATTCCTTTCAACTTGAAGCTCTGTGAAATCAACGTTTGGAAGTGTCTGTGCTTGGTGACTATGCTTATGGCTGAAGTGCAACAAAATATTATAGTAATTTTTGTCTGCTTTACTGACACTTACACCTCTGACAGCACTTAGTTTGTGAGAACTGGAGTTGGGGGCTCATTAATAAATATTAACTGTTGGAGGAGAGTTCAGAGTTTCTCTCTACGCTCTCTCAGCTTGGTAAGGGCTGATTAGATTTAATGATACAGACTGGGCCACATTTGCTCTCGGGTGGCTTTCCTCTATGTTCATAGAGTCTCTCTGGGGTGAATCCTATGACCTGTCTGTGAGAACCAGTTGAAAGCACAAGAGATTCCGGTACTAAACATTGATAACAGTGTCAGCAACCTTCCTCTGTCAATGCTGTAAGGCCAGGGTTGAAATTTAGCCAAGTTTTATGCTTGTTGATTCCTGCCCCTCACTACTTACTCCAATTTCACTTCTTAAAAATGTGGTCACTATCCAATATTCTTTTTTTTTTTTTTTTTTTTGAGATGAATCTCGCCCTGTCCTCCAGGCTGGAGTGCGATGGTGCGATCTTGGCTCACTGCAACCTCCACCTCCTGGGTTCAAATGATTCTCCTGACTCAGCCTTCCCAGTATCTGAGATTACAGGCACCCGCCACCATGCCCAGCTATTTTTTTTATTTTTTATTTTTTATTTTTAGTAGAGACGAGGTTTCACCATGTTGGCCGGGCTGGTCTCGAGCTCCTGACCCCATGATCTGCTCGCCTCAGCCTCCCGAGTTGCTTGTGAATTGCCTTTGTTCCTGGTTTAGGTGGCATGAGGCATTGAAGCTGTGCTTTCACTTCCTAAGATTAGAACTAGGACACTGGAGACTGTGTCTTTTGATTCTTCTTTCTGAGAATTCTTTCAAATAGCTTCAGGTCCACTTCCTGTAAGCAAATTAACGTTTTGACTGTGAGATTTGCACTGGCCTTAACGAAGTATTCATGATTCAATTGAAAGCAATTTAGCGATTGCTGTAGTGAGTACTGACAGAAATCTTCAAAATGTCTAGCCCTAAACTACAAGAGTTTGTTTGGAATGGTTATCTATAGCATGTCAACGAATCACAACAGCTACTTGTTTCAAGTTCTATTTTTGAAAGCAAAGTACAGCAGCCTTGAAAGTCCTGAACTGGAGGAAGAAAAAGGAATCAGAA
Source organism: Homo sapiens (assembly GCF_000001405.40). Lineage (NCBI taxonomy): Eukaryota > Metazoa > Chordata > Mammalia > Primates > Hominidae > Homo > Homo sapiens. The sequence continues at coordinate 26,700,662 of NC_000008.11, forward strand.
GAGTCAATAGAATGACATTTCCTGGCTTTTCTAAAAAAATAATAGGCCTCAAAAAAAATTAGCCGGGTGTGGTGGTGGGCACCTGTAGTCCCAGCTACTTGGGAGGCTGAGGCAGGAGAATGGCGTGAACCCGGAAGGCGGAGCTTGCAGTGAGCCAAGATCACGCCACTCACTGCACTCCGGCCTGGGCGACAGAGCAAGACTCAGTCTCCAAAAAAAAAAAAAAAAGAAAGAAAGAAAAAGAAGAAATATCCATCCATCATTTTCAATACCTAGGATATGAATTTAATCACATGGGGTGGCTTAGTTCTCCCCAAAACTTGAAGGAATCCTCACCAGCATCTCCTACATGTGTATTTCCTGTGAATAAAATGGTAGCAGCACTTAAGCAGGGAAATGAAGCTTTGATCATGCATCGGCTTCAGTACCAGTGACAGCAAGAAACAACACAGGTACACCCCAATATTTCTCTTGTTGTCTGCTATTGGTTTCTGAATAACAGCATTTAGTTTTTTTTCTCAATCTTGAAAGCCTGAGCAGCAGCTCTGCAATGTGAATCTAGCTCTTAAAGTTTTTGTAAGAAGCAAAAAGTGACTATAGCTGATGAAATGTATTTAAGTGTGTAGCAAACTCAAATGCCCTCTAGGTGGAGTATTCACAGACACTGGCAGAAATCTCTAATGGGGCTGACTTTATTTATAAGCAGGCAGTGCATATTGAAACTGATATCTTGGCTCTCTGTGCATCTTTAGGGGAGCAACACCAGCTGTTCTTTGGAAATTTGCAAACAAACTTGCAGTTGTTCTCAGTAGTTCATAGCAGGTGAAATAAAGGAGATATCACCAATCGGATTTGGGGGAGTTATGTGCTTTGGTTCTGTTGAGCTTGTTGGCAACCCAGTCTCCTGAAATCTTGCAACTAGTACATTTGGAACATACTATACTATTGCAGCAATAGTCTCTCTTTTTGATGTTGTAGGCTTTCTTTAGTTGTCTGGTAAACTCTGATTGCTTGTTCATATTTAAATATGAGGCAATAGAAAGACTGACCTGGATCTTGGTGGGAGAGGACGTGGCCTGCTAACTGGGTGAGAGGGCAGGGGGACAGTCATCACATAAGTGCCCTCAAACTTTGTCATTGTCCTTACAAGGCTGTAGGCAAGGTAACTTGTGTCCCCTAGTTGATGTTTTTCTTTTTTTTCTTTTGCCTTTCCCTGTCATGTATGTGTGAGAGGAGACTGTAGACATCTAGTTTCTCTGCTGCTTTGTGGTGGGGTGGTGAACTTGGGCATACACAGACCTTCCATTAACGCCCTGTCTCCTGGCCTACCTTTTCTGCTTTCCCTGCACTCTGAGCCCAGTCTGCTGGGTAGGTCTGTGGCTTCCAAGGTTGGGTTCAAAGCCACGCATGCTCAGCTTTCCTTCACTGGCCACACCCCTCCATTTGTATCCTGTCCTTCAGAGGTGTATTGAGGTGCCTTATTTACTGGTGAACTTCTCCCGTTCTCTCCCTAATGCTTTAAAAATTGGCTGTAAGCCTATTAGTAGCAGGATGGTGAGTTTCTAAGTAAGTAAAATGAAGGATTTATCATTCTGCCACATTTTGGGTGATGGCTCAGTTACTTCAAGGAATCCATGCCAGCTATTAATAGCAAACATAGTTCATTAAAATCAAAGTACAGTCAGGGCATGGTGGCTCAAACCTGTAATTCTAGCACTTTGGGAACCTAAGGTGCTTGGGAGGCTGAGGCAGGAGGATTGCTTGAGGTCAGGAGTTCAAGACCAGTCTGGGCAACATAGTGAGACCCTGTATCTAAAAAAAAAAAAAAAAATAGCATAACCTCACCATGGTATAGGTGAAATGGAAAGGTTAGCATATAGAAGTAGCCTTCCTACTTTTGTTTTTATTATCTTCCTGTAAATTCATTTTTTCCTACTCAATTGTGCAATATAACAACCTTATTTGAAACAGTTCCAGCTGGGATTCTGATGCTTAATAGGTGCTATGCTTTTTTTTTCCCCCAGCAGATAGCCACTAACAGAATTGCAAATTAAAAACTTAAAGTAAGATTAATTATTATCCTCTGTTTTATTCACTTGAATTAGTTATGTTAGTGAATATGAGGCCCTATAGATTTGGAAATTTATGTCTTTAAAAAAAATAAAAATAGATCCCTGACCAGCATTTCTTTTAATATGTTAATTAACTTAAAAATAAATACCTTTCAGTAAAATATAAGAAGGAATTCTAGACGGCTAAGAAACATATTAAAATACATTTAAGCTCATTAGTAGTAAAATGCAAATTAAAACTAATAATAATGAGGTATCTTTTGCCTATAGAGTTAGCATCAATTTTATAGAATGATAACACTCAGTGCCACAAGGGAGCAGACTGAAAGGAGTGGAAACAGATGTTTCTGGGGGAAAATTTGGCAATAAATATGAAAAGCCTTAATGATGCATATGACTGTATCAAACGATTTTGCATTTAGGAGCTTATCCTAAACAAAGAAACACTCATGTTTGAAAAAGATATAACTGAAAGAATGTTCTAATAGTGCTATTCATTCAGCAGAAGTCGGGACCAACCTAAATATCAAAAAATGGGAAACTGCTATAATCCCTTATGGTATACATAAATGGAAATCAATATAGCCAAAATAATGTAGAATGTTTACTAACTGGAAAAATTCTCACAGTACATAGTTACAAAAAAAGATAAAGCCTATGGGAGAATATTGATAATATGATTTCATTTTTGCCTATTTAATTATTCATTTATGCAAAAAAAAATCTGGAAGGTTGTGCAGGCAAAGTTTATTGTCAGAAAGAAAACAAAATTTTGTTGATAGATTTTATGTTTTCAGAGCAGTTTTGGTTTATAGACATGTGAACAGGAAATACAGAATTCCCATATATCTGTTTACCTCCCACCCAGTTTCTCCTATTATTAACATCTTGCTTTAGTGTGGTACATTTGTAATAGCTAATGAGTCAATATTGATATGCTATTATTAAAGTCCTTGGTTTACAGTAGTGTTTGTTCTTAGTGTTATATATTTTATGGACTTAATAAATGTATAATGACGTGTATCCACCATGATGGTATCATACAGAGGAGTTTCCCTGCCCTAAAAATTCCTGTGCGCCAACTGTTCATTCCCCACTCTCCCTAAATCTCTGGCAACCACTGGTCTTTTTACTGTCTCCATAGTTGTCTTTTCCAAAATGCCATAAACTTGGAATATGTAGCCTTTTCAGACTGGCTTCTTTCACTTAGCAATGTGCATTTACGATTCCTCCATGTCTGTTCATGGCTTGATAGCTCATTTCTTTTAACCACTGGCTAATAATAGTCCATTGTATGGATGTCTCAGTTTGTTTATCTATACACCTGTTGAAGGACATCTTGGTGACGTCCAAGCTTCACAACTATGAATAAAGCTGCTACAAACATTAATGTACACTTTTATGTATGTGGACATAAGTTTTCAACTCATTTGGGTAAATAACCAGGGAGTGTGATTGCTGGATCATATGGTAAGAGTATGCTTTATTTTGTAAGAAACTGCTAAATGTCTTCCAAAGTGGCTGTATCATTTTTTTATTCCCACCAGTAATGAGTGAAATTTCTTACTGCTCCACACCCTTGCCGGCATTTGGTGTTGTAGTATTTTGGATTTTAGCCATTCTAATGTGTTATGTAATGATATCTCATTGTTGTTTTGATTTGCAATTCCCTAATGACATATGATTAAGCATCTCTTTATATACTTATTTGCCATCTGTATATCTTCTTTGGTGATGCATCTGTTCATATCTGCTGCCTATTATTTGGGTACTTGTTTTCTTATTGTTGAGTTTTATGACTTTTGGGGGTCTCTTTTGGATACCAGTTCTTTATCAGATATGAGTTCTGCAAATATTTTCTCCAGGCCTGTGGGCTTTGTTGTTTTATTCTCTGAACAATGTCTTTTGCAGAGCAGTTTTTAATTTTAATGATGTGTAACATAACAATTTTTCTTTTACAGATTGTGCTTTTGGTATTATATTTAATTATCATTGCCAAACCCAAGGTTATCTAGATTTTTTTCTGATGCTATGTTCTAGGAATTTTATAGTTTTGCATTTTATATTTGGGTCTATAATCCACTTTGAGTTAATTTTTGTGAAAGATATAAGGTCTGTGCCTACATTCATTTTCTTTTCTTGTGCCTGTCCAGTTGTTTCAACATTGTTTGTTGAAAAGACTACCTTTGCTTCATTTTATTGACTTTGCTCCATTATCAAAGATCAGTTGACTATATTTGGATGGGTCTATTTCTGAGCTCTCTATTCTTTTCCATTTATCTGCTTGTCTATTTTTTCACCAATACCACACTGTTTTGATTAGTCTAGCCTTTTAATAAGTCTTGAAGGGTAGTGTCAGTCCCACTTAGTTCTATTTTAATTTTGTGTTGGTTATTCTGGGTCTTTTGCCTTTTCATATAGACTTTAGAATCAGTTTGTCAAAATAACTTGCTGGGATTTTGATTGGAATTGCATTGAATCTATAGACCTAGGTGGAGAGAACTGACATCTTGACAATATTAAGTCTTCTTATCCATTGCTATGATTTGAATATGTCCGCCATATTTTCATGTGTTGGAAACTTAATTGCCATTGTAATAGTTTTAGGAGGTGGGGTCTTTCAGAGATGACTAGAATGGATTCATGCTGCTATGTGGGAGCAGGCTTGTTATTGTGGGAGTAGGCTCCTGATAAAATGATAAGTTTGGTCCCACTTCTCTCACTGTTTTGTGTGCTCACTTGCCATGTGATGCTTTCTGTCATGGCATGCCCCTCACCAGATGCTGGCGCCATGCTCTTGGAATTCCCAGCCTCCAGAACTGTGATCCTAATAAATTTCTGTTCTTTACCAATGGCTCAGTGTGTGGTGTTCTGCTATAGCAGCAGAAAATGGACTAAGACATTCATATAAATGGAATATTTTTCCATTTATTTAGATCTTTGAGTTCTTCCACCAGTATTTTGTAGTTTCTTCACATAGATCCTGTATGTTAAAAAATTTATAGCTGTTTCATATTTTGGTGCTAATATAAATAATACTGTCTTTCAAATTTTAAATTCTAATTATTTCTTGCTCGTAACAAACTTATTTCTAAGAGATCATAACCATATCAGAGGATGGGAACAGACATCTTCTCTCTTACCTATCAAGTTGTTAAATAAAATATTTTGTAGTAGTTGAATTAAAATATGTGTCAAAGTTTCATTTTAACATTAATGTAAAGGAAAAAACATTAATATATTAAAAAAACTCACTTTCAGAAGGCACATTTTAGGGGAAAAGAGAATTATCAGATAGTGATTTTTAAACTATATACTAAAAAGTTATAGAAAAAATAAAAGAATATTTGTCCTAAGAATTTATTGTCCCAACTGGCACACCTTTGAGGGAGCAAGGGCACACTATTAATGATTACACTGAGACAAACCTGGGACTGTCCCCTGCACCCAGTGATGTGTGTCCACTAGAATCTTGATGGACAGTCAGTGCAGATCATGATTCATGATTTCCCAGAACAGGTCTTAATCCCATTAAAGTTTATCAGAAAATTGTGTAAGCATTTTTATCAGGAATACTGTTTTTCTTTCACAATGAACTGTGAATTACACCATACAAAAAGGTTCTGTCCCATGCTAGGCTTAGCATAATTTTTCTTTGACATTGCCTTTTGATCCTTATGGAGTCAGCTTCTGGTGGGTATCTAGGAGTCCCTTCTCTCTCTGGTTTCTCTTCCTCTCCTTCTTTTCCCCATGTCTCTCTGCCCTCTTCCTCAAGTTTCAGATCCTTGCTAGTGGTACTCCATCTTAGGATTTCTTAATAGTATTAGGAATAATAACAGCAAATTCTTATAGAGAGATTAACATATAACAAATATTGTTCTAAATGCTATCCATACACTTACAAGAGTCTTTTGAAGTTGATACTGTACGTATCTCATTTTCGTTAAGGAAACTTACGCACAAAGAGGTTAAACAGCTTGTCTAATATCACAGAGCTAATAAGTGGTAGATTTAAACATAGCAGCCTGGAGCTCCTACTTGTAACCACTTTGCTATCCAGAGGAGCATCTTTCACACAAACGTTTCTCTTTCTCATATGGAACGCTTCTCACCTGGGCAAGGTAAATAAGAAAGGTGGGAGTGAAGAGGGATGGAAAACCATTGGTGCACATTTAAAAAGATACACCTATCTTTGTCTGGTTGGGTTGCTAAAACAAAATGCTATGAATTGGGTGACTTGTGAACAACAATAATTCAATTTTTCCCAGTTCTAAAAGCTGGGAAGTCTAAGATCAAGGTGCGAGCCGAGTCAGTTCGTGGTGAGGGCCCACTTCCTGGCTTGTAGATGGCAGCCTTCTCTCTGTGTGCGCACATGGCCTCTTCTTTGTGTAGCAAAATTATAAGGGGAAGCTGGACTGGTGGCTCATGCCTGGAATCCCAGCACTTTGGGAGGCCTAAGCAGGCAGATCACTTGAGGTCGGGAGTTTGAGACCAGCCTGGCCAACATGGTGAAACCCCGTATCTACTAATAATACAAAAATTAGCCAGGCATGGTGGCACATGCCTGTAATCTCAGCTTCTTGCAAGGCTGAGGCAGGAGAATCGCTTGAACCTGGGAGGCGGAGGTTTCAGTGAGCCAAGATTGTGCCACTGCACACCAGCCTGGGTAACAGAGCGAGACTGTCTCAAAAAAAAAAAAGAAAAAAACGTATAAGGGGAGTCCTAGTGTCCTTTCTTTAATTATAGATACAGTAATCCCATGAAAAGAGCTCTACCCTCATGACCTTCATCTAAATCTACTTATCTCCCAGAGACCCTACATCCCAATACTATCACATGGCAGGTAGGGTTTCAACATATGATTTTGGGGCAACATAAACATTCAATTCGTAACAACACCTTCACATATGATGTATCAAAAGAAGGTATGTGAATAAGTTAGCACTGGTTGTCTCTGTGTAGAAAAACAAAAGTTATATGTTTTTGTCCATTTGTATTTGTCTTTAAAAGAGATTTTACTTTTATATAGGAGAACACATGTTATTAGATGTTATAGTTTAATAATTACTTAGAAGTTGCTTCTCTCTCAGTTTTGCATTGAGGTATGAAACATTCTCTCTGAATTCCAGAACAAAGTACTTACAACAAGCACCTTCTTTTAAAGTAGGTGAAGTGATACTGTGGCATTCAAATCCACACTGTGTTGGCTGTGGCCTTTAGGGGAATTACAAACCAACTGAGCTAAGCTTTCATCCCAGGCGGGGAAGTTTCCTTCATATGTGCAGAGCATAATTATTGAATGCCCTTGCCATCCATTATTTCAGGTTCACTCCAGGACAAAGCATAATTCATCCCCTCTCCTATTAAAGAACAAGCAGAAGAGGCTCCTGGGAATTGCAATTAAGAGCAGCATAAATCAAACTGGAAAATTGCCCACAATTTCAACCATTTTGTTCAGATACTTTCCCCATCTCTCATTTTTGCCTGCTTTTTCTTAATTCTATTTGTTTTTGTTAACACCAGATTCAATTATGGAGGGATGCTTTATCTTTCTTTTATGAATGTAATAAAAGAAAAGAGAAAAGCTATAGAGCTAAAAAAAAAGCTGCATTAGGAGCCCACATATACCTAAAGAAAAAGACAAGCAATGAGGAAGTTTTCACAGAGGACAACAGCAGAGATGGCTGAAGCTATTCCCCAAAGGTTGCCAATCTCTATGGTGTTATTGGTGTCACCTCAGAGGTTATTGATTTTCCTAGACACTAAGACACATGAGCTCAGTACACAAAAAGTAGAAGTCTCATTTGGTATTGATTAAGTCTACTTGATATCAAAATAACCATTTACACTTTGGGAGGCTGAGGCAGGCAGATGGCTTGAGTTTAGGAGTTCAAGACCAGCCTGGGCAACGTGGCAAAACTTCATCTCTACAAACAATAAAGAAACAAAAAAACCATATAAATTATTAGAGAATGTAACTCAGCTCTGTGCACAAAACCCAATCCAACTAGTTTTGGGATCTCGACCTTCTGTATCCTATGTTCAGTAATTTTATTTAAGAACTTGGATCTCATGCTTACAGGATGGAAACCAAAGGCCATTTTCCCAAGAGGATCATTTTCTATGTTTTAAAGTCCTCTGTTAATACCTGAGCAGTCATTACATTTCTCCCTGGCTGAAGACCAAAGAAAAAAGAGGAAATCTAAGCGTTTCACTTCTCCATCAGTAGCACTGGGAATGTGTTGACATAGAATTTAGATCTTTTAGTTGTGACAAGTCTCATCACATGGAGACCTGGAGTTTTCAGGTTTCCCTTTCCTGAGGTGGAGTCTTCATGCAAAGTAAACAGGATCAGAAAATTATAAATGGTTTCTGTGTCCTAGAGAATCAGGCCCAGTCTTCTCGCCTAGGCTTTTTTTATTCAACTGGCCTTGTTCTACTTCTCAGCTCTTTGTTTGTCCCATCCCTGGAGTCATCACCATTGTTCTGCAGGCCCTCCATGTTCACTTCTGTCTTTACATATTCTGTAAGTGAAGAGGGGAACGGCTGTGTTTCTTGTAGGCATTCCTATAAAATTCTACTATCCTTCAGAATCCAGCAAAAATTCCATAATATGTTTTCTTTTTCTTTTTTTTTTGAGATAGGGTCTTGCTCTGCCGCCCAGGCTGGAGTGCAGTGGCATGATCACAGCTCACTGCAGCCTCAACCACCTGGGTTAAAGGAATCTTCCCAGCTCAGCTTCCCAAGTGACTGGGATCATGGGCACACATCACCATGCCTGGCTAATTTTTAATTTTTTTGTAGAGACAGGGTCTTGTATGTTGCCTGGGCTGATCTTGAACTCCTGGGCTCAAGCAATCCTCTTGCCTTGGCCTTCCAAAGTGCTGGGATTATTATAAGTGTGAGCCACCGCACCTGGCTGCCGTATCATTTTTTTTGATCATTCTAGTTTACACAATTCCCTTATTATTCAGAACCATGAAAAATTGTATTTGGGGGTTCATTACTCAGAACAGAATTATTTATTTATTAATTATCTGATTTATTTATTAATCTAAGAAAATGATATGAGCCCCTACTGTCTGCTATGCTCAAAAGTGGATGCAAAAATGAAAAAGATGTAAATCTTCTCCTCAAGAAGTTTGGAGTCTCACTAAGGAAAGAGGAAAAGACAGAAAAAGGTATAAAGTAGTGTGGGGGTTTATAGGAAGAAGACTTGAGTTTTTTAGGGAATGGGAGGGGCCAAAGATAAATCAGTGGAAGAAAATATGACATCACGACTTTGGGATTTTTATCATGACTCCGCAGCTATCCAGCTACAAGGTATGCCACTTGATGTTTATTTGTGAACTTCTCAGTGCTAGCTAGAAAGTAGCACTTTTATTGTAAAATATAATACACACAGAGAAGAGTACATAAAATGGAACCACATGGCTTAATGAACTATTGAGGTGAACATCTATGTAACTACCACCTGGGACAAGTAATTGAATGTTCCTAGCCACCCAAAGGCTCCTACATGCCCCTTCTAGATCATGTTAGTCAGGATTTTCTAGAGAAACAGAACCTATAGGACACACGCACACACGCACACACACACATGCACACACACATGCACACACACACACAGATCAAGAATAAAAAGAATTGGCTCATGTGATTGTGTAGGCTGGCAACTCTGGAATCTGCAAATAGGCGTGCAGGTTGGAGACTGGTGGAAGAATGCCGCTAGAGTCTGAAGGCAATCTGGAGGCAGAATTCTCTCATCTTCTGGGAACTTCAGTCTTTTTTTTCTTAATGCCTTCAAATGATTGGATGAAGCCCTCCCACATTATGGAAGAGAATCTGGTGCACTCAAAGTCTACTGCTATAAATGTCAGTCACATCTGAAAATAGCCTTCACAGCAACACTTAGAATTGTATTTGACCAAATATCTGGGAACTTTGTGGCCTAGCCAAGTTGACCATAAAATTAACCATCACAGAGATCACAATTCCTTCCCTTCTTTCTTTGTTTTGCTTGATGTTTTCTTGAAACATTTTTTTTTTTACTTTTTAATTTTTGTGGGTACATTGTAGGTAGATATATTTACGGGGTACACGAGGTATTTTGGTACAGGCATGCCATGGGTAATAATCACATCTTGGAAAGTTGGGTATCTATTCACTCAAATATTTATCCTTTGTGTTACAAACAATCCAAGTATACTCTTTGTTATTTTAAAATATACAATTAAATTATTATTGGCTATAGTCCCTCTGTTCTGCTTTCAAATACTAGGTCTTATTCATTTTTCTAGCTATTTTTTGTGCCCATGCTTTATAGTTTTATCACCTATGTATGCATCCCTAAAATTTGCTTAACTTTTCCTGATTTTGACCTTTATATAAATATAATTATTCAGAGTAAATATTTTTGTGTCTGGTTTGTTTTGTTGAACATTTACTTTTTTTTTTAACTCTTTAAAGTTTGGGGGTACATGTGCAATTTGTTATATAGGTAAACATGTGTCATGAGGGCTTGTTGTACAGATCATTTCATCACCCAGGTATTAAGCCTAGTACCCATTAGTTATTTTTCTTGATCCTCTCCCTGCTCCCAGCCACCCCCCTCTAGTAGGCTCCAGTGTCTGTTTGAACGTTTAGTTTTTAAGATTCATCCATGTTGCTGTATGTAACAGTAGTTCTTCATTTTCATTGCTGTATAATATTCCATTGAATGAGCACACCACAGTTTATCCATTTTTTTTGGCCAGTCTATCTATTCTTCTGTGGGCATTTTGTTTTCACTTTTGTTCTATCCAACCGTAATGCTACTCTGACCATATCTTAGAGTGCATAAACATGCATTTCTGTCCAGTAATTACTTAGGAATAGAATTGTTAAGTTATAGGGAGTCTGCATCTAAAACTTGGTGAGATAATGACAGACTATTTTCCAAAATAATGGGATCCATTTACTGTCTCACTGGTGGTATGTGAGAGTTCATCTTCCTCTCTCTTCTCCTTTTCCTTTTCCTCCCCCTCCTGTTTGCTCACTTGTCCACCGTGAGTCACATACTGTACCCTCTTACATACTTTATTTCATCTCAAGCAGTAGTGATATTTTTATAATAGATGGTCAGTAAATATATTGTCAAACCGATTGAGAGACTGAATTAGTGACTCGAATATTTTTCATGTCCATTAGGGTGGTAGCTTGAAATAAATAAAATATCATCATGCATCCCCATTATTTTGGGGAACGTGAACATTTTCAGGCAGATTTTAATTCTGCTTGAGAACTGCCTAAGAGAATTGCATATGTGTGACAGTGCATGTGTATGTGTTTGTGGGACAAAGTGTGTGCAGCACTAGGTCACGTCCTGTGCCCGGGGCACTCCCATCCCTAGTTTATGGAATGATAACAGAGACACCACCATCATCTGCAGTGCCCCTTCATCCACCTCTCCTCTCAGCTTCTGAGGCTCCTTCTTCCTTATTGCACAGATCCCATCTGCAGTAAAGCCAGGCTCCTGCTCTCCCCAAGAAGTGCTGCAAAATTTTCCATGTTCTGGAACTCTCTTGGTTCTGCATTTATCCACTTACTTCTCTTTAATTCATCTTGTATCCCACTCTTTCTGGGCCTTGATCTGCACTAATTAATCTGATGAACAATTTGGGTTCCAGTGCTTTGCTTGAGTCTTAAAACTCTTCTACAATGATTTAAAAGAAATATGGTCACATATAGGAATTTTTTTGTTAGTGGAGATTTCCAGTTTTTTCTTATTTCCTGAGCACTCATGATGTTAGTTACTGTTGATTAAACTGCTGTAATTTCCATAGAGTAAATGACAGCAAGAAGATTGGCCAATAATTCCATCCTGTATTTTAGGTATTCTTGAGAATGACAGAGAGAAAAATATGTAAATAAATGCAATATTTCATAAAATGAGAAAAAAGCACAGACCACAAATGAACATGGGTACAACGTTCAGGGGTTTCAAACATATTAATTTACATTGGTCTTTTTTCAGATGAGTAAGCTGTACTCTTTGAGTTCAAATGATTTGTCCAAAATCATCAGCCAGCAGTTAAGAAAACTAGATGTTCTAATTCTTTTTTTTTTTTAATGGAGTCTCACTCTGTCACCCAGGCTGGAGTGCAGTGGCGCGATCTTGGCACACTGCAACCTCTGCCTCCCAGGTTCAAGCGATTCTCCTGCCTCAGCCTCCTGAGTAGCTGGGATTACAGGCACATGCCATCATGCCCGGCTAATTTTTGCATTTTTAGTAGAGACAGGGTTTCTCCATGTTGGCCAGGCTGGTCTTGAACTCCTGCCCTCAGGTGATCTGCCCGTCTCGCCTCCCAAAGTGCTGAGTTTACAGGCGTGAGCCACTGTGCCCAGCCTAGGTCTTGTAATTCTAAATCCACCCTCCATTTAATATTCCTTATCTTAGCAAGAAAATGTGAAGAAATAACATTACACTATTGTGATTGTTGAGAAGTAAAGAATTAGAATTAAGGATTTAATTTTTTTGTTTATTCTCAGTGTCGGCTGCTTTACATACGTTTCTTATTGTCACTCAAGCCCTCACAATAACCATGTGAAGGAAGTCTTATTAGCCTCACTCTGTTTTTTATTTTCCTTCATAAACACATTTAATGACTGGTCATGTACTGCATATTGCATATTAAGAGAATTTCTAGTAAGACATGCAGAGACTAATGCTAGACCAAGTCTTGCTCAGCCCAATTCTAGTTTATTATATTATTATTTTTGTTGGATCCCAGGTGCACAGAATTGGGTTAATCATAATCTAGAATCATATTCTTTTTTTTTTTTTTTTGAGACCTGGTCTTACTCTGCTGCCCAGACTGGAGTGCAGTGTCATGATATTGGCTCTCTGCAGTCTCGACCTCCCAGGTTCAAGCCATCCTACCACCCCAGCCTCCTGAATAGCTGGGACTACAGGCATGCACCACCATTCCCGGCTAATTTTTAATTTTTTTTTAGAGATGGGATTTCGCATGTTGCCCAGGCTGGTCTTGAACTCCTGGGCTCAAGTGATCCAGTCACCTCAGCCTCCCAAAGTGTTGGGATTACAGGCATAAGCCACCACACCCAGCCTAGAATCATAATGCTTATAACTGGACCATACGTGGTCTACTTTTATTTACATGGTTGGCTATGTGATCTTAATGTGATAAACACCCTGAACCCACCACCGAAAACAAAAGCTAAGATCTTGATAATAACTGCATCTAGTGAGAAGGTTTCTACTTCCATCTCCCTAATTCCTCCCCACTGAGGTAGCCCCCGTGCTGGATCCTGTGTCCATCATTTGCTTGTGTTCCTTTTTATATCATCTCACTTTTTATAATGAATGTTATTTTGCTAAGATTCATCCATATTGTAGGTTGCTATAGTTCATTGATTTTATCTTCTGTTATATTCCATTGTGCAACTATGTCAAAGTTGATACACTCTCTAGTTGGTGAGCATTTGGGTTATGTCCAGGATTTTACTTTTGTGATGGTATTGCTATGCACATTGTTGTGTGTGTGTGTGTGTGTGTGTGTGTGTGTGTGTGTGTATGGTATTGCTTGTGTTTATCTCTTGTACATGAGTACATCTTCTCTTGTATATATTTCTAGGAGTTGAATTTCTGAGTAGTCACAGGTTATATAAATGTGCAACTATAAAAGAAATGCATCCAACAGTTTTTCAATGTAGTTGCACGCATTTATACATCTAGGACTGATTTATAAAAAGTTCTATGGCAATCGCTTGAACCTGGGAGGTGGAGGTTGCAGTGAGCCAAGATTGCTCCACTGCACTCCAGCTTGGGAAACAGAGTGAGACTTCATCTTAAAAAAAAAAAAAAAATCTATGGCTCCACATGCTGTCCAACACTTGCTATTGTAAAACTTCTATATATTTTTTTCTCACCAAATTGGTGTCAGTGGCATCTTATTGTATGGTTTAGATTTCCCTGAACAGGATGATGTTGAACATCTCTGCGTGTTTATTGGTTCTGGGTATTTCCTCTGAGGTGAAGTTTCTCTTCACTTTCATTTTACAGAGGGGGAAACTTAGGCTTAAAGAGGGTAAGGCCAGGTACAGTGGCTCGTGCCTGTAATCCCAGCACTTTGGGAAGCTGAGCAGGTGGATTGCTTGATCCCAGGAGTTTGAAACCAGACTGGGCAACACAGTGAGATCGTGTCTCCAGAAAAAATTAAAAAATTAAGTGGGCACGGTGGCACATGCCTGTAGTCTCAGCTACTGGGGAGGGTGAGGTGGGAGGGGAGTCGAGTCTGCAGTGAGCCATGTTTGTGCCACTGGACTCCAGCTGGGGTGACAGAGTGAGACCTTGTCTACACATAATAATAATAATAATAATAATAATAATAATAATAATAATAAATAAAATCCACTCCCTCTCCCCAAAAAACCAAAACCAAAACCAAAGAGGTTAAGTACCTTGACTGAAGTTACATTAAGTACCATGTGGTAGACCTGGACTTTAAACTCAGGTCTGTCAGAATATAAAACATTTGTTTTCTTCAACATCTGATATTGCTTCCTTCCATGGAACTGGTTTTTTTTTTTTTGACAGAGTCTCGTTCTTTTGCCCAGGCTGGAGTGCAGTGGCACAATCTTGGCTCACTGCAGCCTCTGCCTCTCAGGTTCAAGAGATTCTCCTGCCTCAGCCTCCTGAGTAGCTGGGATTACAGGTACCTGCCACTGTGCCCATCTAATTTGTGTATTTTTTAGTAGATATGGGGTTTTACCATGTTGGCCAGGCTGATCTCGAACTTTCGACCTCAAGTGATCGTCCGCCTCAGCCTCCCAAAGTGCTGGGATTATAGGTGTAAGCCACTGCACCCGGCCATGGGACTGGTTTTTAAATAAACATATCAGAAGTCACTCACTGAAATAAGTAATTTATCTTAAAGGACCCACTTTAGAAGTCTATCCCATTATTCCCAAAATGAGGTCATTCTTAGAACAATTTGTAGTTTTTTTTCACAATTTTTACCATTTCAAACTGTCAGTTTATAAGACTTGTAAGAAAAATAAATTAAAATTTTCTCACTTTCTTTGGAATCCAAATGATAGTTCCCAGATAGTTTATTCGCTTCAGGAACCAGGACCGTTCTGAATAACTATTAGTTGTTTCCAAAAGTCAAACCCACTCTCTATGGATGGATATTTACTACCACTGAAAATACTGAAAACACATGTGCCTCATGGGCTCATTTCAGTGGTTTTCCAGTTGTGTCCCTTGAGGTGCTAGCATTTGTGAACATAACTGAGGGTCCCCATGGGGTAGAAGCAGCTGTGTGCCTCATTTTAACTAGACATTTTCTATTTTCTATATTGGGCTTGCATATATTATTTATTTTGGAGGAAAAGGAGTTGCTAAAAATCAATTTATGAGATGACTTTCTTGAATCCTTCAGCCCCTTCCAGCACTTTCTCCCACTCCTCTGCTTGATGTCTCTTCATAGCATTTATCCACCTAATGCATTTCTTTGGCTGCTCATCAACTCTGTACCCACTAGAATATTACCTCTGTGAGTGGGGAGCTTTGTTTTGCTGTTGCAACCTCACACCTAGAAGGGTGCCAACATAGAGTAGATGTGTAAGAGGTATTCAGTGAAAGAAAGAATGAAAGATGTACTGAGTTGCCATTGCTTTTTGAAGCAGTGAGGGGGCTCTTCCACACCCTCATGTCATCTTTGCCAGTTGTTCTGCCTCTACTCACAGGTAGTAAGAGGAAGAGGGATGGTGGCAAGGGAGATTTCACCATAAGACCTTTAACCCACCCCCAACCCCGCCCCCTCTAGATTAAGCATTCTCTGTGGGAGTCAGAGACTAAAAGAACTCGATAGCAGTACATTTTGGGGATTGTAGTTTTATATGTTCTCCATCTATTCCCGCTATCAGAGAGCCAGGTGCTGGAAATAAAATTTTGATGACATTTTAGCTTAACAGAATCACATCGGATAAAAGCTTCCTAGACATGGAAATTGATCCAGAAGCTGAATATATCAACTCCTCACCAGCTGCATATTTGAGAATAAAATTCAGCCAGTACCCCAGTGGAGAGAGTTCAGGGACAAGGACAGTCCACACACCTTAAATCTTAGTAAACATTGAGTCCAGTTGGATATCTTCTCTTTATTGAATAAGTCAATAGCAAATATTTCATCATGGGGCTTATGAAATCCTACTGCAAAAGATGGGAAAGAAAACATCCTCCTGAAGATTCTGATGGAGAGGAAAATCTGAAACAACCTGCTGCAGAAGTAGAACATTTCAGGAAGTAATTTGCATAATAGGATGCAAGAAGACATGGCTTTAGTGACAAAGGGATAGAAATTTATAATGGGAAAACATGCTGCAATGAAAATCTAAGAGGATAAGACAAAAAGACAGGTGGATAAATTAAGGAATTACTGCAAAGAAATTAAAATGCAACAGCTGAATTACAAGCCACCCTGAAGGCAGATTGGACACGAAAACAATGGAACCACTGAAGTGGAGAACACATGTGCTAATCTCTTCTGGAATGCAGAGAAAAAGTACAAGGACTTTTAACCATGACGATGTGGGATTGGATAATAGCTATCGAGGATAGCAAAGTGAGAGTCAAGCTCAGAAATTTGGATATTCCCAAGGAGGAAACAAAACAACGGAAATGGAAGCAATCATCAACGATTTGAACTAACTCTCCTAAATTTGTTCCAAAGAGGATGTATTTATTATATTTGAGGAAAAATCAGTGAAATGTCTCCCTCCCTCTCCTTATGGTTCTTATGTTTGGAGCAGTGTGATGGAGTGAGGTCCATGTGCTGAGGGTCTCAGGTGGTACCATCTTGGAAGAGGAGTGCATCATAGACAAGGAATGTGAGCCGACCACATTCTCTGTAGTCTTTCTAGAAGGTCCAGTTCAATGGCTTCTTGTTTCTTTCTTCCTTTTTTTTTTTTTTTTAGAGACAGTGTCTCTCTGTCACCCAGGCTGGAGTGCAGTGGTGCGATCATGGGTCACTGCAGACTGGAACTCCTGGACTCAAGTGATCCTCCTGCCTCAGCCTCCTGGACTACAGGCATGTACCACCATGCCCAGCTAATTTTTAAATTATTTGTATTTTTTTTGTAGAGATGGGGCCTCACTTTGTTGTCTAGGCTTGTCTGGACAAGTGATCCTCCCACCTCAGCCTCCAAAATGCTGGGATTACAGGTGTGAACCACAACACCCAGCCAGTGTCTTCTTGTTACCTTTAAACTGCTACAGTTTAGTCCTACCTAAAATTCAGTCGCTATGAATTTTAAGAATCATAGGGTTCTCCAGAGAAATGGAAGCACAAAGTTATGGCTTTATCTATATCATTTATATTATAAGGAATCGACTCATGACATAATAGGAATTGTCAACTGCCAAGATCTGCAGGGTGAGTTGGCAGGCTGGAGACCCAGGAGAGCCAGTGGTGTAGTTCCAGTGTGAAGGTCAGCAGGACCAAGACCCCATGTTTCATTTTGTATCTGAAGGCAGGAAACAGCTGATGTCCCAGTGAAGGGTCAGGCTTTTGGCTCTATTTAGGCCTTCAACTGATTGGACAAGACCCACCCACATTAGCAAAGGCAATTTAATTTACTTAGTTTCCTGATTCAAATGCTAATGTCATCCACCCTCACAGTGATACCCAGAATAATGTTTGGGCACCCTGGGGTCCAACCAAGGTGACACATAAAATTAGCTATCATAGAGCCCTTTCCTGTCTCTGATCACATATGCCAATTCTTAATGCCTTTAATCTTCTGTGCTTGGGTGAGGGAAGGGACCAGAGTGAATTTGAAATAGCTTAGAAACACAGGGCCCAGGTCTCCTCTATGTCTCAGTGGCTATGAATTTTAAGAATCATAGGGTCCTCCAGAGACATGGAAGCACACATTTGTGATTTTCTCTATATGATATATTATAAGGAATTGGCCCACGACATAATGGAAATTGACAAGTCCCAAGATCTGCAGGGTGAGTCGACAGGCTGGAGACCCAGGAGAGCCAGGGGTATAATTCCAGCCTGGGGGCTGGCAGGCTCAAGACCCTGGGAATTGGCAGGGCTTCTGAGACACTGTTCATAAAGAAAAGCATCCCTTGGAGAATCAAATCATAAAAACCCACCTCCCTTCCAGACTCTGGCAGGTGGGCCCCGACTGATAGAGTTTGCCTCTGGGAAGTGTGGGCTGAGCTTCTGACACAGCAGCAACATTCAGGTCAAACACACAACACTGGCATAGACACCTGTTACTTAGCCTTGACTGCATGCTGAAACTCCTGAGGAGCCTCCGAAAATACAGATACCGGGGTCCCACCCAGAAATTCTGGATTAATTAGTCTAGATATGGCCTGGACATTGGAATTTAAAATAATTATAAACAGTAGTATTCACTTTTGTGAATGTCTATACATTTTATCATATGCACCGATTCATGTAACACCTGCCACAAACAGGATGCAGAACAATCCCAAGACTCCAAAGTTTTCCCCAGTGCTGACCCTTGGAGCCATTGTAGCTTGTTTCTTCAATAACATGAGGGCTGCTGCTTTCTTAACTGAACAAGAAGGAACATTGGATCAAGACCCAAGGACATTCCAACAGTAGATCCAGAAAGGCGACCCAGTGTGGAAAGAAGATAAATCATTTTTTAAAGAAAAACAGGTAATGCAAATGATTGAAAAGCTAGTCCAGATAGAAAATATCCTAAAATGGGAGTGTTCTACGAGTTTAAAAATAGGGAACAAGACTTTCTTGGCAGAGAGCAACATCCTATGACATGCCAGAGCCTCTAATGGCCGTACTTAAGGGTTTGCACATAGGGGAGGAAATAAGACACCATTCATTCAGTCCAAATGAGTTAAATTATGATTGCTGCCAGATGTCCCTAGGCAAAAACAGGATTTCAAGCAAATGAAGGCTGTCTCTCTCTGTGGCTCTTTTTTTTTTTTTTTTTTTTTTTTTGTAAAATCATCTCTGAACTAAGACTATTATTACAACAGCAGGATTCTAATTAAGGTGCTGTCGACCACAGAGCCAATTCACCATGGGGGGTTCTCAGAAAGCTTTGAGGGTAAAATTTATGGGACTTTATGGCATTCCTCTGTGTCAGGGCTTGGGGAAAGTTTCTCTTGGACAAATGACAGCCTCATCTCTCTCTTTTGGGAGCTGATTGTGAAGACAGGATTCTCTTCCTTCCCAGGATATGCCCCCCTCTTCCATCTCCTCAGTGCATATCCTTCTCTTGCTACCAACCCCAGCCCACAGGCAGCACCAGGAAGAGTGCTGAAATTAGGCATGAGTGGAGGATAATTGCTAGAAAGTCACTGGAGCTCATCAGTGTCCACAGCGCCATATGCAAATGCATTTCGGGACAAGATTCATAGTTGAGTATTCTCTAATGGAAGTAGAAGCCTCTCTGGGTAATACTAGGAGGC
Source organism: Homo sapiens (assembly GCF_000001405.40). Taxonomy (NCBI): domain Eukaryota; kingdom Metazoa; phylum Chordata; class Mammalia; order Primates; family Hominidae; genus Homo; species Homo sapiens. Next base: position 26,720,216 of record NC_000008.11, read on the forward strand.
CAGCAATATGAAAACTAAGCTTCATAATTTAATTTAACTGCCTCTTTTGGACTGCAGAATGCATCAGGGAATTCTGCAATATTACAGTTTTGGGCTCACCTAAAAATAGCCAGACTGGGGACCTGAGACTGCACAAGTATCTTTCTGGCTATGGGGTGCTCGGCTACTTAGCCACCCACATTGTCAGTGGTAGGCTTGGGCAGGTACAGATTCTGTTCAACAGGCCGAGACTAATGTTTTTCCTACTCTCTGAGATCTGCAAACTTGTGTATCAAGAAGCAAGAAAGATTGCAGTCCTAAATGTCCATGATCGATCAAGGTAAAGGAACCGAGATCAAAAGCCAGAGCAAGGCTAGGTGTGGTGGCTCACACCTGTAATCCTAGCACTTTAGGAGGCCGAGGCAGGCGGATCATGAGGTCAAGAGATCGAGGCCATCCTGGCCAACACGGTGAAACCCCGTCTCTACTAAAAACACAAAAATTATCTGGGTTTGGTGGTACATGCCTATAGTCCCAGCTACTTGGGAGGCTGAGGCAGGAGACTTATTTGAACCCGGGAGGTGAAGCCTGCAGTGAGCCGAGATTGCAGCACTGCACTCCAGTCTGGGTGACAGAGCGAGACTCTGTCTCAAAAAAAAAAAAAAAAAAAAAAAAAGCGAGAGCAAGAAAAAACGGATCTGATGTTCTAAAACAGGGTTTGGTGTTCTCAGTTCTGGCACTTTTGGCGTTTTAAGTAGGACTCTCCCTCAGATTGCAAGATATTAGCATACTTGGATCCATGTCCTAAATGCAAATAGAAGCTCCTCCCAGTCCTTTTGACAGCTCAAACCTAACAAACCAAACAACCCCATTCAATCAACCAACCAGCCGCTCCACCAACCAACCAGACAAATTCTGCACCCATATGTTTCCAAAATGCCTTGGTTGGGAATTACTGAATAACAGAGAATTTCTGGGAAGGAAGACTTACAGGGAATGACCCAAAGTGATGATGGGCTTGGGTATCACATCTTCTTACAGGGAAAGTAAACATTTTTACTCATTAGAAATGTTGTATGTTCATTACAAAAATTTAAGCGATACAGGAGTGCATGAAGCAAAAATATCTGTAATTCCCCCAATAACCACATTTGTAACTATAAACAGTGAAAGACATATCTATATTTGAACTCAACAATATCATTTCAAGGACTTACCCTACAGAAATAGTATCACTATTTTGTAATGACAGATGTGTAAGACCATTTGTTTCAGACTGGCTTATAATAGCAAAACAGTGGAGACAACCAAAATGTCCGTTTATAGGGAAGTCATTGAATAAGTTATGGTGTGTGCATGGAATAAACACAGTGTGGCCATTATAAGTGGCCAAAGTTGATGTTCACATCTAAAAATTTATCCTTCATCTATTATTAAATGGAAAAGCAGTCTAACGCAGTGGCTCACACCTGTAATCCCAATTGGTGATACTGTTGGGATGCTGAGGTGGGAGGCTTGCTTGAAGCCAGGAGTTCAAGACCAGCCTGAGCAACATAGCAAGACCCTGTCTCTACAAAAAATTAAAAAATTAGCCAGGCATAGTGGCATGCATCTGTAGTCCCAGCTACTTGGGAGGCTGAGGCGAGAGGATTGCTTGAGCCCAAGAGTTTGAGGCTGCAGTGAGCCAAGATTGTGCCACTGCACTCCAGTCTGAGTGACAGAGCTGTCTCAATAAATAAATGCATAAATAAAAATAAGTAAATAAAAAGAAAAAGCAGGATATAGATAATTTCACATAGCAGATTTCCCTTTTCGCTTAAAAATGTGTGTAAATATTTATGTGTGTGTGTTTCTGTGTCAACTTTGGAGTCAGGAAGGAGAGGTAGCAAATGGAAATGGAACTTCCTGGGGTTGGGATTGAATGGGGCACGGAGGTGCATGGGGAAAAAGGATGACTCCTGCCTTAACACACTTTTTAAAAGTAGTAGAATTATTAATAACTTTCATTATTTGTGATTAAAAATATTGTTAATAATATTAATGTTTTTGTTAAATTATGTAATAGCACAGGAAGATGAATTTGTTATAAAGCAAAGTTGAACACAAGTGCTTAGCACATAGTAGATACTCAGTGACGTTTATTCAGTAAGTTAGAAACAGCAGAAATCAAGCTGTGCATTTTACCTGGGGCTCTTAAAAAAGTGACTTTTTAAAAAAATTAAACTTTTTATTTTGAGATAATTGCAGATTCACATGTAGAATCTAAAGAGACATCCCAGATACCCTTCATCCGGTTTCCCCTGGTGGTCCTATCTTGCAAGACTATAGCACAATATCACAACCAGAATATGGACATTGATCAAACTCATTAATCCTATTCAGATTTCCCCAGTTTTACCTGAACTCATGTGTGGGTTTAATTTCGTGTGTAGGTTCCTGTATCGATGACCACATTCCCATCACCACGGGGATCCCTTTGTTGTCCTCTTAAAACCACACCAATGTTCTTAGCAGCTTTATCTTTAATAGCCTACATTAGAAAAGGCCCAGGTGTTCTTCAGTAGTGAAAGGTTAAACACACCATGGTACATCCATACAATGGGATACTACTCAACCATAATAGGCAGTGAACTATTGATACATACAAAAACCTGGATGAACCTCAAGGGAATTATGCTGATTTAAAAAAGCCAATGCCAAAATTTACACACTGTGTGGTTCCATTCATATAATATTCTTTTTTTTTTTTTTTTTTTTTTCTTTGAGACGAAGTCTTCAGCTCTGTTGCCCAAGCTGGAGTACAATGGTGTGATCTTGGCTCACTGCAACCTCCATCTTCCAGGTTCAAGCGATTCTCCTGCCTCAACCTCCTGAGTAGCTGGGATTGCAGGCGTGTGTCACCAGGCCTGGCTAATTTTTGTATTTTTAGTAGAGACGAGGTTTCACCACATTGGCCAGGCTGGTCTTGAACTCGTGATCTCGTGATCTGCCCACCTCAGCCTCCCAAAGTGCTGGGATTGCAGGCGTGAGCCACTGCGCCTTGCCTATACAACATTCTTGAAATGGTCAAATTATAGGGGTGGAGTCCAGAATACTGGTTGTTAGGGGTTAGCAGTAGGGGTAGTGGGAGAGAGGTGAGTGAGATTATAAAAGGACAAAAGGAAGGGTCCCTGTGAGAATGGAACTGTTTTTAAGTATAATTATATTCCCCAGTGGATGTCTGAGACTGGATAGTACTGAACCTTATATACATATTATGGTGAATTTCTTTTTCCTTCTTCACAATTTCATGGATAGAAGATTCGTTCTTCCTGTGGGTCTTAGCAACCTCAGTAGATGATTTTTTTTCTTTTCCTGTGAAGTAGAGAACTTTCACCTTTGCCCTTAAAGGAAGCATTTTATGGCTTCTGTTTGGCATATCCAAATTTACAGCATCACTACTTTGATGCTTTGGGGCCACAGGAGCACAAAACAAGTGTAAAATGAGGGTGATTTGACCATGAGCACTATAATGCTGTGACGGTGGTTTCGATAACCTGGACGGCTCCTAAGTGACTGACGGGGTGCACGTACAGTGTGGATACGCTGGACAAAGCAACAATTCACATCCCAGCAGGATAGAGTGGGACAGGGCAAGATTTTGTGATGTTAATCAGAATGTTGTGAAGTTAAAAAGTTATAAATTTTTTATTTCTGGAATTTTTCATTTAATATTTTCAGACTGAGGTTGACAGTGGGTAACTGAAACCATGGAAAATAAATACACAGATAAGGGAGATGTTATTGTATTTTTAAAATGAGAATTTATAATATATATTTTTTTCATAAATTGGATTATATTATATGTATTCTCAGGCAATTTATTTTTCCACTTAATATGTATTAGCTATCCTTTCATGATACAGGGATATCGCCTTTAAAAAATAGTTACATAGCATTTCATAGAAACGCTGTATCATAACTGGTTTTTTTTTTTTTTGTATAGAGCCTTGCTCTGTCATCCAGGCTGGAGTACAGTGGCGCGATCTCAGCTCACTGCAACATCCGCCTCCTGGGTTCAAGAGATTCTCATGCCTCAGCCTCTAGAGTAGCTGGGACTACAGGCACGTGTCACAATGCCTGGCTAATTTTTGTATTTTCAGTAGAGGCAGGGTTTCACCATGTTGGCCAGGTGGTCTTGAACTCCTGGACTCAAGTGATCTGCCTGCCTCAGTCTCCCAAAGTGCTGGGATTACAGGCATAAGCCACCTCGCCCAGTTCATAACTTATTTAATCAACTCACTATTAATAGATTAGTAGTTTGTTCATATTACAAATAGTGCTGCAATAAGCATCTTTGTAAATATAGTTTTGTGTATTAGAATGACTTTGGGTATAGAATAAAACTGTATAGAAGTGGAATTGTTGGGTCTGGGGACAAGCACATTTTAGCATTTGATATAAATTTACCAAATCATTATCCAAAGTAGTTATGCTAATTGATGCTCCTACCAATAGTATACACATGTCTACTTCCCCACACTTACATATTAATTTTAAAAGGCTTGTTCATCTACAGAAGCAGCAAACTCTATTTACAAGTAGGAGCATGAATAGGACTATGTTCTTTTATACCGTGCCTTGTTCAATCAGTAGGGTCTTCTCCCAGCTGGATGAACAAAGCCTATGGGAACCCACCTCCAGCTTCAAGAATGATCCAGATTATGTCAGGCATTTTGTTTGGCAAACCCAGGGAGGTCTCAGTCCCACTGCAGAAGGGAGAGTGTGGCACAGGTAGAGTGGTAAAGTGCAGTGGCTGTCCTCGGTAACTTCCCACACCACATTCTGCTTGCTTTTGTCTTCTGCTCTGATGTGGTTTGGCTGTGTCCCCACCCAAATGTCATCTTGAATAGTAGCTCCCACGATCCCCACGTGTCATGGGAGGGACCTGGTGGGAGGTAATTGGATCATGGGGATGGGTCTTTCCTGTGCTGCTCTCTTGATAGTGAATAGGTCTCACAAGATCTGATGGTTTTATAAAGGGGAGTTTCCCTGCAGAAGTTCTGTTATCTCCTGCTGTCGCCATGTAAGAAGTGACTTTCACCTTCCGCCATGATTATGAGGCCTCCCCAGCCACGTGGAACTGTTAGTCTATTAAACCTCTTTTTTTTTCCCCCAGTTTTGGGTATGTCTTTATCAGCAGTGTGAAAATGGACTAATACATGCTCTGTGCTCCCCTCCCTGGCTCTCCGAGTCCTGGGTCCATGGTCCCTCAGACTCTCAATTGTTCCCTTTCAGATGTGATGACCAACTTCTCTCTCTGACTTACTGGGGTGGAGCCCTTGGCCAAGTCTCCGTTCTGCACATCCTCCCAACTTTGGTGTCCCTTGAGCCTTCCTTGGAAAACCCTCTCCAGCCTGCATTGGACACAGACTTTGAGTTTGGCATGACTTAGTTGGAGTCCCAGCTGTTCCCTTTGGTAGACAGTGTGAACTTTGCACAAGGTTTGCACAACTGAACAGGTCTCACAAGGTGGTATTTTCTGCAACAAAGAGAAGCTCTGTTTTGAAAATAATTTTGTCCTTCACTATAAAGTGCAGAAATAGCTTCCAGCATTCCCAAGGCCAGCACTGGGGCTTTAAAAATTTGGAGTGCCATTGTTGAGCCCCTGTGCTGACCAACTTGGTGGACTCCTGTGGGGAATGGGGAGGAGACTCAGGCACTGAGCCATGTAAACCACCCTGGCCTACCTGACCTTCATCAGTACTGAGAGATGAGGAGGTCAGGAATTAGTCGTGTTTCAAAGATGAAGAACTTGAGGTTCAGAGAACTTAAATGAAGGTTGCAAAGCCATTTAGTAGCTGAAGTATGATTAGATTCCAGGACTTCTGAGTCCTAGTCCCCCAATCCATCTCATAAATACTACCATTCAAGTCTTCCTCATACTATTTCTGGATTAATGCATTCATTGACCTCCACGATAACATTTTGGAGATTCAGTTGCCATCACCTCCTTTTGAATGAGTTCTGAACCAAACGAGAGATGGGGCCCAGGAGTTAGCCAGCCTCAAATGGGTTGGCTCATAGGTCAGTCCCAAATTAGCCAGATTTGCTCACATAGTCACAGGCAGCCCTGATAACCCCAGGTCCCCCTGTAGGGACCTACCTTTGCAAAATTTAGGGCATGGAGGAGCTGAGCAGAACCCCCACGGAAAGGCTAGAGAAAGAGGTTGAGGCTCCAATGTTGAGCTTCTTGATCCAAATTTACTGTACACTTCTGCAGCCCACAGCGGGGAGTGGTGGAGGAGGCCAGAATATTGCTCTAATGGCTACCCCAACATGGAGTCAGGAAGGAATCCCTTTCACCTCTCAGTAATACAGAACTTTATTGTCAGCTTCTCCCCTGTCCAAATCATTATATTAATGTCAGATTAACCTTTCTGAAGCATCTTTTTTTTTAAGTGTAGAATTTCTCTGAAAACCAAATATACATGTTTCCCCATTTTCTCTTACATCAAGCCAAATCTCTCTAGACCCCTCGCTGCCCCACATGCTGATTTACCACTGAATTCCAAGGGAAACCCTCTTCTCCTGCCAGGTCAGGTATCCTACTATCTCCACGTGGGCTCTGCTCATTCTTGCTTTTAAATATTTCCTCATTTTTTCACCCCACATGAAGTGCCTTTCTCCTATCTCCTGCCCTATCAGAGTCTTCTTATCTTTAGAACACTAAATGAGGGCCAAGTTCCCCCATGAGACTTCCTGGACTGCCCCAGATCACACTCATCTCTCCCTTCTCTCATACCTCTTTGGTCCTTTTACCTAGTTCTCTAGGGCTAAGGTCATAATTATTATTATTTTTGTTATGGGCTAGTACTAGCATTAAATCACTTTAAAGCAAAATCATTTTTTCATATCCCCCAGTGTGACCATTTGTTATATTTGCCTATCCAATAACTGAATCACTTGCCCTCTTATTTTGGGAGAAACCTTATTATGTGAATCTTAGTGGAGGGCAGGGATCCACCAATGGAAGCTGAAGGGGACAGAAACTCTTATTTTCCTTCTCTCCATGCCTGGCAGACAGAGTGGGCACACAACATAAGCTTAGTCATCCTGGAATTTTGGATTTGCAGAGTGAGCTGTCAAATTGTTCAGGGTGATGGTGGTAGCACTGTCAGTCTAGCACAGGGATGATTATCCACTGATAACCACTGTTAGTGGCAGCAGAGGAATTGGAGCCAGGAGTGGGGTCCTCCTTTGACGGATGTTGTGATGTGACTTCATCTACATTCTCCTCTGGACTCCCTTGATGGATCTGCTCATTTTCTTAGCCTGGTTGTCCAGCCTTCCTGCCAATTCTCTGAGCTTGGTGATAGCCTTTTAATACATTTTAAGTTAGAGTTGGCTTCTCTTGCTTGCAGTCAAGAATCATGCCTGCTACACTTCACACTGTCTGGCACATGCTGAGCTCAATTAAGATGTACTGACTTTACTTGGACCTGCATCAAATCGTCCAGCCCTATATTAGGAGCTGGAGTGAATTGTCAGCATAAAGTTGTCTAAACCATGGCACAGCAATTATTTGAAAAGTGAGGGATTCGACCAATGAATTCCCTCAAGTTTTCAATTTGTTTGAGGGAGTTTTCTTCTAGAGTTGATGGCATGACTGTACATGGATAAAAGTGCGGATGGAGGGTACTGATTGTTTAGCATCAGAAATTTTTATTGCATGTTTGACTTTGAAGGTTAGACTTGGAGGGCTGGTGGACTCTATTGCTTTGGGCTGCCCAAGGTCAGCTCTGGGATTCAACTCTTACCTTCCTTATAAGCTAGTAAGTTAGTCTGTTACTGCTTCATGGAATCTGGCAGAAGACACAAGACTTTTGGGTCAGAGACAAGGGATTGTATTACTCATGGCATGTACTTATACTAAAAAATTATTTGGGCCGGGCGCAGTGGCTCACACCTCTAATCCCAGCACTTTGGGAGCCCGAGGTGGGCAGATCACGAGGTCAAGAGATCGAGACCATCCTGGCCAACATGGTGAAACCCCGTCTCTACTAAAAATACAAAAATTAGCCAGGCGTGGTGGCATGCGCCTGTAGTCCCAGCTACTCGGGAGTCTGGGGCAGCAGAATTGCTTGAACCCGGGAGGTGGAGGTTGCAGTGAGCTGAGATTGTGCCACCGCACTCCAGCCTGGCAACAGAGTGAGACTTCATCTCAAAAAAAAATTATTTGTTGGTTATTGGAAATTAACACTTAACTGGACATCCTGTACTTTTATTTGCTAAATCTGGCAAATTTAGGCAGAGCATACTACATGTACATCATTATGTTTGTATTAGCTGGTGGTCAGGGCCTCTATCCTCGGCATACCAAGAAAGACAGACAGGAGCACAAGAGACCCAAGGGGCAGTGGTGGTGGCACTTAAGGCAGCTGAGAGACTGCAGGCATCTGTGGGCTCTAGCCAAACATGTGCTTTTCATTAGTGGGTGCATAGGCTCCTGGTGACCTGTGCTCAGAGCCAGCAGCAATGGCAATGCCTCCTTTGCACTCAGCACCTACTCTGTGCTTGGGGGTTCTAGGCAGGGATGAAGGCAATTGTCTGATATTTGAGTGACAAATGTTTTCTTTATTTTGGTTCCCCCCACACCTTTCTTTCTTTTGCTCTTCGAGCCATTACAAAACATTTAAAACCAATTCTCTGCATTACATTTCTCCTTGGATTATTTAAAGTGACATCTCTTTTCCTGGCTGGACACTGACAGATACAGGTACAGTGGCACATTCTTGATTTATAAGCCTATGAATTGTGGCCCACTTCTCAGCATGTAATGGATGAATGAGAAATGCTACTTAAAATGAATTAAATTTTTGGTGGAGATTCATAGTTACAGGCACAGGATAAAGTTATCCTAAAATGAATGGGAATCAAAGACACTAGGGGATGTCACAGGAAAACTTTTTTGAGCCAACTGTTAAAAAACTGTGGTATTCGGTGAGACATTATATACAGCTCAGAGAAGAAGGCAGTGGAACATAGATTATTATACCAAAAAAGTTTATTTTATTTTCAGTGCACTTCCATTCATAGTATTAATCACAGTATCAAAGTGTTATTCTCTTCTGTAAATCTCCCCAAATGATGAAATGAAATACAATATCACATTCATAGGAGATGAGTATTTCAGCAGTGTGAGCATAAAAGTAAAAATGGATATTCTACAGTCATTGACTCAACAGTACTTATTATGTGTTATGTGCAAAGCACAGGGTATAAGGCTTGTATTAGTAGAGTTAAAGTGACCTTCCAGATATAGTACATCAGCATAAACATAGTGATTCTCAAGGGAATCTCAAATCTTTTCTTTTAGAATCTATGAGCTTGATCTCTCAGATGCTCTCAAGCATAACTCGTAAGAGCTGCTTGCATCTGGGAAGTGGGTTGAGAACATAAGACACCAACTGATATTAACATTGCTACTAGGTTGGCTAATAAGTATTGCTTCATTCATTGCTCCTGTTTTAGCAGCTGCTAGAGGAAGAGTACTCCCCCCAGCCCACCTTCTGACTACCACCAATACAAAGGGGGATTCTGGAAAAACATCTCACCTAAACTATAGGTAGAGCAAACCTGCTTGAAGATTTAGTGGTTCCAAGTTTCCCAGTCTCTGATTTTAGGGGTCTGTGATTTTAGGGATCTACTCATTAGTAGAGTCAGGGCCAACTGCTACCCCTGTGATGGTTAATTTTATGTGTCAACTTGACTGAGCCACAGGGTGCCTGGACATTTTATCAAACTATCCTGGATGTGTCTATAAGGGTGTTTCTGAATGAAGTTAACATTTGAATCAGTAGACTGAATAAAGCAAATTGCCCTCCCTTGATGTATGTGGATCTCATCCAACCAATTCAAAATATACATAGGACAAAAAGGCTGAATAAGAGGGCACTCCTCCTGCCTGACTGATGAGCTGGGACATAGATGTTTTCTAGCATTCAGACTCTACTGAAACATCAATTCTTTTTGGGTCTCAGGCCTGCTGGCTTTCAGACTGGAACTTAATACCATCAGTTTCCTGGTTCTTAGGTCTTCAGACGTGAACTGCAACTACACATGAGCTTTCTTGGGTCTCCATCTTACAAACTGCAAATCTTGGGACTTCTTAACCTCTGTAATCACATGGCTAATTCCTTGTAATAATTCTTTCTCTTTCTGTATATATGCATCCTATTGGTTCTGTTTCTCTGGAGAACACTGACTAATATACTCCCTAAATCAAAGTAACACAGGTTCCTTGTGGGGGAGGGAGGATGCAAGGAGTTTATGAAAAGATCATTCTACCTTGAACTTAAAATATGGAGAGACAAAAAAGAAACATATGAAAAGTTAAATAATATAATTGAAATAATTGCTCAAATACAAATGAAAAAGGTATTAATTGTCAGTGCAAGAGTCCTTTAAATGGAAGGTACAAACAAGAAATACAAGTCCTTCATGCATATATCATCAGAGAAGGTGGGATTTGGAGAAAGTGGGATTTCAGATGCATCACAAAGAAGGAATAAACAGAGAGATGACATTCTAAGGGTGGATGTCACAGAGGAAATTGTAGCATGGCAATGAGTAGATATTAATAATTCTGGCAGAAGTGTTGATTTGACGTAGGGGGAATAATGTTCACAGATGCCTGCTGTCCCTCAGCCACCTGCTGATTCTGCCCCCACTGCCCCCACAAGTCTCTCATGCTCCTGTCTGCCTTTCTGGGTATGTCCCCAAAACAAGGCCTTGGCCAGGCGTGATGACTCATGCCTGTAATCCCAGCACTTTGGGAGGCTGAGGTGGGCAGATCACTTGAGGAAAGGAGTTCGAGACCTGCCTAACCAACATGGCGAAACCCCATCTCTACTAATATATAAAAATTAGCTGGGCATGGTGGCTTGAGCCTGTAATCCCAGCTACTTGGGAGGCTGAGGCAGGAGAATCACTTGAACCTGGGAGGAGGAGGCTGCAGGGAGCCAAGATCACACCCCTGCACTCCAGCCTGGGTGACAGAGTGAGACCCTGTCAAAAAAAAAAAAAAAAAAAAAAAAAAATGAAAACAAGGCCCTGACTACCAGCTAACACAAGTATGCTGAAGATGTTCCTGCAATGTGCTGGGCCTACATTTGCCAGTTTTAGCAAATAAAATAAAGACTACCCAGTTAAATTTTAATTTCAGATAAACAATACATAATTTTTATTTTTTAGTAAAACTATGTGCTATGAGTAATAAGGTCCATTGTCTCTGACCCAAGAGCCTTGTGTATTCTGCCAGCTTAAAGACTGAAATGCAGACTGAGGTCAGATTGTGGAGGGCTTTGCAATTAATTGCAAGTGTCTGAAATTAATATGATAGGCTCTATATTACTACTGAAGACTTGCCTTCCAAATGATACTTGAGAGAAATTAGTTTGGTGGATGTAGTGGGTTGATGGTATACCCCTAAAAGATGTCCCCATCTGGAAATTCAGAATATAACCTTATTTAGAATAAAGGTTTTTGCAGATGTTATTAAGTTAGGGAAGGGGTCCCCAGCCCGCAGTTCATGGCCTGTTCAGAACCGGGCTGCACAGCAGGAGGTGAGTGGTGGGCAAGAGAAGCTTCATAATTATTTGCAGCCTCTTCCCCTTACTCACATTACTGTCTGAGCTCCACCTCCTGTCAGATCAGTGGCAGCATTAGACTCTCATAGGAGTGCTGAACCGTATTGTGAACTGTGCATGTGAGGGATCTAGGTTGCACACTCCTTATGAGAATCTAATGCTTGATGATCTGTCACTGTTCCCCATCACCCCATCTAGTTGCAGGAAAATAAGCTCAGGGCTCCCACTGATTCTACATTATGGTGAGTTGCATAATAATATATTACAATGTAATAATAATATAAATAAAGTGCACAATACATATAATGTTCTTAAATCATCCCCAAACCATCCTTCACAACCTGTTCTGTAGAAAAGTTGTCTTCTGCAAAACCAGTCCCTTGTGCCAAAAAGGTTGGTGGCCCCTGAGTTAGGGATCTTGAGATAAGATCATAGGTTGGGCCCTAAATCCAATAACAGATGTCTTTATAGGTGACAAAAAAGAAGACACACAGAAACACAGAGGAGAAGGCCATGTGAAGATGGAAGCAGAGGTTAGAGTGATGCAGCCATAAGCCAAGAAATGCCAGGGAGGAAGTTCCTCTACCCAGGAGAGAGGCATGGAACGGATTCTCCCCAAGAGTCTTCAGAAGGAAACAACCCTGCCCACACCTTGACTTTGGACTTCTGGCCTTCAGAACTGTGAGTGAATAAATTTCTGTTGTTTTAAGCCTCCACTTTGGTGATAATTTCTTACAGCAACCATAGGAAATAGATGCAGTGCAGTGTAGGTAGGCTGTACATGGCAATGAGTCTGGTGATGGGCAGATAGTGAAGAGTAGGATATTTTGGCAATCCGAGTTATTTTTGTGAGTTCTATTTGATCAAGGACCATTGTTTCTCTGTGTTGATTTTTCATAAACTCCATCTACATAACATGAACAAGACTGGTTAAAAAATTAAAAAAAAAAAAAGCGGGGGGCGGGTGCAGTGGCTCAAGCCTGTAATCTCAGCACTTTGGGGGCTGAGGTGGGTGGATCACCTGAGGTCAGGAGTTCGAGACCAGCCTGGCCAACCTGGTGAAATCTTGTCTCTACTAAAAATACAAAATTAGCTGAGCATGGTGGCGGGTGCCTGTAATCCCAGCTACTTGGGAGGCTGAGGCAGAAGAATTGCTTGAACCCAGGAGGGAGAGGTTGTAGTGAGCTGAGATCCTGCCACTGCACTCCAGCCTGGGTGACAGAGTAAGGCTCTGTCTCAAAAATGAAACAAAACAACAACAACAACTTTAAAAAAATGCAAATAGTCCGAATTTTAGGTAACATGAAATCCAGATTGTAGTAGAATTTTTTTTAAAAAACTTCAATATTTGTAATTGTTGTGTTTAACTAAATTTATTGAGACTACAGTTGGCCCTTGAACAACATGGGTTTGAACTGCAAGGGTCCGTTCATATGCAGGGATTTATTTCCTCAACCAAATGCAGATTGAAAATACAGCATTTGTCGGATACAGTGGCTCACGCCTGTAATCCCAGCACTTTGGGAGGCCAAGGCAGGCAGATTGCCTGAGGTCAGGAGTTCGAGACCAGCTTGGCTAACATGGTGAAACCTCGTCTCTACTAAAAATACAGAAATTAGCCGGGCCTGGTTGTGCATGCCTGTAATCCCAGCTACTCGGCAGGTTGAGGCAGGAGAATAACTTGTACCCGGGAGGTAGAGGTTGCAGTGAGCCGAGATCCCACCACTGCACTCCAGCCTAGGCGACAGAGCAAGACTCCATCTAAAACAAACAAACAAACAAAAAAAAGAAAATACAGCATTTGTGGGATGTGAAACCCATGTACAGTGGGTTTTGCAAGGCTGGTTGGGTGACTTGAGTATGCATGGATTTGAGTATGCATGGGGTTGGTTGGGGCTGGAACAAATCCCCCACATATATTGAGGGCCGACTGTATCTCTTTAAGTGGATGAATCCCTAAAGCCTAACCCTCCACATTGTCGTATTTTGCCGCCTCTTCCTTCTTAATGTAGCCCACCCCCATGGTCATTCTGGAGGAATCTGTAGAGAGCTTCTGTATGTAACTGATATATAGAACAGAGGAAAGATGCTCTGTTGAGTGGGACAAAGTGATTCAATCCTGTAAGTGAAAATGGCCCAGGGCAGTGATGACACTGATGACATCCACAGTAACTACCTTTTTGAGAACTGGGAACTGTTGTAGACATTCTTATGCACCATTCTGTTTTATTCCCTCAGTGGCCTGTGAGGTGTGCTGTCATGCCCTATTGGAGAGGAAGATATGAAGAGGCTTTGAGGGATTAAGCAACTGGTCAGCATCACACAGCTAGTAAAGGGACTTCTAGAATTTGAACCTAAGTGTCTCTGACTCCAAATCTTTATCTAACTCGTAATCAGCACCCTATTCTCTCTCCTCCTTTGAGTAATCATATAATCACAGACCTGCAGAGCCTTCATGTTGGAAGTGCCATGAGAGATCGCCTAGATTAGGAGTGAGGTTTGTTTACATACCAAGGCCTCACAGTATGATTTTTATCTGATATGGGGCTGGGATCCAGTGTTTACCATGAAGACACCTTCCACAGCCCTTTAGTTTTGCGGAGGCAAAGATAGCCTCTGGTGATCTGCATGGAGAGGATTTAATTGCTTCCATTTTTCTTTTAAGAGCAAAGAGCTTTCTAGGAAAAATAGCAGTATTTCAAAGGTCAAGTCTGATGGCTTGTGGGAAGAGCAGGAGAGATTGATTTATGGGGATTGGAACAGAAAACATGGTGTCCGTATGGCAATGAGACAAATAAAATACCAGGGCTTGGCTGACTGTATTCAAATTCTTGTCTGTGTGAGCCCTGGCTAGGGAGGGCTCCAAATAATGTTCAAGTCATTTAGTTGGAGACTGAGACTGGCATTTGCAAGAAGGATAGAAAAATTTAAAGCTAGAGTGGACAGGAAATAAAGGATACTTTGGTTAGGATTAAAACTGGGACTCTACTTAATTTATTCATGCAGTCAACGGATCTTTTTGAGCCCTTGCTATGTGCCAGGCATTGTACTGGACAGAGGAGAAACAACAGGAATTCCAACTTATGTGGTCCTAGCCAGGCTGCATGGAGCTCACAGCCAAGTCAGGGAGACAGATATTGGCCAAATAAACACAAATTAGTTGTTTAATTACAATTTAGTTAGTGCTGCAAAGAAGTACAGGATGCTATAGGAATGCATATGAAGAGGCTGTGACCCAGTCTTGGGGTCAGGGAAGGGGTTGGTGATGCTTAGGCTGCTGTCTGAAGGATGTGTAAAAAAGGCTTAGCGTGTGTGCAGAGGGGGAGCTTTCCAGACAGAGAGGAAGGAGCAGCTAGGTTCAAGGAGTTGGAAGGCAGAGAGGGGTGGAGAGCAAAGAGGAGGGGATGAGAAGCTGGATCAACCGGGGTCTTGTATGGATTTTGGATTTTATCCTGAGAGCAATGAGAAGTCATTGGGGGTTTTAAGCAGGGACATGATTGATCTGGCAGGAGGCCAGGGAGGGATTTAGGCCAAATGCTCATTGGTAATGATGAGTTGTCACTTGCCAGGCCTTGGACTTTTTGCCTAAAATGGCTTGGATGCCAACAGGGATAGCTGTGGACAAAGTAGGATGTGGGGTTTCTGGGTCCTGCCCACCTGCTCAACAGAATTGTAACCAACCCTACCTTATGGGTAGCAGAAGTATCTGCCCCAGGGCCTGGAGTTTGTGCAGCAGAGCTTCTCTAGTTCCTGCCAGGGAGTGATCTGGATACTCTGTCTGTGGCAAGTTCCCATTGGAAGAGACAGGCACTTGTAGCAGAAGTTCTCAGAGGAAGGTCTGGGATTGCTGGAGATGAGCGGCCAATTCTAGGGCCAGGGCAGAACTGGTCTGAGCAAATCACCTACCTGTAGGCAATTTCCCCAGTGAAGCAGGCAAGGGCTGGTCTTGAGTTGAACAGAGGTTTCCTTCAAAGGCCACAGTGGACTCAGCTCAAATAGACAGCCCTTCAGTGCACAGGCTACAGGGTGAGAGATGTTGCTTCATTTCCTTTTGTCCTGTTCCTTAACCCAGCTGGTGGATTGCCGTGGTGCTCCATAAGAAATAGATTTAGGGCCAGGCGCAGTGGCTCACACCTGTAATCCCAGCACTTTGGGAGGCTGAGGTGGGCAGATCACTAGGTCAAGAGATTGAGACCATCCTGGCTAACATGATGAAACTCTGTCTCTACTAAAAATACAAAAATTAGCTGGGCATGGTGGCAAACGCCTGTAGTCCCAGCTACTTGGGAGGCTGAGGCAGGAGAATTGCTTGAACCCGGGAGGGGGAGGTTGCAGTGAGCTGAGATCGCACCACTGTACTCCAGCCTGGTAACAGAGTGAGACTCTGTCTCAAAAAAAAAAAAAAAAAAAAAAAAAAGAAAAAAAAAAGAAATAGATTGTAGATTTAGATAGATTTAGGTGGAAACTACTGTAATAGGGAAAAAATGCTCATGTTTCTAATAAGCTTGTGATGTTTATCCAAGGACTTGAATCTAGACAGTGGCATGGCTTTCTGAGGAGGCATAATACAGACTATAGATGCTCGAGGCACAGGCTTGGTGGTACCTAGAGCAGCAGAGGCACATAGTTTAGACAGATTTAGGGTTTGTTTTCTACTTAGAGACATAAGGGGAGAAACACTAACATGCATACAGTGCTTCTTATGTGTGTAAGCCCTTCTCATATGTGGTCTCATTCACTCTTTCTTTTTCTTTTTTTTTTTTAAAGTCTGGGTTTCACTCTGTTACCCAGGCTGATGGCATGATCACAGCTCATTGCAGCCTCGACCTCCCGGGCTCAAGCGATTCTCCTGCCTCAGCCTCCTGAGAAGCTGAGACAACAGGCATGCACCACCATGCCTGGCTAATTTTTTATTTTTTGTAGAGATGGGTTTTCACTATATTTCCCAGGCTGGTCTCAAACCCCTGAGCTGAAGCAATCCTCCTGGCTTAGCCTCCCAAAATGCTGGGATTACAGACATGAGCCACTGCACCTGGCCGTGTCATCTCCTTTAATCTCTGCAACGACCCTGTAAGGTAGATGCTATCGTAGCATCCTCGTTGTACAGATGAGGAAACCACAACAAAGAGTGGATACTTTACTGTGAGTGTCAGAACTGGGATCTGAACCCAGAGGTCTGATGCCAAAGGCCATGAGGTCACCACTCTCTAGAATAAAGAACAGGGCACTGGGCTTGGGGCCACCCATTCTGGAGAGTGCATCGTATAAATGGCAGAGGGACACTGTGTCATTAGCCAGAGCACACACCCTGGCCTTGAGGTACCAGGGACTCAGGGATCAAGAGGAAGACGGAGATTGAAAATGTAATTTTAAAGCCTTTGTTATATTTAGAAGACACAGAATAAGAGATCCTCAGAAATGGCCCGTGAACTAGAAGGGTCACTAAAAATTTTAAGTAATCACAATTATTTCAAATGCCCCTTTATGAGAGAGGAGTTAATTGATAGAGCTTCTGCCGCACACACACAAAACCCAAGCTGGGTACAAATTAACCCTTTATTGTGTGGTATATCTCAGATAAATTTTAGTTCACAACAGCAACCCTTTTAGATTTGCTGATAGCCTGGAAAGAGGGAAACCATGAATTATTTTCTTTTTTCTTCTCTCCATTTTCTGTCTACTTCCTTCTCTGAGAATCACCAATGGCCAGCTATGCTCTACACCCAAGACTAGATGTGTGCAGCCTGGGCCCCACTTATCTGTGGGATCTCCAGCCAAATAAGGGAGGGAGTGCTTGTTTTGGAAGCTGCTGCAGAGGTCACATCTAGTTCTGAAATTGCTTCTGTTTTCCAAATTCTGAGACTGGAAGGAAATGTGGAGCTTTGGAAATGCATGACTCACGGGCTGCTAGGGCTTACTGGCCCCAGTTTTGGAGGTGCTGAGGGAGCTTCACTGGATCCAGGGCCCACCTCTCAAGACCCAGGCACCAGGCATCTTCCACTGGGGCCGAGCAGCTGCAGCAGCAGGACACGGGACTGGGAGCTGTTCTGATCCATGCTGTGCAACTTACATGACAAGGATAGAGGGAGATTCATTTTGTAAAGCCTTGATTTCTCTATGAATATAAGGCACTGAATTGATAGAGGAGTGAGTTTAAAATTTTATATGGTGATGAGCTATTTTATATCTGGAGTACATTGAATTAGTTTATCTGCTGTGTCTAGTGAAATGAGACAACTGTGTATAATTGGAAGTGAAAAATAAATGAAGTGGCTTTTTGATTCAGTATTCATTGTGACATTGGGATAAATTTAATTAAAAGATTTCTGGGGACAACAGACAAGACATCTGTAAAAGTTCTAAAGACTGAACTCCTCCCTCATTCATTCCATGTGGATTTATAGAAGCAGTGGCAAGGATTGAAAGTCAGCCACCTGGATTTGCTGGAATAATTAGATATTAAAGAAATTTAGAGCTCTAATCTTACATCTTCACCAAACTAGATTTCAGATTGAAGAAAAGCGTTAAATATAACTCGTACACTTACAAGGATGAGACAAAAACACAAGTAAAAATCACATAACAACCCAGGACTCTAAACATAACCCAAATCAGAAACCATAGAGGAAATATTCACAGATTTGATTTCCAAAAAATTCAAAATAAAGCAAAGCAAAACAAAAGCACATTATGTCAAAAGACAATATAAACAAAATTCAAGGATAAACAAAACCCTTGGAAAATATTTGCAGCCTATGCAATAAAGGGTTGAATTCTTTAATATATAAAAAGCTCTTACAATATAACAAGGAAAGGCAAACACACAGTGGAAAGAGAGACAAAGGGTGTAAAAAGAGCTGAAGATGTACCTATTGTCAATAAGTTTATGAAGTGACGGTCCATTTTGCTAGTAATCAAATACGCTTAAATGTCAAGGTGTCTGTTTAGTCTATCAGAAGACAAAGAAGAAAATAGAATGATAGTATGCAATGATATGAGGATATGGGGACATCTGTACTAATTTCAAACATTGTTATTGGAAAGTTAAATTGACATAGGTTCTTGGGGATGGGGAGAGATTTGTTAAAGGATATAAAATTACAGCTAAATAGAAAGGGTCTAGTGTTCTATAGCACTCTAGGATGACTACAGTTAACAATAATATTTATCTAGTTCAAGTAGCTAGAAGGAAGATATTGAATGTTCCCAACACAAAGATATGATAAATGTTTGCGATGATGGGTATGCTAATTACCCTGATCTGATCACTAAGCATTGTATGTTTGGAAACATCACTATGTACCCCATAAGTGTGTACAATTATTATGTGTCAACAAAAAAATATTTATAGTAAAAAAAAAAACCTAACGTGTGTTCTTCTGGAGAGCAATGTGGCCATCTGTATCAAAGCTTACAATATGCGCATGATAAGTTTTACTTTCATTTATTAATCTTAAGGAAGTAGGAGTGGATATGTGCAAAGATTTAGCCATGAAGTTATTTATGGAAGTGTTTTATAATAGGCAAACATTGGAAATAGCCTAAATAAGCAACGATGGGCATTGGTTAAGGAACTCATGGTATGAACATATAATAGAAAATTCTATAGCTATTAAGAATTATTTCTGTGTCATTTTTGTTGATTTTACAATATGTGGATAATGATTAGGCATATAAGCTCTGAGGTCAGCCACCTGGTACTGAGCCTAGGCTCCAATTCTTGCTGGCTGTGTGCCCTTGAGCAAGTTACTTAACCTGTCTGTGACTTGGTTTCTTCATCTGTAAATTAGAGGCTTGTAGTAGTACCTACATCCTAGGTTGGTTATAAATGTCAATTTAACTAAAGCACTTAGAATAATATTAAGCCTATAACATTAGCCTGAGGAACATTAGCTATTTTTAGACTATTGCTAAGTGAATAAAATAAGCTACATTTTTGTTAAATATACTTTGTGTATGCAGAAGAAATTATTTATTCAGGAGTCTAATTGCTAGAAGAATTTTAAAAATTGCATGCTCTAAAAGATTTTTTTACATGTTTAACTATGTAATGGAACCATATAAAGTTACAGAGCTTGGGGAAAGAGTGATCTCATGGGCTGCAGATGATAATGGGATGCTGAAGGAATAGCTGTGCTGCAAGAAAAATGTGTGTGTGTGTTCTTAGAGATTACACACACGCACGCACACACAGGCATACACACACCAAACATGGGCCAAAATGTTCATCAAAATCACTGTATCTCTGTATTATTTTGGTATTTTGGAAATAAGATATCTAAACTCCAAAAAACATAAATTTGGAACAATTGGGGTTTGGGTAAGTGCCATTCTTCTCTAATATGTCTATATCTACATCTATATCAAATGACAAAAATACAGAGTTCATATATCCAAAGATTAACAGTGATTATCTCTGCATGGTGCTTTTAGTTTGTGTTTTTCTATGTTTTCTATTTTAGCATTTGTTTTTGCAAAGAAAAGCTATCTGATATGGTTAGGCTTTGTGTGCCCACCCAGATCTCATCTTGAATTATAATCCCCAGGTGTTTATGGAGCGACCTGGTGGGAAGTGATTGGATTGTGGGGGCAGTTTCCCCCATGCTGTTCTTGTGATAGTGAGTGGGCTCTCATGAGATCTGATGGTTTTACAAGCGTCTGGCATTTCCCCCGCTTGCACTCTTTTCTCTCTTGCTGCCTTGTGCGAAGGCCAAATCTTGCTTCCCCCTTGCCTTCCACCATGATTGTAAGTTTCCTGAGGCTTCCCCACCCATGCAGAACTGTGAGTCAATTAAACCTCTTTCCTTTAAAAATTACCCAGTCATATAGTTTGGCTGTGTCCCCACCCAAATCTCATCTTGTAGTTTCCATAATCACTGCGTGTCATGGGAAGGACCAGGTGGAGATAATTAAATCATGGGGGTGGTTTCCCCATCATGTTCTCATGATAGTGAGCTAGTTCTCACAAGATCTGATGGTTTTATAAAAGGCTTCCTCTTTCATTAGGCACTCATTTTCTCCCCTGCCACCCTTTGAAGAGGTGTCTTCTGCCGTGATTGTAAGTTTCCTGAGGCCTCCCCAGCCGTGCAGAATTGTGAGTGAATTAAACTTCTTTCCTTTATAAATTACCCAGTCTCAGGTATTCCATAGCAGCATAAGAATGAACTAATATGCCCAGTCTCGGGCGTTTCTTTATAGCAGTGTGAAAACGGACTAATACACTATCTTTGATAAAAGGGGAGTAACTTTGCAAAAGGTTCAGGTGGGTCTTTAGTGCACCTGTTGACATCTTCCCTCAATGAAAACCACAGCTTCTATCCCTGTTCAATTGGTTGTTTACGGGGCTAGGAGATCCTATTCATGCCTCTCTAACCTTTTACCCCACTCATTCTCTCTCACTCCATCCCCAGCAGGGGAGGCTCTAGTTTCTTCCTAGACCATGTGCCACTGGGTTGGGGGTGGTGGCTCCTCTGGGAGGGGTGGAGGGACTGTGAGCAGAGCTGGGCTGGATGCACAGCTGTTCTGGCTCTGGGCTCTTGGCCCTGCCTGGGTTGCTCTGTGTGGCTTTTCTCTCCCCTCATGAGGCTGCGGTGGTTAAGCATTTGGAAGGATGTCCACTCCACAGATCCCCACTGAAAAAGATGTTCTACAAAGCCTGTGCAGTTCACTTCAGCCTGCCTCCGGTCCTGAGTAAAGAAGAGCTCATTGTTCATGATGCACAGGCTGGGTTACAGGGAAGGAGGTGAGGTAGGAATAGGGACTGAGTCTTTTCTGTCCCTCAGAGCCCAGCAGAGACACCTGTGCCATGGCAGGGTGTGTCCTAAAGCATTCTATAGTCCTGGGTCTTTGTCAGAGACAGATCAAGGTAAGTGTGATGTTAAGGGGACTGGAATTTGGGAGATGGTTCTCTCCCAAATTCCTAAGTAACTGACTGCCTTCAGGAGTACTGTACTGAGCAGCACTAGCACCTAGGCAGTCACTGAGCAGACAGTACCATCCGCCTGCCTTTCAGGGTGTCTCATCACCCACTCATTCCAGAAGCTGGCAGGATGTAGTTCAGGTATCCACTGTGATGGACTTGGTGACCTTCTGGTCTTCTGGCCCCATGAACTTCCCTCCAGTTAAATCTCCCCTATCTCTCACCACTCTCTCACCTTCTGACACAGGGACCTAGGTCTTCTTTCTGACCCTCAAGACCTTGGTCAGAGCAGGCGTGGGCAACTAGAGTGACTTAAGAATGCTTGACTCTTGATGACACCATGGCCAGTTCTGGGATCTGTTGTCCTGGAAAGAGGTGTGAATGGTGCTGTGAAGTCCACTCAGACTCCCAGACCACTTTGTCATGGAGTGAGGGAGAGGGTGGTGTTGATGCTGGCTCCAGGCCACATGCAGGTATGTAGTGTCCTCCCTGCAATGGCCCCTCGTCACCTGCATTCGTCGCCTGCATTCCTCTCCTCCTCTGGACTCTGACCCCTTTGACAGCTTGGACCTACTCTCTATGCCCATCCTTATATTTGGATTCAGATTTGTTTCTATAACCTCTTTGTCTTGATGTCTGAAGCTTTCCTTGCGGGTAGTGGTGGTAGATGTCCCTTGTATGGGGACCCACACATGGATGTGCCTCCTGTTCTTGAAACAGCCCCTCCACATCCTTGCCTAGCCCTGGCTCCACTCCCAGCCTTGTCCCCTTGCCCAGGAGGAGAGGCCCAGAGCAGAGATACAAATTCCTCTAAATTAATGTATGAATCTGGCCAGGCATGGTGGCTCACACCTGTAATCCCAGCACTTTGGGAGGCTGAGGTGGATAGATCACCTGAGGTCAGGAGTTCGAGACCAGCGTGGCCAACATGGCAAAACCCTGCCTCTACTAAAAACATTAAAAATTAGTTGGCCAGGTGATGGGTGCCTGTAATCTCAGCTACTTTGGAGGCTGAGGCAGGAGAATCACTTGAACATGGGAGGCAGAAGTTGCAGTGAGCTAAGATTGTGCCACTGCACTCCAGCCTGGGTGACAGAGCAAGGCTCTGTCTCAAAAAAAAAAAAAAAATTTATGAATCTAATGCAATTTGAATCAACATCCTAGTTATTTCTTTTTCTGGGAATATGGCAAGCTAATTCTAACTTACTAAAATTGATCTAGTAGGTGAAGTGATTAAGACTAGTCAAAAGTTTTTCAAGACAAAAAAAAGTAATATGAGAACTTGTACTGCAAAGTCAAAATATCCTAGGAAGCCATGGTTTCTTGCTCATAAAATGGAGAAAAAAATGCTTCCCTGCAGGATTTTTTGAAAAGATAATAAGGCATAGTGTGTAAAGTTCATGGGAACTGATAAATGATGGTGGAGATTATTTTATTCTTGATGTAGCTTAGATAAATGTGTGGGGTTGGGGGCACAGTGAAAACAGCACCTGCCTTCTCATGTCTGCTGGTGAACTAGGAAGGACTTCTGGATGGGAAAGGGGAAGCGGTTGGTGTGGGATGCAGATGAGAAAGAAAAAACTCTAAGCACCCTCAGCTGACTTAATGGACCCCCTCTTGCCCAAGAGGACCCCAGATAAACCTTGGAAATTACATTCCCAGCCATGACATGATGAGAGGTTGAACACATCTCGTTGTCCCCCATCCCTCGCTAACCACCATTAGGCTTTCTTCCCCAAGGGCTAAACAGAAACCAGCCCTTTCAAAAGACTGCACCACTGAGTTCAACCAACCACCTGGTGCTGCTAAACCCTTTTGCAGTTTTGACAAAACAACCCCACATTCCCTCCTGATGAGAGACCACAGACAACGGGGTGGTTCTGTCCAGTCTAGGGAGGAGTGCAGTGAGAGCTTTCGTGTCCTCTGCTTCACCTTTGACATCAGAGGTCCTAAAACTCGCATGACCCTTGCATCATGCTAAGGCTGCATTTTTTTTTAACATAGTCTCACAGGGAAGCATGAAGCTGACTTGCACATGAGCATGCTTCTCCTCTCATAAATATTCATGACTCCTTCTGTAGCTTATTGAATATGTATATCTGGCCACCTAATTTAGCATGAATCCCTGTCTTACGCGTGTTTGTGGGGTTACGGGGGTTGGTACAGTAAAACACCCTTGAAGTTCCTGTTTCTGGGTTTTGGTTGTAAGCTATGGTTCTCAGCCTGCATGTTGCAATGTTTTATGAGAATCAAAGCTTTCCTTTCCAAATTTATGAATCTCGTCTTTCTTCCACTGACACAGAGCATGTCAAAGGTCTAGAATAGCAGCTGGAATTGTACTGCTGATCAAGGACACGAGTGGTTGAGGGCCTAAATCAGACAGGAACTCACTGATAGGTGTTGTATTACAGGGTGGATTCCCTAGCGGTTTGACCCTGAGCAAATTACTTAACCTCTTTAGACCTCTCTTCTCTAATATGGAAAATGTGAATTAATAACTACCACCTATAATATTGCTGCAAACAGCAAATGGTAGTGCATGGAAAGTATTTAGCATTCTGCTTTGGTTTGTTGTTGTTGGTCTTCCAATACTACCAAATTCTCCAACTCTCTGGACACCATCTGGGTGCCCTATAATTTAACTCAATTCTGATGCTACCAGGAGTTAGTGTGGACCCCACAAGACTGCACCCCATTTCAGATGCCAGTTGCAAGTGGTGGGTCCCCAGGTCACCTACAACTTCTGTCTGACTTGGCAACAAATTGGGAATTTCCATAACCTCCTTCTTAGATTTGATAATTTGCTATAATGGCTCATAGAACTCAGGGAAACATTTGCCTTATGTTTATCCGTTTGTTATAAAGGATACACCTCAGGAACAGCTGAACAGAAGGAATGCACAGGGAAGGTGTAGGCCAATGTGCATAGAGCTTCCACAATCTCTCAGGTTACAGCACGCCCCTAGCACCTGGATGTGTTCACACATCCTATCTTGTTGTTTAAGAGTTTTCAACAGAGCTTAGTCTCCAGCACTCTCTCCTTTTTGGAGGTTGACTGGTGAAGCTGAATGTTTCCATCCTCTACCACTTAGTCTTCCTGGCAACCAGCCACATCCTGAGGCTCTCTAGGGGTCCCACCTTAAGTCACCTCGTTAACATGAACTCAGGTGTGACCGAAGACACTCCTCTCACTCTAGAAATTACAAAGGTTTTAGGGGCTCTGTGCTAGGAACCAGGAACAAATACCAAATATATTTCTTATTATCTCACAGAGTATTGCCTGGTATGTAGGGAGTACTCCACGAGTGGCAGCAATGGTTATTTTTGAGGCAGATCATTGGTTTTGCTGTGCTTTGCAGGGAAAGGGTGACTGAACCAGGAAACTGAGGGCTCTTGTGGTCCAGGTCTAAAGCAAGAGCTCCAGGCTGGGTGAGGAAAGAGGTAAGAACAAGATGGGAGATTCAGAACACACAGGCACCCAGGGAGATAGGGATGATTTTCTTAATATTTCCAAGTGTGCTAGTAGTCACCTACATGGCCTTCAGTCTATTCTGGAGGCAATCTCAGAACCATCTGGGCAGGAAATTTTGGGCCTAGAATACCTGGGACATGATCTTTAAGGGCAGCTGGGGTGGTTCTCTGGCCTCGTGAATTCCTTGCCGTATCCAAGATGAGGTTCCTGAATGTCAAGGTACCATGCAGGGCCTTTACTTGCCTGGGCTGAGGACTCTACTGCCTGTCTAGACAGCTTCTAACTGTAGCAAACTAGAAAAGGATGCTTGTCCGTCAGAGTTGTTTTTCTTCATTTTCTGTAGAGTCTTTCTCATGTGATTGCAGTCCAAAGCAGTGCCTGGGGACCTTGTGCCTGAGGCATGAAGGTCTTGTCTTTCTGGCTTTGTCCTCATGTCCTATTTAGGTTTACAGTGGCAGGCACACTGTGACGATGTGAGGATGTCTCTTCTAAAAATGGATGCGAATTCTTCTCAAACCTCAAAGTTCCCCACGGTCTGCACGGGACTGAGCTTGGAGAGGAGAGCCCCTTTCTTCCCTTAGGAAATCCTTATCATAGAGTGGCAGGATCCCCCCTGCCCTTCATGTGGATGGCAAGCAGCGATTAAATCAGCATCTCTACAGTCACTGGCTAACAGGGAGCAAGGGGATTAACTGGTGCTCATTTTGCAAGTAATTAAAAAATGTGTTACCATGATGAACTCTGGGAAGAAATTTTCTGGAAGCAATATTTACTATTTGGAGAATTTCAACTCTGAGTCCTAAAAGAGCCTTCCAAGCAGCAAGGCTGGAAGTAGCTGCAAAAGGAATAATAACTTTCAACACTGGTGTCCATGTTTTACTGGGGCTGGGTCTCTCATTGGCTTCCTCATCAGAAAGCAAAAACATCAGATTGTCTCAGCTGTCTTATGGTGTCACAGAATTAGGGGATACTTAATGTCGCTGAGCATAGGAGACTGACAGTGCTTGCTTTGGGAATTGGAGGCTGGTGTAGTGGCCAAAACTCTATGTTCAGGGATGCCCTTAGTCTAGATATTCTGTCATGTTTCTAAAACCGTGTACTTCGATTTCAGGATGTTAGAATATTATCAAAGGTGGGTAGTGAATGTGCTTTTGGAGAAAAATCATATTAAACATTTTAGTAGGTGCTTTGTTATACAAGATGGAGAATTTGAAAAGCCATGTTCTAATTTAGGGCAGCATTTGAATGTTTCGCATCGTAGCAAGTTTCTCTTCTTTGCAAGAAGTGAGTGTGCTATATGGAGAGAAGAAATATGATGCTGGTCCTGGACAGCTGGAAACTGAGCAGGTGCTTAATTGTGCTATGCCTCAGTTTCCTCATCTGTAAAAGGAACATACTTTGGGCTGTAAGAGCTGACTGTGAAGAATAGATCAGACATTGTGTGTAAAGTGCCTATCCTAAGGAGTTGTTTGAAGCCACCTAATGCATGCCCTGGTTGCTGACCCTTTGCTCAGCTCTTGGGTCCACCTTTCATAGCTTCTTGAATCTCAGGATATCTGCTGGTTTAGACCATTTGCAGGGATCTAGTCTCTCCACTTTGCTTTATTGCTGGCTCTTTGTCCTGTCCTGAATTTTGCTTCCTACCCAACTTTGGGTCACACCATTGCCCTGACCTTTCCTATCTCCCTTTGTGCTCCTTGTTAGGGTGAGTGTGTCCCGCCCACTCCTCAACTTTTCTTCCATCCATCTCATGATGAAGGAGTAGCTTAATTCGATTGGTGAATCTGGAATAAATAAACTGGCAGGCTCAGCTCTAAGACCCCTTTTGTCCTTTTGGGATGAGCTGCCTCCAGGGAGCAGCAGTTTCTTTTAGCTTTCCCAGGCTGTGTCACCCTTGGGCAGACTCCTCCACACCCCACCTGGTATGGGTACCCTGGTTTTGCACTGCTTATAGGGCAGCCCCTCACAAAGCTCATTTGCCCACAGTTATCCGCTGTGTCCTTCAACTTGACTCTTTACTGGGAATAAAACTGAGAGTCTAGTGTCTAGGGAGGCATATTGGTTAAGAAATTGGTCTCTGGAGTTAAAGTACCTTGGTTCAAATCCAAGCTCTGCCACTCACTTGGAGTGAACATTTTTTGTGTGTGTGAAAATTTTGCAAACCCCTAAACCCCACTGACCCTCAGTTTTCCTTCTGTAAGAGGAGGGAAACAATAGAAACTACTTCATAGTTCTGTTGGGAGCATTATACGAGTTAGTATATGTACAATATTTGGAACAATGCCTGCCCCTGGTAACTATAACTGAGTGTTGGCTAACTGTACGTATCAGTGTATTCAGGGCTTGCCCAGGGAAGGTGGAGAAGAGCACCACTTAGGCACTTCAGAGACCCATTCCCAGGTCCTGTTCCTCTACTGGTACCCTCAAGGGTGGCTTCAGAGCCAAGGCCCTCCTGACCACACCCCAGCACCTGCCTTTGTCATGCTTCCCATGTAAGTCCACTTAATCCATGTGGGTTACTTCCCTAGGTTTCAAATCGATTATTATCTCCGCTGGAGGAGTAGGGAGCAAAATGAAAATGGAGCATTTGTCTCCTCCTCTGTCATCAGTTACCATCACCCCATTCCCCTAGACCATGGGCTACCTCCTACTCATTCATGTTGTGAATTCAAAGAGTGCTAGGATGCCCCATCTGTTTTTTACCCCAGCCTTCAAAAACTTCTGTCTGCTCTGGATTTTAACCTTTAGGAAATCGTTCTTGCAGATACGAACCACTGTTTGGTAATGATCTTTGGTAGATCAAGACCAATGGGTCTTCCATTGCTCTTTAGTTGGTTCCTTTAAATGCTGAGCTCTTTTGAGAGCCCCTCACCTTCTACCCCTTCAACAGCGATTTACTACTTGATCCCCTTTCTCATTTGGACAACCTTTATTAACCAATGGCTATGGGCTGGGTGTCTATGGGAAGGTAAGATAACTGCCACAGAAGAATGTGTAGTCCAGTGGTGCTTAAACCGTGCTCCATGGTGTACTATGTACCCTCTAGAGGCCCCTCACCAGTCACCATGGAGAGAATGTGTGTGTGTGTTGGGGGGGTGGTTCTGAGTGGTTGGGGTCTTACCCCACTCCCAACATCCGTCCAGCCCTGCTGTTTTTCTTTCTTTTGCATATTGAGCTTCTGAGCAAGATTTCATCCACAGAAAGGATTGCACTGTTAAAAAAGATAAAAAAAAAAAATAGTTGGGCCGGGCACGGTGGCTCACGCCTGTAATCCCAGCACTTTGGGAGGCTGAGGCAGGCAGATCATGAGGTCAAGAGATCGAGATCATCCTGGCCAACATGGTGAAACCCCGTCTCTACTAAAAATACAAAAATTAGCTGGGCCTGGTGGCGTCGGCCTGGTGGCACATCCCTGTAGTCCCAGCTGCTTGGGAGGCTGAGGCAGGAGAATCTCTTGAACCCGGGAGGCGGAGGTTGCAGTGAGCCAAGATCATGCCACTGCACTCCAGCCTGGTGACAGAGCGAGACTTCGTCTAAAAAAAAAAAAAAAAAAAAGTTGAAAAACTATTGACCTAATTTTTCCCACTGAATTTATTCAGCATGGCTTTTTATAGTGGTTTCACCCTCCCAGCTTGCATTTGGCCAACAGGATGACCTGGCCAATGTCTTGGCACCAGTCACCTACGGACTCAACCAGAGAGGACCTCTGAAGCTGTCCCCTCAGCAGGTGAGTGTCACCTTTTGTATTGGAGAAAGATGTTTTGTGGTCAAGGTTAGTATTATTTGCAATAATAAGTAAATAAGGAATTTGTTAGGGGAGGTATCACACATAAATTGACTCTGAAGGCAGTCTCAAAACAGTTTCAAAAATGTTTTAGGCAGTGACAACACTATTGAAACACACTCATGGCCCCTAAAAATACTAGAAGCTCTAAAATAAGCTCTCAAAGTTGTTTTGTAGGACTCATAATATCAAACTATAACTTTCCAAAGGACAGGAGACTGGACTTTTCTTTAACTTTGTGGTGTGTTTGTTATGGCAACAACCCAGGGATCTAAGATAATCAGGGGCTGATGGCTCAATCACTGATCTATAGAGATGCATCTAATATAACCAATCAATATCTGGCTCATTCTGTTTTTATAAAGATATTTATGCAATCCACATATTTGCATGTTCATAGAGCATTTCTGGAAGATGTTCTAGCATGTTAGCTTCATAGAGTAAGCCTTATGTTTTTCTGTTTTGTTCACTAATGTGGTCAAAGATGATGCCTGGCATGTAATAAATCTTTAATAGCTATGCATTGAATGAGTAAACTCACAATAAAATGGTAAGGGTGGTTACCTTTAGGGATTAGGACTAGAGATTGGTGAAACTATTACTTTTCAATTTATATCCACATATGGCATTTATATGAAGAGGGCAGGAAGACTGTCTGCTTTTCTCTTTGTATTTGCTCCTTTACCCACAGAGAGGAAGAAATTTCTGCCTTTGCTTTCACTGCTATCTTTTGGCCTTAAGACTCCTCCATGGCCAGCCCAAATCAAAAAGGAATGCACAATCTGGCTGGTTGTTCTTGGACCATGTATTCTTAGTGGGCAAGATTCCACTCTTCCTCTCTCATTTCCTATCTCCATTGCTTTACGATCAGGGCCCCCCTTCCAGAAGAAGGCCTGGTCATGATTCTACTCTCAATTTCAGCTTTTCCATTAGTGTTTGGTTCATGGGGCTAGAGGCACATGAGCATTGAAATTTGTCCTTGTCTTAGTTCATTTGGGCTGCTGTAACAAAATAACATAAATAGGTGGCTTATACACATCAGAAATTTATTTCTCTCAGCTCTGGAGGCTGGGAAGTTCAAAAGCAAGGCATTGGCAGATTTGGTATCTGGTAAAGGCCTGTTTTCTGGTTCATAGGTGGCCGTCTCCTCGCTGGAACCTCAGATAGCAGAAGGGACAAGGAAGCTGTCTGGGCTGGGGTCTCTTCTTTTTCTTTTTTTTGAGACAGAATCTTGCTCTGTTGCCCAGGCTGGAGTGCAGTGGCATGATTTCCGCTCACTGCAGCCTCTGCTTCCTGGGTTCAAGCCATTCCCCTGCCTCAGTCTCCCAAGTAGCTGGGACTACAGACATGTGCCACCATGCCCAACTAATTTTTGTATTTTTAGTAGAGACAGGGTTTCACCATGTTGCCCAGGCTGGTCTCGAACTCCTGAGCTCAAGTGATCCACTGGCCTCGGCCTCCGAACGTGCTGGGATTACAGGCATGAGCCACCACACCCAGCTGGGTCTCTTCCTGTAAGGACAAAAATCTCATTCATGAAGGCTTTGTCCTCATGACCTAATTACTTCCCAAAGGCCCCACCTCCAAATAGTTTTACAATGGGAAAGATGTTTTAACATATGGATTTTGGAGGGACACAAACATTCCTTCTGTGGCATTCCTCAAACCTGGATATTTTAGATACAAGCAAGTTGGGTATAGGAAACCCTGAGACAGAGCAGCTCAGCAGAGATGCTTTAATTTTGGCAACACAGCTCTCCTGGTGATTCATAAAAATTCTAAGTTGTAGGCTGGGTGCAGTGGCTCACGCCTATAGCCCCAGCACTTTGGGAGGCCAAGGCGGGCAGATCACCTGAGGTCGGGAGTTCGAGACCAGCCTGACCAACATGGAGAAACCCCATCTCTACTGAAAATACAAAATTAGCCAGGTGCGGTGGCGCATGCCTGTAATCCCAGCTACTCCGGAGGTTGAGGCAGGAGAATCACTTGAACCCAGGAGGCGGAGGTTGTGGAGAGCCGAGATTGTGCTATTGCACTCCAGCCTGGGCAACAAGAGCAAAACTCTGTCTCAAAAAAAAAAAAAAAAAATTGTAAGTTGTTTCCCATTTGGCTCTTGTCCTTCTAGGTACAGTTTCTGCAAATGAGGCCTGCAGTGTGGTATGTGATAGGATTCAGAAACCCAGAGCCCATCCCAACCTCATGATACTGCAGTGCTTTTACTTGTTTAGTTTACCATGTGCAGATGTAATTCTGAAATGAGTATATGGATCAGAACATAATAACATGTGGGGAGTGAGTACGAAAAAAGTATTTTTTCCTCCACCTACACAACAGAATAAAAGAGTTGTTTTTCATAAATTCTGTTGAAGGCAATTTGTATTTATAAACAGGAGAATTAATAATAATAATAGGCTGGCAGGATGATTTGGCATTAAGAGGCCTTTTGTCTAAGAAAACTAGTTCATAGAATCATTAAATACTTTGTTTAAAATTGAAAAGTAAAGGAACAGAGTTAACCCCAAAGCTTTGGTGTCTGAAGCAGAGACTTAACAAATTCAGTATGGGTGAGTGTAAGGAGTAAGTGCTATGTAATGACCAAAAAAAGGATTGTAATACTGCCACACATATCTCAGAAAAGTTGATCTACTAGGGAATGTGTGTGGATGGACACTTTTGCTGTTCTGAGATGTCTGTGATCTGTGCCAATAGGCATCAGTATTGTGTTAACAATAACAGCAATTGCAACAACAACACCTAAGACTCATTGAATGTTTATTATGAACTACACAGACATTCTTTACATGTATCGGTCCAATGAGGAAGCTTCTATTATTATCTCGTTTTACAGGTAAGGAAATGAACACTC
Source organism: Homo sapiens (assembly GCF_000001405.40). Lineage (NCBI taxonomy): Eukaryota > Metazoa > Chordata > Mammalia > Primates > Hominidae > Homo > Homo sapiens. Next base: position 26,751,866 of record NC_000008.11, read on the forward strand.
AGGTTGGCTTAGGTCACATGCTGCTAAGGGGCATGGGTGGGATCAGTGGAGTGTTGAAGTTGGCTTGTACAGGCTCTTGAGAGCTGACTGTGCACACCTCTTCCCAACAGTGTGTTCAACAACATCATGTCGCTACCTTGAATTTGGCCATTGTGGGATAATTTACACCACAAAAATTGACAAAATGCCACACATCATGTGGCAATTTTGTTTTTTTTTTCCAGAGAGCTCATTGGCAAACATTCTAACAAATCACTAGATAGGATTCAAACCCAGGCAGTTTGACTGGAGAGCATTTTGGTAAAGATGCATGTTTTCAGGCCAAAGTATTGATAATGGTATTAACAATTTTCTTATTGTGTGAGCCACTTTTATTGGTTGGTTTTATAGATGAGCTTGAGGAGGCGGTGTCTCATTTACATGGGGCATAGTGGATTGGTTGGACCAGGTGTGCTATTTACATAGTACCAGAGGAGGCTGGCCATCCCACCCTAATCTTTTATTATGCAAATGAGGTCTTTACCTGGCCTGTGCCATGTTACCTGCACATGTGGCAACAAAGAAAAGGGAAGGGAAAACCTCCATTTTGAATATAACTGGCTTCCAGGTATCCCTTTTTTATTGGTACAGCTGCCGGCATTTACCTATGCAAGCTTCAAGCTTGCTTATCTGTGCCTGCAGCTTGATTTTTCAGGCTGCTTTTTGTTAGAAAAGAAATTATTTTGGGGCTGCTTTTTATTAAAAGGAAATTCCACTGAGAGCTCTTTTGCCCTAACTGCCTAAATAATTTCTTTTTAGCTCCTGTATTACTATCAGTTGACTTAGATGCCAAGGACTTTGGGTGGAAAATAATGATCCCTCTTCACCAGGAAGCAGATGCTCAGCTTTGTGGATAGTCAAAATGACAGCCACAAAAACCCCCTAGCAAGATCACTGAGAAAAAGAACAACCTGTAATTGCTGAGTGCTAACTATACGGCAGGCATTTCCTTAAATCTTTAACTTCATGGTTTTATTTCATTAGCCCAGAAGCCCTCTAATGATGTACAGTAGTCATTGTTCTCATTTTTGAGAAGAGGAAATGAGGATTTGGAGATGTTGAAACATTGGCTTGAGATCTTCTAAGTGGCGAGTGGTTGAGGGAATTAGGAGCCTATAACAGCTGCCAGACAATCTGACTCCAGAGTTCATGTCCCCAAGGAGGAAACCACATTGCTGAGGAGTCCCACTGAGGGAGTGGGGCCGAAAGGGTAGCCCTGAGGCTTTCAGGTTCTGAGCCCATGGCTAGAGAAGAACCTCCATCAAAGAACTCATCATCAAAACACAGCTGTGTTGTCTGTGATCTTCTCTGACCTCGGCCCTCATAACCTATTGCCTTGGCTATGGGTAACTTAATATGTCCTGTCTTGAACACATCCAACATTACCATGTGCCTGACTTCTAATACCACCTTCCCCTGCTACCTGCCTCTAAACCTGATGATCCAGGTGTATTCTGGTCCTTGCCCGTATCTTGAATGCGGCCCCTGTACACCCTATGTCCAATCTACCCTATTTATTGTTATTTGTTTTGCAGTATACTTTCTATTTTTTTTTAAAGTGAGGATATAAAAATGAGATTCTTGAAGAAAATAATAAAGTGTTGTCTTTGGAAGGTAAACTTAAAGGCACCTTATATTTTGCTCTTCCTATACTTATTTACTTATTTCCTACATTTTCTATAATGAATGAGTTATTTCTATCACAAAAAAATGCTACTTACAAACGGATAAATGAAGACAGTCTTAAAATAAATCTTAATACCTATTCATCCAAAAAGCAAAAGACACTTTGCAAACTATTACAATCTACCTCATTTAGCCCGCTGAAGACACCAATTTTCTTTGCACTACCCACTCCATTTCTCAAGAGACATTAACAACACACCATGATTGAAAAACTAGGGTGTTATGTGTTTAAAGAAAGAGGTTTAAAATATTTTATTAGAGAACACATATCAATATTGAACAACACTTAAATAGATGGCATTCATATTAATAAGGACAATATAAATTCTTATAATTTGAACAGTCAGTTTGTTCAACAAATAAAATAAATTCATTTTTATCAGTGGGCATGATCCATGAAGTATATTTTTTCAATAATTTATTCATCTGCTTAGTACTATATACATTCATTTTCTTTGAAAAGAAACATAAAATCAACGTGATTGTTTATCTCATCACATCATAAACAGATGGACCTGTAAAAATGGCGTGTAGAAAATTCAGAAACACTTAAACAGCACATTCCAAGGATACTGAGTCCATTTAAGAGAAATTAAACTCTTTGAAGCCATTGTAGTCAGCCTGGGTGTCATATATATTCATTGATACAAAATGTTGCCACAAATTCAAGTATAATGATTCACACACATAAATATATTATTCTGACACAGAAGAGAATGCTCCCTTGAATAGTATAGCGTGCATACCAAACTCTCAGCACGATTCAGATTAACTTTTTTTTTTAAATGGAAGGAAAGGTAATGACATCGTCAACTTAGTCGACCAAATACCAAACCTGGAGAAGGTGGATGTGGTTCACAAACACTGCACAGTTAGAAATTGCACCTTACATGGAATCTTATTTGTCACAACAATTGTTAAAGGTTACAGAAAAACCATAGCAGCTAAAATCAGCCAGTCAGCCCACATTTGCTTCTCTGGCAACATGGAAATGCTGTGTTTGTATTTTAAACAAATGTAACAAGGAGACAAGCAGAAACGCTGCAGCAAGCCAGGAAATGTCACCGGGTTCATGGTTAAATGGCGTCAGCTTTATTTACTAAAGTATAATTTTAATTTCACAGGCAAAATGAACCTCCAGATTTGTTTTCCTTAGCCCCAGCAAGTCAAGTCCTTCCTAACTGTTAGTTGATTGCAAAAGTGCAGCTTCAAGTCTGTCCCTTTTGCTTTCATTTCCCCCCTGCCCCACCTCTGCTCCATCAGGTTTGTAACACAAGCAGACACTCTTTCATACGCTTCAATGTAGCGTGAGCTGTGACCCTTGGATGGTGTGAAAGCCAGCCTTTGGGGATATTATAGTGATTCAGTTATTTTCTGTTTTTTCTTTTTGTTGTTGTTGTTGTTGTTGGAAAAACTTGTTTTTTAAAAACATGCTGCATAACATCTTCTTGCTAAAAACAATTTCTCAATTAGTAGGAACACTGAATTGCTTTGTATATGATTTGCTTGTTAAGAAGTCCAAAGCATTTGGTTATTCTTAAGAATTAAGCACTTCCATTCTTGGGCAAATATTTATTTGTATGAAGAGAAAGAAATAGACCTCCTTTTTTTTTTTTTCTCTGTTTAGCCATCCCACTGTAATGCTGCACTAAGCCTTGAGAACAAAGAGAATCACGCAACTGGGAAACCAAGGCTTTGTGATTTTCAGCCAAGCCAAACATGGTCACTCTGTCAGGAAAGCCTTGGACTCATCCCTGACTGACTGGCTGTTTCAGTGAGTTCTTTCTTGGCTTAAAAAAAAGAGTGAGAAGAAGAGCAGTTGTGTGGTTTGCCTGTGGGGACTTGGGCAATGGGGGTTTGTAGAGCCAAGTGGCCACCATGATAAGCGAGACTGACTTCCCTGTGCCCCGACATTTGGGAGGAGGCAGCACCCCCAGCACACGCCTGAGGTTCACCAGCCCCTGGGCCTTGGCACAGATTCCTCCCTTCTTTGCCTGGAACAACTGTTTCTGTTCCCCACCCCATTGTGTCCTCCAGGATTCACCGTAGAGATCACCACTTTTGATAAGCCTAACTCTGCAGCCGGCTGAGGCCCTTCACCAAGCTCCCATGGCACTGTATTACCATCACAGGTGCTTGGAGGGCAAGGACTATGTCTCTGCCCTTGTTATTCTCCACCCCCTGGACTTGGCGCTGGAGCACAGTAACCCCACACTGAATATTATAGAGTGAATAAAGAAATGAGAGAGCAGAGACTGCAAGAGCAGCTCTCTTTGAACGAAGGGGATTTTGTTTTGCAGGGTGATTTTCATGTCTATGAATGTTCTAGAATTTGAGGGACACTAACTTTTACAAGTTAAATGTGCCTAACTTTTTTTTTCTTTTAAAATATTTTATTCTGAAAAATTTCAAACATGCACAAACATGGAAGAACGGCATGTGGCCTTGCCTGCCATTCTTATTTCATCTATCACACTTGCTTCCCCACTTTTGGCAATAAAACTTTAAAGCAAATTGCAAACATACTTCGATATGCACTTACCAGTTAAGGACAATGCCATTATCACATCCAACAAAATTTAAAATAACGATCTAATTATCTAACATCTAATAGGACACAGCCTATGCTTAATTTTCTCCAATTACTTCAAAAATGTCTTTTTACACTTTGTTTCAATCTAAATGAACAAGGCTTGTACAGTATACTTGATGAATACATCTCTTAAGAATATTTTAACCCATAAAAGTTCCCCTTTTAAAAATGCCATTTACTTATTGAAGAAACTGGGGTGCCTTATGGAATTCCTCACACCCTACACGTGGCTGATGATTCTCAATTAACTTTTAAGAATGAAATGGGGGAGGGAGGTTGTATGAAACTGATTTACAAAAAATCGAGCTATTTGTCCCTGAAGGCTCTTTTCCTCTTTCCCTTTGCATTCATGATCATTCCTTAAGTTACTGTTTTTCCTGTATCAGTAACAGTAACATGTTGGATTTGTGCCTTAGTCAGATGGATGCTTGATAAAGAAGTAAATCCAAGTGTCAGGCAAGGCTCCTGGGCTCCTGGGGTGGATTCCAAAGACAGTGGGTCGCAGGACCAGTGGTGGGTTTCATGCTCCCCTTCCTTGGGCAGTAAGGACAACAGTCGTGGACGGGAAGCTGGCTTCATGTCATGGGTGTGTGTCCCTTTAAAACACAAGGTAGACTAACATTTAATTAATCATGCATTTTTAATATCCTAGGCATCATGCATCAATGTGATCACAATTTTATCCTTTTGTAGAGTAAGAATTCTTACTCCAAACCCAATGTGTCCATTTTTCCAAGTTCAGACTTCAGTAGAGCGGGTTCTCAAGTTGAGGATCCCTCTCATTTCCTCATTAGCCAGGCTGGTCACATTCTGCTCCCTGTGAGATGATGCTTTTGGTCTTCTTTCTCCAAACACTGAAAGAACTGAATACTCTTCTTTTTAATTTGGGCCAACACCAATCCGTTCATCCTTGCAGCTGCTTCTCAAAATCCAGAAGACTGAAATAGCCATAGACTGTGTTTATATAAAGCAGAGTTGGGCCAAGAACCTCATCCCCGAAAGTGACTTTTTTTCCTCTCTTTAAAACAAGTTTGAGATTCTGAGTCACGAGAGACCATTTGGCAGGGAGATGGCAGCAAGTCCCTGCCAAATTCAGCCTCCGAGCATGGCTGACTACCCCGTCAGCCTGAGTCGTGGTGAGCTGAGCTTGCAGTGTGGACTTCCCTGTGAAGCCACCTGCCTAGAAGGCTGCTGGAGACCACTTAAAGGGTGCCCCAGAAATGTCTAGACTCGACTGGCAGAACCTGAAATTAGAACTAAGATTGTGACCTGGAGCTTCCATGAGAGTCTGGAAGTACAGCTTCAAGTCTGTCCCTTTTGCTTCCATTTCCCCCACCCCCCACCTCTGCTCCATCAGGTTTGTAACACAAGCAGACACTCTTTCATATGCTTCAATGTAGCATGAGGTGTGACCTTTGTATGATGTGAAAGCCAGGCTTTGGGGGTATTATGGTGATCTTCAATTTGCAGTGAAGTCAAAACGACCTCTGTTCATGATTGGGAATTTGTGGTTTTGGCTTGTAAACATTTACTTCCAGTAGTTGCCCACGCCAAGAGGTGTTCATCCCATATTTCCTTAGATGATGTTACATCTTAGTTTTGCTTCAAATGCTGTACTGTCTTCCAGTGGTCAAAACTACTTCTCTTTCCCATAACATCATTTATATAAGCACACGCACACACACAGGCAGACACTCACACCTTTTCTATAATGACTGCATTTTATGTAGCATCTTTCATAGGACAACTATGATAACTTAATATACTTTCTATTGCTAAGTAAGTAGCCAATGTGAGGAAGATGACAAACGCCAGCCTTGGATACTCTTGTTCTGGGCTGTCTACAATTCAGAGAGCTTGGTGGAAATCTTCAAAGTAGTGTAGTTTGCCTGATTTTTAAAAGCTAAGACAAATTTTCCAGGTGGGGATATTTCCAACCCAAAGAAAATAGTGTGGTGTGGGGAATAACTGAGAGTTGGGATTTAGTGCCTAGCACCTTGAATGTAGGAATGACAGGACCTGAGCCGCGGTGCAGCAGGTAGTTTGTGACCTGCTTTCTAATTACAGAGAAATGAATGTCTTCAGGTGGGGATGACCAGCTCCTGGAAATGTAAACCTGAAGTGAGATAAAGAGCAAAGGAAAGTGAAGGACTTATTTTCTCTCTTCCTGCACATGGCACTTTCAGTGCTTGAAGATACTTTAAAGGTGATCTAATTTTTAGTTGTGTCTTATTCAGATGGCATTTGAGAGGGGAAATGAAGATGGGAATAGAGTGCTAGCATTTATAGGGGGCCTACTATGATTTTATAGCTTTATCACCTCATAAGGCATTTCATGTACACAATTGTATCTGCTAATCCCATTTCACAGGTGAGGAAAATGGCTCAAGAGAGGTCACGTGATTTGTTCAGGGCCACTTAAATAGGTACAGAGATGGGAACTGCAATGAAGCCCAGGCCCGTGGTTCCCAGTCCATCATCGGTCTTCTCTCAACACCATTTTCCAGGTCCTTCCAGTGCCCTTCCTAGCATGGGCATTGGGGTGGAGTTGGGAAGGTCACGTTTAGCAAGCTAAGAGGTGAGCACAGGAGAACACCAGGAGAACACACAAGAGAGCGCAGCTCTTTCCAGTATTTCTCTTTTTCAAAACTCCCTGCAGACTTGACTTACTTGCCTCTTCTCATACCCATAATGTTGTATTTATTCTCTGGGAAAATTTTTTTTTGTAATGTGACTATGAAATCTCATACCTTACCATATCATGTGCAAAAACTTGGCATGTAGTGGATACTCTGAAAATACAATTTTTACTATTTAAACTTTATCTTTGTAAATCATCATGGATGCATTATAGGCAGCAAAATGATTTCGTTGTCAGGAATATTGGATTAAGTTTCTGTGTTAATACTGGAGAGTGAATTGCTTGTGACTTGTTATACCCAGAGATAAAAATAGTTTGTTTTCTCTCACATCTGATGAAGAAAGCATGTGTTTTTGATTCAGCTTTAAATACTGAGGCAGAATTTCTGTTGCACAAATGTCAGCTCTCACTTGTTGAAGTTTAGGTATCAGGGTTGCATATGGTATTCAGAAGAGGAAGACGGGGCCAGATAAGCTGCTGGGAATGGAGATGAAAGCAAGCAAGGGACCTCAGTTTTTATTCAATTACTTCCCAATAAAAGTATGACTCTTTTTTTTTAAAGTATGTAGAAAACTAGCAATGGATTGTTATTTAAATATTTGTAATGCTTGCTTTGATCTTCAAAATACTTCACAGAAGTACTTTTTAATAGCCTTCCTACTTGTCGGATTGAATTTGGGCATCCTTATTTGTAGATTCAAGCTGTCATTCAGCACCACATTCATCAAGGTCTCCTCCTTCTCTGCTCTTTACAACCACTGTCACCTCTGTTATGACTCCAGGACTGACTCGGGGAGGCACTGTGGGGCACGAAGTACTCTGCCCGATGCTCAGCTTTTGATTAATGGGCCACAGCCCTCCCATCCCTTGAGACTTCAGTTAGCCGAACTCTTTTCCTTAAGAAAGATAAGGCTGCATTTAGCAACAGGGATGAAGACAAGGGAGGAGAAGAAACGCAATTTTTAAAGATAAATCAATAAGCCATTGCTACACTTATTCGAACTTGGTTTTGGATGGCTTTTGGGCTTGAAAAGACAGAATACTTTTGTAGGCTTTGCCTTTTGATGTGATTTTCCCCCTGTCATTTCTAGATTGGACTGAAGCTGGTGCATCACGTGACTCTAGATAGCAAGGGTGTTCTGATGTGATTGATATTGTGGAACCAGATATACTTGCAACCTGAGAGTCCCCAGGGAGGAAGGAGGTGGATAGGAGGCCACAGCGGCATGGTGTCTTGCCCAGAAAACACAACAGTAGGTACTATGCAGTTAGAACAGTCCTGATTCTTCCAAATGAGGATAAATGCTCCTCGCTTCTCAGCAGGAACCAGGACAGAAGAGAATATATCACTCTGTGTCTGTCAGGGAACACTGTGAGGCAATACAAGGGTCTTGGGTTGGGTGATTAAGTGGAAATGGCATGGGATTTTTCAAGAGGCACAAGGTGTGCAGGCCAGGATGCCCTGAGACCAGGCAGAGTGGGTGGCAGGGCAGCAGGACCGTCTCATTGTGCTCATGAAGGCTTAGGCTTTAAGAGTGGGAGGTGGTCTTCAGAAGGTCGAAATTAAGAGAGCTTTTAGCAGGGCCTGGCTGTCTACATCCTCATATCAAATCCAAACAGTGCAGCTTCCTTTCCTCTTTTCTGTCTTTCTTAGACTATGAGAAGAGTAGAGGAAAACTACATGAGGCTCCTTGGCACCCATTTTTCAAGCCAGTCATGATACAGGGCAGACAGCACTGACATACCCTTAACCCACCTATCACTGGCACGGGTGCCCCAGGGTGATCACAGGGCTCTCATGTGGTCCTCAATGCCCCAGTTCCCAAGATTGGGCTCTGCTGTTGGTTCTTATCCCATCTTGTTCTGCCTCACCCTCCTCTCGGAGTCTAGGGTCTGTCCTATTTAATGATGGGGCTCTGCTTCCTCAGGTGCAAATGTCTCTGGGTAAGCATATGCCCACCTGACTCGAGATGGCTGTGATTCCCCACTGCTGACCTGGGGTTCCCCACTGCTGTGCTCTGCACACCTAACTGGGATCTTACTGTCCCTTAGAATCCTCAGGGTCATCAACTTGAGCCTTTCTGGGTGGATCTTCTGATGTTTCCAGGTCCCTGGGGACTGGCCTCCCAGCTGCTATCTGTAACTAGTGGTTGGATCTTATTACTTGTTCTGCTGTGCACCCCTCTCTCCATGCCTGCTTAGGGGCTGGAGTACTGTCATGGGCATGCTAAGTGACAGACCATTGCTGCCATCCAGGAGTTCTCCTCTAGTTGAGAAGACAGAACTTATATAAGTACAGTATATACAAGGTACCCTTTAAAATACTTTAAATAGATATAAACTTTAAAAAACAACAGAAAAATTACAACAGAGTACAGAATTAGTTGCCAAATACATTCTACAGACAATTGCTGTAAGAACTTGGAGAGAAATTGGGATGATCAGAAATGGCTGAATTTAAACTTCTAATCTGGGAAAAGAATTATGGATAACATTTTGTATGGGCAGAAATGAGAGAGTGAGGAGGGAGTCCTTGTGGGCTCAAATGAGTCTCCTACAGATTCCTATGTTGAAGTCCCCAGGACCTCAGAATGTGACTGTATTCGGCGATAGTGCCTTTTAAGGCATGGTGTGGTTAAATAAGGTGATGAGGGTGGACCCAAATCCAATAAAACCGGTGTCCTTATAAGAAGAAGAAATTGGGACAGAGAAATGCAGAGGAAAGACCAAGTGAAGACACAGGGAGAAGATATCTATCTACAAGTCAAGGAGAGATACCTCACAGGAAACAACCAGCCAACGCCTTAATCTTGGATTTTCCAACCTCCAGAATGGTGAGGCAATGCATTTCTCTTTTTGAAGCCACCCCATTTGTTATGATTGGCTAGGACACTAATATGGCAGGGCTACAAATGCATGGAGCTGTGCTGTATCTGCAAATGCAGGAGCATACTCGTTGGGAGAAGATCCTTTACTTAAAGCAGAAAAGTTCCTGGAACAAGAATATGATAAGTTGGCAGAAGGACTCTGTGAACAAGTTCCAGTAGCAGATGGGCTGCTGGGGACAGGGACGAAGAGCAGAGCGCCAGAAGAGAAAGAACACCCTTTGCCTGGTTGACAGTTTTGCTTAGGGTATACATTCCGATGGGTTAAGCATTGCTCAATGCTAACATAAAACCAGGTTTACTTTATGGGATTAATCAAGGCCTTGAAGACCCTCAGGCACTCCTAAGGGGGAAAGTCAAAAAGAAAGGAACAATAAAGGAAAGAGACAGAAGATGCAGAAGAAGAGAAAGAGAAGGTTACTTTGCTGGGCTCAGTAGAGACTTTCGAACCATCAGAGAGTGGTAAGAGGTGCACACCAGGGAGGCTCATAGAAATACTGCAGCCACCCACTCTGACCACCAGCTCTTTTCCAAAATGTGGCTGCACGTTGTTTGTACCTTTCACTTGGAAGTAATTGTGTAAGAACAGGAAGGCAGCACTGCAAGCAGAGGGTAAAAGTCATTGGGGGCCTTCAGAATGTCCTCATCCTCCTGGCACTGTCTCCTGCCCTGGGCTCTCTGGAAGCTGTGGGCCTGGAGCTCACAGAATCAGGCTGACCTGGGAAGAGGATGGAGTTGCTGAGAGCAGCCCCATCTCATCACTCAGAGCTATGCATGGAGCATGGATTCCATGGGAAATGGCACCCTCTGGAGCAAGGGCACCCACCCCAGCTTCTTTCACTGTTTGTAAGTTTAGCAAGAAGGGGAGAGTGGAATAATGGAGAGGATGGGATCAAGAAAGGAGATGGGAAAGATGAAAGGGCACAGGACCAAGACCAAACAGGGGACGAAGAAGGGAAGGGAGGGAAAGCTGCCATGAAGCATCAGCCAAAGGTCACAGATTACTTAATGGCCTCAGTATTTCCAGGTTCTTCCATATCAGTTCTGCACCCACCACCATCCACGCCCCATCTCAGAGCTCTGCTGTGGAGCCTCCTCTCTCAACACTGTGAACACCGTGCCCTCGGCTGCAGGAACTGCACCTTATTTCTGATTGGGAGAGTCTTTCTCTTCCTCGTTGCCCATCAGGACTGGAGAGAGGAAGGAACAAGAGGTCCCTCCAACAAGTGTGTCAGCTCAGGGAAACATGAATCTGGTATTCTTAGGGGAGGGCTAAATATGCTTCCCCATAGTAATATCATTTCTATTCCAGTTAGTCAAAGGAAAAGGAAAAATAAGAAAAGAAGGAAGAAGTAGAGGAGGAGGAGGAGGAGGAAGAAGAGAAAAAGGAGGAGAGAAATTCTGCATCCTATCTGTCATTTGGAAATGCCCCTCATACCCAGCATGCTTTCTGAACCCCATGGCTCTCCTTGGTGAGCTCCAGGCAGGCCCTCAAATGCCCTGGTGTGGGGTGCCATGTCCAGGAGGCCTTCCCAAGGAGCCAAGTGTGGCCCTGAAATTCTCTTGGGGTCCTCTGGGGACTTCCACTTGGGCAGGTCCCAAGGGTCTGGGAGAAATTTCAGGTTGGCCTTGGTCAGGAGGTGTGTATTTATTGTTGCTACTCTTAGGGTCAGCCAGATTGTGCTGTGGGGGTTTCCCTGATGAGGTGAGGAGCTGAATGATATTGAGGCTACCTGGGCCCCAGTGGACCTTTCTGCTCTACAGATGACAGCAGTGGGGGTGGCGGATGCTCACCTCTTATCCTGATACCTGCTTGGAAGGTCACAACAATTCATGGAGTGGGGCCACTTTGAATATGGACTTGCCACTTTATCCAATGACTCATGCAGGTTAGCCAAGTGGAGTTGTGTCAATGGCATATGAAAAAAATATTTGTATGTGGAACACCGAAACCTATTGTTTAGCATCATCTGTACTACACTGTTAGCTAGTAACGGCATAGATCATGACGGCAAATTACGGCCCATGAGCTCACTCCGGCCTGCAGCCTGTTTTTTTGTTTGTTTTGTTTTGTTTGAGAGAAGAAGGGTTTTTACATTTTAGAGGGTTGTCCCCCTCCCTGCAAAAAGTCAAAACAGATAAGAATGTGTGATAGAGACTGTATGACCCCACAATGCCTAAAATATTTACTATCTAGTCACATACAGAAAAGGTTTGCAAACTCCTAATATACATTAAATAGATTTTTATTTTTTGGTTAATCTGGGAACATCCTCCCCCTCCCCCATTTATAACAATGCCTCTTGGAAAAATGCATTCTTGACTTTGAAACAGATGAACTTGAACTCTATCCAGCTTGTAAGCTGGGGACTCTCTGTGCCTCTCTGTGTTTTTCATGCCAAGTGCAGGGCGGGGTGCAGGAGAGGTTGTTTGCTGCTGCTGATGACCAGTGGGTATGCAATGACCCACAGGCTGACCGGGAAAAGAATTATTTCCCAAACTCCCTTTGGGACCTCTACGTTCCTGAGGACATTAAGGTGGCAATCACTGCCTTACATGTCACCCTGTGGAGCAAACCAAGAGCCTCCTGCCCTGCCTATTTCCTTGGCTCTGCTGCTGCCATCTAGGGAGAAACAACAGAATCACATGTGCTTGTCTGTCAGTCAATGACAGAAGCATAGACAAATTTGCCCTCGGCCCCTAGAACAGTGACATGCTGCCCAGCCATGGCAGAGATAAGGCAGGAGAGAAAGTGCCAATAGAGCTGGAATTATAGGTCAGGGACAAATGAGTGAGATATGAACGTCAAGAGTGTCGAGAAACACAGTGGACCTGGGAAACATGGAGGTGTCATGGAAAAAGGAGTCGGAGGCTGGATTTGGGGATATTCAAAGAAACCCTTAAATCTCCCACCTCCTCTTTTCTTTATATGCTAAAGTGTAGGTAATAATCTCTTCCTTCTCCTTCTACTGCACAGGGATGACTTAAGATAGGCACAATTACTTTGACAAACATAAAGTGCTATATAAACGGACAGAAATATTAAACTCAAGTTGGGATTTTTCTGTCTTAGCTTTCTCTCTACTGCGTTTGAATGCACCTACAGGATCCGGCTTTTGAAGAAGCCAGTGCCGTCATTTTTTTCTCAAAATACAGTGTACATTTGCTCTTAGATTTTCTGCCTAATTAAGTCTGTAGTTTTTATAGTTTAGTAATAATCATTTCCAGTTTATAACGTGGCTGCACTGAATATGATACAGAGAGAGAAAAAGTAAAGTAATAACTCCTGAGCCACACGAAAAGGAAAGGCAATTATTTTGTCTTTTGAAATGAATAAGCCACAATCTTTAGGGCAGTTCCTTGCTTATCAGTTGCAGCAAGCCATGACTCAACCATCCTGCTTTAAGCGACGTCTATGGTAAATCTTCCTGCTCCTAAACCCCTCTAACCCCAAACCCCACAACCTTCCTTTTAGGTGGGAGAACCAGTAATCCATGTTGCAGCAGCAAAGCAGAAATGACAATTTCCTGAATAGAGCAGATAAGGCCAATTCTCAACCCCTCCTCCACATTTGGGTCTGGGGAGCGTGAATGAGCTAATGCTGATGGGAGCAGGGCTGGTGTCCTCCACTGAAATTCTAACTTGCTTTTGTCAGCCTAGCCCCACAGTGATCATCTCCACTCATTCTGCTCCCAGGGGTTCTGGAGGGCCAGGAGGCCACAGCTGCCATTGCTTTCTGAAGATGGTTGGCACCACAGCAGCCTGGCTCAGCCCAGCTCCCCAGCACAGTCTGCAGATACGGGGCAGGTGCAAACAGTGTTCCAACTGGGCTCCACTGGAGCTGTGCGCAGGTGGTTTCATAGTTAAAAGTCCTAGTAGTGTAAAAAAATCAGAGTAACTGGTAGGCATACCTCTGATGTCTCCATATTTGCCTCCTCTGCTTTCTTTTCACTTGGTTTTTCCTTGGAGAGTTTACCTCCCATCTGCTTCAGTGCCCTTTGCTAATGAGCAGAGCTCTTTCTTTAATTAAGTCAACAAGTATTCACACACAGAGGCAGCATCTTTTTTGGCCAAAGGACCTGAGCAGACCAGCCCCAGAAGCAATTGAGAAAGTTTGTCAAGCTCTGATTAAGTAGCTGTGATCAGAGTGAAAAATTGCCTGCCCAAGCAAATAGTTCCTAAAATGTTCTCACTACCAGGTCTTAACCATGAAACCTACTGGGCCAGAAGGTTGGGATATCCAGTTTTCACTTAGGAACAAGCGATGTCACATAATACATAGCCATAGCTTCCAGCTGACTCCTCATTTGCAGACTGCCTAGGTCTCCAGCTACCTGGAGATCAGCATTCTGAACCCTTTCTCCACGGTGGCATCATAAAATTCACATGCTTGATATGCTCTCTGCAATTCTTGGTGAAATATCTACAATCCATTCCCCTCTGTCCAAACAAAAAAAAAGTTGGAATACAGGTGAGTGAGAGTGAGTTATGTCGTATTTGCTTTCATTTATTTTTAAAAGGGATGTACTTCCCAAAAGTGTTTCTATGAACTGTGGTTGGTCATCAATAACTTCAATACAACACCCGATATGTGTCCTGTCAGCAACTGCATTTTACTGTTCTTGGCCAATGTGGCCCCTTCTGCATACTCTTCTATGCCCATCTTCCCCCAGCGTGCCATAGTATGTCCTCCTTGCAAGGCCTTAATCACATTCCAGGCCATTAACTCCTAAAAATGTGATGCAGTCTGATAGAAGTGCAGACACCAAATTCTTCCACAGATGCCCTGCTCTTGGGTTTGACTGGGCTGGAGATTTGGCAGCATGTTTGCCATGGTTAATTTGGAGGCAAATCTCAAGGAAACAGAACATTAAAAAGTTTGGATATGGCTTGGCATCCTCAGCACACCTAATCCAAATGGGAAAACGTTTACCCCCATTCTCTTGAGGAAGGGGGGCTATGGAAAATGTGCAGGTTGAGAATAGGGAGACCCAGGTTTAAATCATGGTTCCCCTTGGCCTTGGGCAAGTCCTTAACCTCTTACAATGATCAGATTTTTATCTGTAAAATAGGGGTAGCAGAGTTTCCAAGGAGTTTAGAGGCAATGGGTGCAAAATTCCCTGAAGATGCCTGGCACACTGTAGGACCTAACAAAAATCTTAAGAGAATATTTATTTACCCAAACACTACTGTCTACCATGGAATATTTATTTTTGAATATTTTGGAGAGTGTTAGATATGCTATGTGACGACAAGCAGAAACCCTCTTGGATAAGACATGAGAGAGGCAAAGGAAAGAAAACTGATGAGTAAAATGCTTTTCTGAAATCCTTGACATAATCTGGGGAAATTTTTGAATAATGAGATTCAGGGTCTCTCATAATGCATGCAGTTTGAGTTGCAGAATAAACTCAAATTTTCCCTGTCCCATAATGTCAGAATAAACTCAAACTTGCCCTATCCCATAATGTCACGTTGATTTTTGTGATGTTTAGACAATCCCAAAGCAACTACTTTTTATAACACATTAGAGAAGACATCGTTACTCTGGGTAAATTCCTCAAACTCCAAATAGAAGCAGTAAACATGTGAGTATAAATATGACAATCATTTGCTAAACTGCAACAATTTTAGATATTTTTTGGCATGCTTAAAGGTACAGAGATTTAGGGGGAATGAGCGAAAAGTAATTCAACTCATATATTCTTTACCCCACTTTGACTAAGTTTTGGGTGACGTTATCAATTTCTTGTAAATTTGGTGTATCATGCTATGGGAAAGGAAAAAAATGTTAAAAGTTTACCTCCCTGGAGAGAGGGGGCTGGAGAAGAGTGTAGCAGAAAATTATTTACGGATAGTTTTACATGGATACAATTGTCATGGTTTTAATCCGTTGACTGAAAGATTCTCTAGTTGTTTATTTTGATTAGATGTGGCATTAGGGCCAGATTTCCTGTATTTCTAAGCTTTCCCGTATCTAAAATTTAATATGTCTGTAAAGGTGTTTAAAGGATCATCTCAAACATGGAACCATAATTTGTTGAAGAAAAACGATAATCATTCTTCCTGTTGGGACGCTCTTCCTGTAAGGGGGAGTGGGGCAAGTGATTTTCTTATTCAGATCCTGGACCAAGCTCTTGTCAACAATGAAACTGATCTTTCCTATCAAGGCCAAAGAGAAGCAAGGGTTTGCATATTCAAGTTCTTCATAGATGCCTGCCTCTATAATAGGACATTCACATCTGGCAGAGCTCTTATGGGACACAGAGAGAGAACAGAAGAGTCTAAAAATCCGGCCAACATCTCAGTGCCAGAATCCAAGTTCTGAACACAAGGCTGAATATGTATCTGGCCAGTAAGAAGACACTCTTCAGAAAAAGGCTGAAAAAACAGTCACACTCCAGGTCTAAATACAACCTATAACAAAACCCAAATCCACATGCAAACATACCCTCCATTGCAATGTGGAAAGAGATTTGGTTTTAAGAAGAATTTAAGGAAATTATCATTTTGCTGCAAGAGAAGAAGAAAAAGATGTTGAGGCCGCTACTCTTGCTGTGAAGGTTACAGCTGCTTTGAATTTGTTAGAGGAAATTACCCTAATAGAGGAAAGAGGCCAGGCAAATGGTCTTTAGTTTTAGACCACTGATTGTTGTCGAGAATTATTCCAAAAACTTAAATTCTATTTTAAATCCTTATTGTGAAAAGACAGCCATATTTTAATTTTTACTTATAGTTACCATCTTCATCCTTAGTAATCTATAGCTTGAGCAGCCCTAATCCGAAAATCTGAAATCCGAAATGCTCTAAGATCCGAGATTGTTTGAGCACCGACATGACGCCACAGGTGGGGAATTCCACACCTGACCTCATGTCTATGGGTTGCAGTCAAAAACAGTCAATTAAAAATATTGTATAAAATTACCCTCAGGCTATGCATATGAGGTGTATATGAAACATAAATGAATTTTGTGTTTAGACTTGGGTCCCATCCCAGAGATATTTGATTATGTATATGCAAGTATTTCAAAATTTGAAAAAATCTGTAATCTGAAACACTTCTGGTTCCAGGCATTTCAGAAAAGAGATACACAAGTTCTGTACTGAGTTATTATGGTTTACCAAAATTTGGTATACATAAAGCAAAATATAGCATGTTCCCCAAGCTCTTGCAGAAAAGTAGGAATAGATGAAGTTGAGTTGACTACTGGATCTTTTACCAGAACAAATGGCCTTCTATCAAAAAATGTTTGCAAACTCCTGCGTTAGACAGTTCTTTGGTGATCCATCAGTATTGTCTGAAGCTAAGCATTAGTATTTTTCAAAGTTCGGGAATAATGTACTTGGATCATAAGGCTCATTCCAACATGCCACAGGTGAAGCTCATTCATTATGCAATAGTGAAGCAGATAAGAAGTAATGGGAGACAATCTTTTGCCTTTCAAAATATTATAAGCTCTGGATTTTCATAACAGAGTTCTGGAACAGGTAAGTGATTTGTCAAGAAAGGCTTTTGTAAGCCATGTTGAAATGGCTGTGCAGTAAGTGAACAGCCTCTATCTTTGCAAGAAATTAACAGCCACACCAACCTCTTGCTCTTTAAAGATATTAGAGAGAAAGCCTATCATCATCTGATCTTGGAACTGTTTAATGGATTTTCTCTCTAGTAGTTAAATTGAAAGAATGATGCTCAGGTCTATTGTTTTCTCTTGGGAAAAGCCATACCACCCTGGTTGGTTCTTTCAACCCTCTCCTGACCCAAGGATAGAGAACACTACATTCCAAGACATCATGAGTGCCCCTCACTCTCATCTTTGGGAAATGAGGAGCAGCATCCATTCAAAGTGCAGTCAAAGGTAAACCTCACTGCCAAGTTTCCCTCAAGCTGAGAAATTGGATGTATCAGAAAGGGTGGAGTTTCAGGACTTGCTCTAAAAATAATGTGTCTGGATCTCGGCCACCATCTTAATGCTCTTCCTCTCTAGGCCCTCTCCCCATAAATGTCAAATGTGGCTGTCAGTAGGTTGAGCCTGAAAATAAAATCCCCTCACTTCCATCAAGAAATAGCTCCAAACTTAGAGTGTGTGCTCAAAATATTCATGATGAAATCATAATCCTATATTTATAGTCTTTTGGATTGTGCATGAAATTCTGTTTCCCATGGTGGTTTTCGTTGAAGTGGGCACAGAGTGACCAAGAAAGCATTAGCTGCAGGGAAATGCTGTTCCGTATCATTCTGAACTGGTTGGTTGTGAGACACCCTCCCTCTTCCCTGTGCCCTACCCGCTGCCTGATGAGTTGGGTCTACCACCCACCCCATTCCCAGCAGGTCCCCTCTTTGATTGGTCCTGTCTTGTCCTCCAAGAAGAGCTGGCCTTCCGAGAAGGAAGTGGGGTGGGTACCTAAGATTATTCCCCTTTCCTCTGCATCTTTCCTGTCCTAGACTTCCTCCCCGTTCTCACTGAGGGAGATGGTGTGGACCTTAATGGTTGGAACTTGATGGTTCTTGTCAAGGCTGGGGGTTGAGGGCCCTACACAGCAGCAGACCTGCAAAAAGCTTTTACTTCTCACCCGGGCTGTGGTACAGGAGGATTGGTCTTTGGACACTGTAATCCTGGCAGATCCACGGGGCATGGAAGAGAAAAATTTCCATTCACAAACGCCATCCGTCTTGGAGATCCTGTAGAAGGTCTCTCTTGATCCCACGGGGATGCGCACCATGTCCTTGTGTTGCCCTTCCACGGCCTGGCTGGGCGGGTGCAGGGTGTAGCCCAGGGCATGTTTGGAAGACTGCTTTCTGCAGAGACACTGGATTCTCAAGACATTCTGAAAGGCCTTTTTGAACTCTTGGCTGGAGCATGGGTATATGATGGGGTTGATGCAGCTGTTTAGATATCCGAGCCAAAATACTATTTTAAAAACTGTTTCAGAGGGCTTGAAATCAGGGAAGAAAGACCCTGGAAGAAAACACACAGATTTATACATATTATTTGAAAGCCAGCAAGCCAATTGGCTAGGAAAACAATCAAACAGACATCTTTCTGTATTTTTAAACGGTTAAAATGATCCCAAACACATATGAGTTTCTCACATTTGACTGACTAGCTCCTATGACTGTCACCCTTTTGCAATATCTTCAAAGACCATTCCTACTTGGTCCGCGTGTGTCATTAATTACAGGAGCAGGCCCAGTGGGTAGGGTTGCACTGGCTCTCAGTGACCAACAGCTGCTGTGAAGTTTTACCAAATGAAAATGTGAAACTCAGACTGAGTCCACATATGTAAATTGTTTTGCCTAAATTGAAAAGTAAGTTGGAATCCATGCAAGTAATCCATATTAAAATTCGGTTATCTGAACATGCCCTTTATTCTCTGATGCAGTGTTATGCAACAGACACAGCCTCAGTGTTTATGAATTCCTCCCCTCCCAAATGTTAGAATTATGGATTTTGATGAGAATCTCAACTTTACACAATATTGGCCTTGCCAAAGTTGGGCCAGTGATTCTCAATCACTTTTCCTAGATGATGTCTTTTGATGTCACCGTTAGCTCCCTTTGTCAATATCCCTCGATGTCTCCCAAATGTGTGTCTTTGCTTCACATTCGGAGTCCTCCACAGCCTCTGGTCTAACCAGCTTTCTAATATGACTAGTTGCTATTTTTTCTCTAGCCAGACTCACTACACTTTTTCTCCAGGTCATTGATCATTTTTTTTGTCCTCTCAAGTTGGGCCACTGTGTCCTTGATGCCCTTTTCCACCTTCTCTACCTACCCAAACCCTACCCGTTGATGTGCACGGCAGGAACCAGGCCTCAGGACCCGTCACATCCTGCGCAGAGACTGCCACAGGGCATTTCGCAGCAGAAGAACAAAACTGTGAAGTCTTAAAATGGAACAACCTTAAGGATTATCTCCTCCAATTACTCAATTTACAAATTTAAAAAATGCTTATTTAGCCTTTTCCCAGCTGCCGCCAAGATGCTCTGCCCTTCTGAGCTGAGGCTGCGTTGGGGTCAGGCCCTCACTGCATCCAGCACTAGCACTACTCCGGGCAGCCCAGCCTTGCACTTGTCCACACCACGGACTCCATCTCAGAGCTCGCCTGCACTGACTCAGCCCTCATTCTGTATAACGCTGAGGGGATCATCACATAGGATAAGGTCAATGTCGTTTCTAAAGCAGCTGGGGTAAATGATGACGGCTTTTGGCCTGGCTTGTCTGCCAAGGCCCTGGCCATCGTCAACTTCGGGAGCCTCCTCTGCAGTGGAGGGGCGGGGTGGGAAGACCTGCTCAGCAGCTGGTGGTGTACCTGCGGGAGGTCCTGCCCTTCTGTCACTGTGGCCTAGGCCGAGAAGAAGAAGGTGGAAGCAAAGAAAGAAGAATCTGGAGTCTGATGATAATATGGGCTTTTTTTTTTTTTTTTTGAGTAAACCTATTTTATAACACGTTCAATAAAAAGCTGAACTCTTAAAAATGCTTATTAAAGAGATTGTCACAAACCTCATAGCTACAATACTGATAAGAGTGATGGATAAAGGGTATGGGACTCCCAATCCAATGTTCTTTATTCTCTGATTCTCAGACTTCCAAGGGCTTTTGCTAAAGGAGCTTTATGAATTATGAAATCCCAAACGTCCCTCTTCACTCCTTTCAGAGAAATTGCAAAATAACATCTTGACTTTCCTTCCACCTCCTTTCTTTTCTTTCTTGGCTCCCAAGCTCCTTTTCCTTCTCCGCGGGCTTTTAGTCACAGCTTCGTGTACAGTTGGTAGAATGGCTTTGGGAAACTCCTATGATGCCTTTGGGCCTCCAGTTTTCTTATCTGAAAAAGGAGTATGTTGAATGGATGATTCCTAATGGCCCTGAACAATTTTTTTGTTGCTGTTGTTTCAAACCTAAGGTCTTGATTTTATGTCTTTCTTTTCCTCTCTGCTCTGTGGACCTATCAGAGCCGTGACAAATTGCTGGTGCTATTAAAATCCACTCTGGCAAACAGTGCTCTGAAATTAAGTCAAAAAGCTCATCAATATAAACAAAGAGTAAACTTAAATACTGAAGAACCCAAAGAAGACACAATAGTGTGGTTGTTGATGGGAGCATTTATTACCTCTGAAGCACACTCCCTGCTAAGTTCCATGTGTCTCAAATTCACACACACACACACACACACACAATGGGTGTTTATTTGGAAAACATGTAAAGTGAGAAAGTTTTATTCTTTAGCTCTAAAGCTTTTCATGTTGTCCTATAATTATAATAAAGTTTACAGTCTTTGAATGCCTGATTTGAAACAGGCAAGGCACTGTGCTGAACACTTTCCATATGATTTAATCATCGTTAGTAACATGAAGAGTTATGTGACTCTTCCCTATTTTACAAATGAAGAAACTGTGGCTTAATGAGTTTGAGTAGCTCAACCGAGGTCACTCACATAGTTACTGGTAGGTTTGAAATTAGGCAGTGTGATTGATTTCAGGGCCCATGCTCCTTTGTGGAATCTCCAAATATACTGCAATAATACATCTCTTAGGAG
The DNA here is from genome assembly GCF_000001405.40 of Homo sapiens. Taxonomy (NCBI): domain Eukaryota; kingdom Metazoa; phylum Chordata; class Mammalia; order Primates; family Hominidae; genus Homo; species Homo sapiens. The sequence goes on from NC_000008.11 coordinate 26,773,244, forward strand.
GATAGCTGATGGGGAGTGATAAAGTGTGCAGCTGGGGGAAGCTGAATTGGAAAAATGCTTTTTCGAACCTCATCTGTGATGGAAAAAATGGCTAATGCCAACATGACTGATGGTTTTGTGCAAATGCGGTCAGTTCCAGAAAAAAATTTGTCTTACATTATGAAACCTATATATTGTCCAATATTTCCTACTAATAGTGACAGTGATGTGATTAAGGAAACCCATTTCACAAAGACCTGCCTGGGCCTGTGCTTAATGACTACAAGAATGTCTGAGCTGAGCACACTGAAACCCACCTTGTCTGGGAATGTCACTACTCTGTAAATCAGCGAGGGAGGGGAGGGTCGTTTCCTTATTTGAAGAATTTCAATTTTTAAAAAAGAAAAAAAAATATGCACTATGAATGTGAATGCTAATAAATATGGTTTGAGAGTCTTGGAATTTCCCATAATTCCTTCAATTACACTCATTCTGCTTACAGAACCCAGTTTTGCACTCGTAAATCTCAACATTTCCTTTTAGTCACTTCCTTCCCATCCCTTCTTTCCTTGCGTGGCCCTGCTCTTAATTCCAGGTATGGCTGACCCAGAGCCAAGCTCTTGGGCCCTCTCTCTAGTCTCTTGCTGTGTTCCAGTCTTCACAGGTGAATCCTGGCCTCCCCCTCTCTGTACCCCACTCAAAACACTCATTTCTTCAACATGGCTCAGGTATAGGTATAGGGTGAGAAAGAGAGTTGATTAAAACTAATTTACACTAAGATCTGAATGTCAGATAATCTCTAGGCCTAACCCCAGGAATATTTTCTTTTTAATCCAAGCAAATCTCTAGATTTTGGCTTATGCTTCCAGACCAGAGACCTTCCTGTAAATGACAATGTTTGGTTTATCCTATTAAGTGTGTGACAGCAGCCAGATGTGTGTAAGCCTAGCACGGATTTGCATGCTCCCAAACTGATAGTTCCACCAGGGGCAGGTTGCAGGATCCATTCTCATGCTTGGAGTATTCTTCCCTTGTGATGGGGAACAGGTGCTGGGAGCCATGTGATTTTCTTTGAGCAGCTGCTGACTGGCTGGGGTTAGATGAGAGACTCATAGCTATGCTTCCTTCAAGAACTTTCCAAAGAGTGAGAAAAGACAGCAAAAGGGCTAGGCATGGTGGCTCACGCCTGTAATCACTGCACTTTGGGAGGCCAAGGTGGGCAGATCACTTGACACCAGGAGTTTGAGACCAGCCTGGGCAACATGGTGAAACCCCATCTTTACTAAAAATACAAAAATTAGCTGGGTGTGGTGGCATGTGCCTGTAGTTCCAGTTACTCAGGAGGCTGAGGTAGGAGGATTGCTTGAGCCCGGGAGGTAGAAGTTGTAGTGAGCTAATGCGCACCACTGCAGTCCAGCATGGGCAACGGGAGTGAACCCCTGTCTAAAAAAAAAAAAAAAGGACAGCAAAAGAACTGCTCCTCTCCTTATTGACATTATTCCCATCCACGTATTTCTTCCTTTATTTTTCCTCTCCTAGAAAGGAGAGATGGGGCTGGAATTGGGCTTGGAAAGCAGCTGCATGGCCCCAAACCCTCCTCCTGCTCTCTCTTTCTCTGCCCAAACCTTCCCCGTCTGGTTCTATTTTCTCTGAACTCTGCATTAGTTCTATCCTCAGCCTCCATTCTTCCCAAATCTCTTTCTTCCTGAGGACTGGCTATGTTTTTAGGGTGGGAAGACAGCTGGAGAATGCTTGTTCCTGGCCTCCAGCCATCAGGACCTAGAGGGTCAGGGCTGAACCAGCCTGGTTCAGGGGTGGGTGCCTCTGACCCAGTCACTCTGTGGGGAAGTCCATTCGAGCAGCCATCCGGCCGGCTTTGCTCACTCACGGAGCTCCAGAATCCAGTAAAATGCTAGAGTCTTGAAGGCATTCTCCTAGTTTTTGCTGCATGAATGGCCGACCTTCTGACAGACGGATGGACTGACTGACTGAATGAATGAATGGCTGTGTCTCTGTGTTCTTGCCATGGTTCTTCTTCACAGTGTGGCTTGGTTTTCTTTTCTGCGTGATGGCTGTAGCCTCATATTATCTCCCAACCCTGACTTCTTTCTGCTGTCTCATTCTTCTTTTTTTTGCCCACCATTTCAGTTCAGTCATTTGGTTTTTTTGTAATGTTATTTTACTACCATTTTTTCCTTGCTCTATCATCTGGCATCAGACCCTCTAGTTTTTCTCATGATGCTTCATAGGAAGAGCCAGACTTCCAAATCACCCACATGAGAATAGGGGCTCCTACTTCTTTGGTCACCGTAGCTATGGTTTTCTCCTCAACAATCTCTGCTTCAAGAAGAGCCAACAGCTCCTGACTTAATCCCCTGAACACCTTGCCCTGCAGCTCAAGCCATCCTTTGCATGTGAATTTGCCTGGTTTAATTCTTGGGCTTTGGAAAATCCCCACAGCCTAAGGATTCTTCCTGTCACTGAGTTTCTTTCCACCATTTGGTCTGCTGCAGAATTTCTGCCTCTTTCCTGACCCTCTGGACACCCTGACCAACTTACGCCGGTCAGACTGAGGTGGATAGAACAGGAGTTTATGGCCAAACACCATCAACATTCTCATTCATGGAGATTCAGAATCCTCACTTCCACTGTAAAGGCCTCTAGATGCCAAGAAGAAATTGAAACGAATAATTTAAAATGTTGCCTCTATGTCTTTCCACTGAATGCTATATCCATTGGGAAAATCTGACTTCATTTTTGAACTGGGGCTCATCTAATAGGCTTATGAGGGGGCACTAGGAGGCATCCCAGTAAAGGCTTGGCGACTAGAGTCACCTTTTACAGTTATAAAATTACAGCAACATTTGCCTCAATGGCTCCAATACAAGATAAAACCATTTTTTCCTGCCCATGCTGGTCTCCTCCATGAATTTGATACACCGGTGAGTGCTATGGTTAGCTTCAAAAGTTGGTGAGAGTAGGAACTGAGTTCTCGAATTCCTATCCAGCACTGGTCATTAGGGGGTTCCTCCTTAGTTCAACTGTTTCTCTCAGAATGAGGGTGACTTGATATGGAAGCTGAAAGCTGTGAGTCAGTCTTCTTGGTTCCAGCCTCCAGCTTCTGCGCTTCATTTTACCCCCTGGAAAACTTGACATCTTAATGACAACCTTGAGAGACACTGGGCTATGGTAAACCCTACTTAGCTGGAGTTGCATAAGGCTAAAATGTGAAGACTGGCAGGCACTTAGAGATCAGAGCTGTCAACCTGTCCTTTATATGTGAAGACAGCAAGGCTGAAGACGCGAGTAGTTCCCCCAAATCACACAGCTGGACCCAAACTCGGCTCCACCTCACCCATTTCCACTCCTGATCTTTGTGTGCCGTTTAGCAACCCTACGATGACATGGAAGTGTTAATGGCAGTATGTCCAGCTTTCACTGAATGACAACAGGTTTTGCAGAGATAAGGAGAAAGAAGAGAGGGGAGTAGTATCCTCAATAATTGCATTATTTTAAAAGTCAGAGTGTGCTGTTCAGAAGGGTTTGTCAGCAGGGCCTTACATTCTGAGAAATGAAGTTTGAATGATCTCAATTTAAAAAAATGTGGACTCCAAAGAAGAAGCTAATGTTACATGACCATGGGAGAAAATAATCTTTAATTGTTTCTCCTTGTTCAGCGAGTGGTCTCTCCGATGTGCCTGGTACACATCCAATGAGCAGAGGAGAGAGACAGGCTGCCACACCAACAGGCCAAGGAGCTCCAGTGCCAGTAACATTCAGGCCAGACCCAATGGCTCCTTCTTACCAGGAAGAAAACTGCCCCATCAAATTAAACCCCAGAGACAAGCTATAGAGTCAAAGTTTAAGAGCAGACCAGAGTCTACCAGATGCCTTTGTGCTGAACTACTTTGGCCTGAACCCTCCTGGGGTTTATGTGGGGCCACTTGGGCAGCTCTCAGTCAGCAAGAAGTTTTTAGATTATCTACCTTAGATGGTGACCAGGGCTCTCTAAGAAGGTGGTCAGAATAACCATGGACAGTAACCTTAGGCTTGCAACCTCAGGTTCACAGACAGACTTCCCATGACTGACATGAAATGTGTATGTCCAGAGATACATTTTCCTGGGAAGAGTCCTTAGCTTGTATTAGCTTCTCGCAGTGCTCTCTGGTGATGGTAAAGATGGTTCAGCCTGGATCCCAGGTAGAGAGGACAAGCTGTACCCTGGCTGGGGAACCTCACTTAGCCTGTATGTCCTAATGATAGAATCTAGCTTACCAACAGAGCAAGCAGATGTGATTTCGGTGCCTCTTTGGAAGGACTTCGCTAGTCTTTTTTTCCCCTATTTAACTGGGGCCTGAAATTGTACAGCTCTCCATTCATGTATCTGAGTAAAGTCATGTGTATGCTCACTTGAGAGTGTTGGCATGTGGAGTCTTTTCTGAACTTTCTGGCAGAAAACTTGAGTGGTTGGTAAAGTGAGGAAGGTGGCACTGAGCAGGAATGGAATTAGCTCTCCTCTTGCATGGGGCAAAGCATGGGAGCATGGCATGGGAGGGTACAGTGAGTAAGGGGAACCGGGCACACTGTGCTGGGCACACATCCCCGAAGGAGACAGGCTCAGGGCACCCTGGGGGCCTGCCCAGTGTGGGATGGAAGTGCTGCCCACTTTTCCAGGGACTGAGGCACGTTGGTCTATGGTTACTGTGAAAAACCATTGCTCCTTCCAATCCAGGCAAGGAAAGAGGTCACTTGGGGAGATGTCCTCTCATCCCTCAAACTTCTGCAAGTGGCAGCTAAAGTTCTCTTGACAGGATCTGTCTGGCTGGCCAAGGAGAGCTCTGAGGAATCAGGAATTTCATCCTGGATGAGTCTGAGCTGCTGGAATTAAAACTTGTCAAATGGTTCGTCTCACCAGTTAACAAAGCCTAAGAAGCATTTCTCCTTTTAGGAAAAAGGAGCAGGTCCACCCAAATGCATGATTTGGACCCCAACGCCCATAAGAACGCTGGAAAGAGTAATAGGGGACCCCACATGTAGACATTTCTCCCTAGAAGACCTCCTTGTGTCCAATAAATAATTTGATTTGAAACACTCTCAGAAGATAGCAAGATTCTCTACCCCACTCCCTTTATTTAAAAGATTATTTGTTCAGGAAAAAGCTAGCAATAAGGAAGTCATCATGTGCTTTTATGGGCTGCTTCCTTAAAAGCAGATCTCCTTTCATAAGCCAGTGTATTTTCCAAGCCTTGTCAATTTTACTAAGGTCACCATTGTTTCATGAGTCTTCCATTTAAAACATTTTTATAATATAATAACCAAACCAAATGTCCAACAATGATAGACTGGATTGAGAAAATGTGGCACATATACACTGTGGAATACTATGCAGCCATAAAAAAGGATGAGTTCATGTCCTTTGTAGGGACATGGATGAAGCTGGAAACCATCATTCTCAGCAAACTATCGCAAGGACAAAAAACCAAACACCGCATGTTCTCACTCATAAGTGGGAATTGAACAATGACTATACTTGGACACAGGAAGGGGAACATCACACACTGGGGCCTGTTGTGGGGTGGGGGGAGGGGGGAAGGATAGCATTAGGAGATATACCTAATGTAAATGACGAGTTAATGGGTGCAGCACACCAACATGGCACATGTATACATATGTAACAAACCTGCATGTTCTGCACATGTACCCTAGAACTTAAAGTATAATAAAAAAAATATATATATATATAAATTTTTTTAATTGTCTCTGCACAAAATCTCTCCCTGAGACCACCCAGTCTAAAGAAGAGTAATCTTCAAACTCACACCTGCTGAATGGCTTATTTATTTCACGGTACATATCACAGTTTTTAAGTTTTCTTATTTACTTGTTTTCTTTGATTGTCTCATCCTCCAGAGCACAGATGATATGCTTTCCAATGGTAGGAGACCAGGTTATCTCTCTCACTGTAGTGCAAGATGGGAGCAGGAACCCAATTAACAGTTCCTGCCAGAAGAATATGTATCTAGTTCCTTCTCCCTTTTTTTTGCCTCTTACATTCCAACTGGTCACCAAACCCCACAGGTGTCTTTCCTTGAAACACCTTCCAAATTTTCCTTCTCCATCACCTCCAACCCCAGCACTGCTGCATGGTGAACTGGTTGTTTAAAGCTGGGTGAGTCATTTTTTCCTTCTTGGGCCTCAGTTTCCTCATCTGTAAAAGTAAAGACTTAGAACAGTAATTGATGCTACCCCTTCCTATCTGTAAGAGCAGATGCTTCTAGGCAAATGGAAACAGTCAAAAGGGGAAAACAGCCCATGACAAGCAGGATGATGAAGGAACGTGGTGGAGAGATGGCCAGAAGGGAAGAGGGCAGGCTTTGGAAGGAAGAGGGGAAACTGAGGTTTTGGGGAAGGCTTTGGGAGGACACCCTCATGTCTATCCTAGAGGTTTACTTTGAGATCACGGAAAGGAGGGGTGGGAGGAGAATTCAAAGGCTGCTGTCATGCAGTGCGTCTGCATAGGGGCCCAGGCAATTCTGATTGCATGAAGCGGGAATGGAATTAGCTCTATTCCTGCTTGGAGCACAGCACGGTTTGGGCTGCTGGTCGCGTCAGAACTTGTGAGCTTCTTAATAATACACGGGCCACACACCTCCACATCTGAGGCCTGGGAGGCTAAGGCTGTGCTCATCTGGTCCTTTCCAAGGAGATAGGATGGAAAGGGAAGAAACCATGGGGGAAAATTCCCAGAAATAACTAAAGGGAGGGGAGGCTTATCAAGGGGCTCAGTATTGTAGCTAAGGGAACCTCATAATGGGGTATCTGCCAAGACATGTGTTATGCATTATCTTTTTGTTGCTGATAAGATCAAGTCCAAGCTCCTCACTCTGTCATTCAAGGCCCCTTTATTATTTGGTTCCACCAGCCCTACACAACCTTCTTCATTCCTCATTCACTTAACACATAATTTACTTAGCACCTGCTCAGGCCAGGCACTTCCATAGATACTGGAGGTAGAATGGTCAGGAACATGCAAAGGTGTTTACCTTCTATGAGTGTCTCCAACAAATGCCTATGTTGGAGGCATTTGTTGTTCCAACAAAGGAATTATGAGTTTCCAACACCAAGGCTTTCTTCCTGCCGCAGTAGACTTTTCACTCTAACTTTGTTAGTTCACGAGGTGACTGTGACCTCAGCTCCTGTGGCTGTTTTCTGCTGCACTCTTCTGCTCTTCACTCAGTGACCTCTCTCCCCTGTATCTACTCAAACTTGAATTTGTCCAATTCTCTCTGTCTTCAAGGCTGTTTTCAAAATCCCACTCATCCACGAGCCCTTCTTTGTTACAGTATAGCTTGCTTTCTTGCCATTTCCCCTGTGGATTTAGCACCAGTTTCTTTTCTTTATAGCAGGGAAACCCCTGGGCCACAGACCAGTACCAGTCTGTGGCCTGTTAGAAACCAGGCTGTATGGCAGGAGGTGTGTGGTGGGCCAGTGAAGCTTCATCTGTATTTAAAATTTACAGCCTCTCTCCATTGCTCACATTACCTGTCAGATCAGCAGTGGCATTAGATTCCAATAGGAGCACCAACCCTATCGTGAACTGCACATGTCAGGGATCTGGGTTCTGTGCTCCTTATGAGAATCTAATGCCTGATGATCTGTTGCTGTCTCCATCACCCCCAGATGGGACTGCCTAGTTGCAGGAAAACAAGCTCAGGGCTCCCACTGATTCTACATTATGGTGAGTTGTATAATTATTTCATTATATATTACAATGTAATAAGAATAGAAATAAAGTGCACAATAAATGCAATGCGCTTGAATCATCCTGAAACCATCCTCCCATCTCCAGGCCCATGAAAAATTTGTCTGCCATGAAACCAGTCCCTTGTGCCAAAAAGATTGGGGAACACTGCTCTATAGCCCTTATCACCATTTTCTGTGCTTTACTTATTTCTATTTTTGGTTGCTTTTCTTGACTATAAACTCCCTTGAAGGAAGAGCTTCCTGTCTTTTTAATTTACTGCTGTATCCTCAACACTCATAATGGTGTACAGCATTTAGTAGGCTCCCAACAATATTGCTGAATGAATGACACATTCAATCCTCCTGGTTTTAGTCTCCTTAAAGATACACCCTCCTTCTTATCCTTCATTCGTGTCTCTCTAAGTGATCAACATGATTCTCAATGAATGCTTTTGAGCCAATAGATGACATTGGTTGATGGAAGAAAACAACATTTTGAACACAGCTCCTGCTTCAATTACTCACAGCTGGAGATAGATTCTCAAATGCAGAAACAGAGCCTGTCTTAACTCACATTCCAAGGAGATCTTTCAGATCTTCAAGACACTCACATTTATGTGAAAACAAGACCATTCTCCAAGTAGTTTTATACAGCTAAGTTGCAGGCACTTCATAAAATGATTACTTCCAGTACTTATAAAAACATTTTATAGGGTCCTGGAAGAAGGGTTGAAGCCTATAATTCAGATGTGATAGTCATCATCTCCTCTCATATTTGTGGGATTCAAGTCCAAGGCCAAACACCACACATCTGAAGCAGTGACACAAACAACCAAAACTGATCTCCCAAGGAGGAAGTGTGAGGCTTTTTCAGGACTGTGTCCCTTCATATTCAGCTTAAAGGCTAAAGCAGGTTTAGGTCCTGATCCTTGCCAGAAAGGACACAGGTGAGTTGGCTGATGCTTGAATAGTCACAGGTGAACAGGGGAGCAGGAAAATGGGTTTTTGCTTCCGGACTGCTGCAAAGATGCTTAATCTGAGTGCTCTGGACAGTTCCGGGTCCTCTCCCAGGCCACTGGCTCACCCAGAGGCATGGCCCTTGCATCTTCCAACAGCATCTTCTAGCTTTGTGCGAAGCAGGAATATGAATAAACCCTTGCTCTTCACTCCCAGCTCCTGTGCAGCTCCCTCCCCTGCCTGGATTAAGCTAGGGATGAAGATTGGCTATAGGTCTCTGCTCTTTCTCCCCAGCCACTTGGGTAAACAGTCCTAGGCTCCATCTGGACTAGAACACCTGACCAGGGCCTGACCTCTATCAGTCATGGGTCCTGTATTCAAATGGACATAATACATATATATAGGAATTTTAATAGCTCATTTAAAACATGCAGGATGTCTTTTTGGAAGCTATAATATGGCTTCTAAGTATAGCTGGGCAGACCAAATTTTAACACGCAGAAAGGGATTGGGGCAATTTCCTCTTTAATTTTAAAAGGCAATAGAGTATGGTACTGTTTTGATTATAGACATTTTTGAAAATAGGAATTGGCCATGCCTTCCTCTTTCATATAAATGTCACATTTAGAAATCTCAGCTTTGCTTGCAAGAGACATCCTTGCTCTTTTCAAACTTAATGAAGCCTTCTGCATTCTCATCTGAGAACTGGCTGGTACTTTCAGGGGGAAGATCAAGGTCAGGGCAGCTCATTCATTTCATACCTTTAGTTTCTTTCTTTTCCCTATGACTTGCAAATCTCTATGCCTAGACCATCTCTGCCACCTGAGCTCCGTCCTGCACACACAACTATTACCAGACATCCCTCCTGATGTTTCCAAACTATCTCATCCTTAACATCATCAAACTGAATTCACCATCTCTCACAAAACCGACTCTTGCTTCTCTGCTTCACTTTGGGCAGCCTTCCTCTCACTTGTCCAAGCCAGAAACCCACTGTCATCCTCAACCGTCCACTCTCCAACCTCTTCCACAACATCCAATCACCCAGCCCTGACTACGAAACCTGTATTCACTTGTTATTGTCCATTCCAGTTCTGGCCACCACCACGTCTAGCTAGAACCTCATATCAGTTTTCTAACTGGGCTTCCTGCTTCTGGTCTTATCTGCTTCCAACCCATTTCTCACACTCTTGCCAGAGAGATTCTGAGAAAGCAAACATGACACTATCCCTCCCTTGAGTAAGTCATTTCAATGATTCTTTACTGAATTAAAGATGAAGTATGAGTTATATATGAAAACTTATTAGGCCCGGGAGACTGAAAATTCACTTGGCTGGATAAGTAGGTAGTAGAGCATGGTAATCCAAGTGCCCACCCAGAGACTCTAGTCAGTGTCATAGAAGAGCAGAGAATTACATCCTCCAGGATGTGATCATTTGCGTGACTGTTAACTCAGCTGAGCGATGTGGCATCTTTTGTTCACTAGGATGTAGGTTAGGGTTATAGTGGTTGAGATATCAGAATTTAATTTTAAGAAATAAATATACGTCTCCTATAAGGCAGTGTGTCCACTAAAAAACTCTTCCGAAGGCCAAAGAATATTCAGAATGAGTTTCCAACTGTTCCAGAGATAGTGGTGACAATGATTCAGAAAGTTTTGTAAAACCTGGAAGACCCAAGACAGGCATAAAAATACCTGAAGGATCAACATGGGAAGTGGTAAAAATACCATTTGACATAGCAATCCCATTACTGGGTATATATCCAAAGGAATATAAATCATTCTATTTCAAAGATACATGCGTGTGTATGTTCATTGCAGCACTATTCACAATGTCAAAGACATGGAATCAACCCAAATGCCCATCAATGATAGACTGGATAAAGAAAATGTGGTACATATATACCATTGAATACTATGCAGCCATAAAAAGGAATGAGATCATGTCCTTTGCAGGGACATGGTTGGAGTTGGAACCTGTTATCATCAGCAAACTAACGCAGGAACAGAAAACCAGACACCACATGTTCTCACTTATAAGTGGGAGCTGAATGAACACAGGGACACAATGGGGGGAACAACATACACTGGGGCCTGTTTGGGGGGTGTGGTGAATGAGAGCATCAAGAAGAATAGCTAATGGATGCTGGGCTCAATACTTAAGTGATGGGTTGATCTGTGCAGCAAACCACCATGGCACAAGTTTACCTATGTAACAAATCTGCACATCCTGCAACATGTACCCCGGAACTTAAAATAAAAGTTGAAGAAAAATAGTCAAACAAAGAAACAAGTGCATTTGAGGCTGTCTCAGAAGGACTAATCCCTGGTACCCGTTGTGATTTTCTGTGACCTCACACCAGCCATGTTTCTAAGAAAAAGTCGTTTCCCGCTGTCGGGATTCCCCTCTGAAATGCTCACCCAATATCTGCTCCAATTAGGTGATTAATTCAGAACATATCAGATCACCACCAATAATAGTTTCTGGATGTGCTGTTAGAGAACAATAGTGTTGGTCAGCAATCTCAGCACAGATGTACTAATTCCCCAGGTGGGTGTGGAAGCAGTAAAACTTTTACTCAACTGTAGTTATCAATTTCTCTCTCTCTCACTCACAGAAAAATGTTCATGAGAAGAAAAGAAAGCTGACACAGTTCGTCAAAATGAAAATAATGAGACTCACTATTGTTGTTTATTCAGATTTGATTTTGGAGAGTTAGAAGAGTTTCTATCTCAAGATAGGAATTGGTGTTAGCAAGTGACTGCCTTCAGAATGTGTTAGAACCTGGGGATCTGGCATGACTCTATTTTCCTAAGTTTTTCATAAGGCTTATACTATCTAAGAATAACTAAAGAAGAAGGCTGCTAGGGAGACCAACCAGGAGGCTAGCATATTGGTTTGGGGTCAGAGCTCTAACCGATGGCTGAAAGCTATAGGAAGACTGATTTGGGCTGCCCTGGAACTTGGCTTTACCATCAATGATACATGAAAAGTATCTCAGAATAGGCGGGATACCCACTCACTGAGGCCAGAGACTGGGGAGTTAAGTACCACACAGCATCCTATTAAAATACTCTTTAGGGGACATTTAAATCCTGAAATTTTACAACTTATTGAGAAAGCAAAAATTATTGGTGGAGAGAAAGTTGATTGTTTTTTGAATGTTGAATGAATGAATGTTGAATGAATGAAAAAATTGAATGTCTTGCTTCCCTTTTAATATTGCAATAAGGTGTACATTAGAAGCATTTTAAGGGGCATATATATATAAGAATATGGATATATTATTGGACATGACAACTTATTTAGCATGATTTATCTGTTTCTGAGAATGAGACTAGTCTATATGTATTTCAATAACTCCTAAATTTTCTCCATTTAGCATTCATTACACACATTTTGATCTAATTTGTTGTTGAAGCCATTTATAATCACCTCATATAAACACTTAAGGCAACAAGAGCTGAGCTGACGTCTGGACTACAAATACGCAAGGATGTCAACATTCAGAAAAGATCAGGAACTTGCTCAGGGTTACACAGCCAGTGAGCAAAACGACTAGGTTAAAAACTCTGTTCTTCAGATTTCCAGTTTAGAAATCTTTCTTTTAATTGACACATTGATTTTTTTTTCAATTGCAAGAGTAGAAATATCCTCCAATTATTTGGGGGCTCTCAGAAACCCTACTCTAAAAAAACATGAATACATTCAAGCTGAGTATCTGCAGCTAGCATTCAGCCATCAAGCGAGTGGCTTCAGTCCTTGCTTATTTCAGCTCATGATTCATACATGCCTCTTCATGTAAATGTCTCACAGAAACCTCAGGGTTAATGTGTTCAAAATGACACATGCTAGTCTGCTTGATTCTGGCATTTCCCATCTTTATAAATTATATTTGGTATTCACTCACTGTTAAGAAAAAGTGACAATCAGTCCTGATGTCTTCTTGACGTCTTCAGTAGATCAGAACTCCTAGTATTGCCCCAGTCTTTCCACGTCTCTCCATCTCCATTGTCAGGCCCTACTCAGCCACAACACCTGTCACCTGTAAGTGCCTTCTTGTTGATCTCCTGCATGCCTGGGTCACCTTCCCTTTTCCCTAGGATGACCTTTATGGAATACAACTCTAATTCGGTGACATTTCCACTTAAAGGCCTCAAACACTTTCCAGTACTCTTAGATGAAGCCCAACGTCCATAGCATGGGCCATAGGGCCATATGATCTGCTCTTGCCTTCCGCTCCTGGCCTGCCTTTCACTCTCTTCCCTATCCCCTGCTCTGGCCACCCTGACCTCTTTTTTATTTTTATTTTTAAATTTTTTTTTTTTGAGATAAGGTCTCACTCTCTCACCCAGGCTGGAGTGTAGTGGCGCAGTCTTGGCTCACTGCAACCTTCGCCTCCCAGGCTCAAGCAATTCTCCTGCCTCAGCCTCCCGAGTAGCTGGGATTACAGGTGCACGCTACTATAGCCCAGTTAATTTTTGTATTTTTAGTAGAGACAGGGTTTCACCATGTTGAATAATAAGACTCATTATTGCAAGAGATGTACTCCATTGAGTACATCTCCTGACCTCAAATGATCCACGTGCCTCAGCCTCAGCCTCCCAAAGTGCTGGGATTACACAACCTGATCTCTTGATCTATGGAATACTTCTCTGCACCAGGCCCTTCACTTCTGCTCTTCTCCTTGCATGGAGTGTCCTCTCAACCTCTGTCCCCTCCACTCACCATTTATATCTTAGCTTAAATCACCCTTCCTCAGGGGAAAGATCTTTGATCCCCTTCCACCCATCCATATACCTCAGACTCCATGCTGGGTTGGGGGGGGGGGTCTCTCATTAAATGTTATCAAAGCATCCTAAACTTTTTCTTCATAGCTCAAGCAATTGTTCTTATTTGATTATGTGGGTGATGATTTGTTCAACATATCTCCCTATGTAAATTTCATAAAGATAGGATTTGTGCCTGGTACATTGTAGTTGTTAAATAAGTATTCGTTCATGGATAAAATATTTATAGAGCACTCATTATGTGGCAGACATCATGCAAAATATTACACAAACATTATCCCATTTAATTCTCCCAAGAACATGATGTGACTGTATTACCAACCTCATCTTACAGATGAGGAAACTGAGGCTTAAGGAGTTTAATTTGCAACTAAGGAAAATAGCTGAGCTCAGATTCAAATTCAGGCTTCATGCCCAAACTCATGTTTTAAATTTCTAGATGATGCTATCTGCGAATCTGTCACTGCTTTGCTGGCTTTATAGTGAAAATAGTGCACAGAGCCATAGTACTTGAAGTTCAAAACAAAGACAATCATCAGAATAGCCAAGAAAATTAATCACACATTCCATGTCCTATTTTTTCAGAAAGCAGAGACATGTGTAATTCAAATTATTAATACAAAAATAAAATTCTCGAATGTTAATAATTAGGTTTGTTCAGAATAGACATGTTTGGACATGGAAAAAAAACCCACACATACTATATTCTGTCTGAAAAGACTTTGACAAAATGCAACTAATAAAGTACGCCTAAAAAACAATCAGGTAAGATTGGTCAGAAAGTATGATCTGTTATGTATGACAAAATCTGGGTGAAAGTGTAGGAATAAAAGGAGAACTGTCATCTGTAGTTCTTGGATATGGAGAGAAGGGAAAAGTGAAGGAGAGATGATAACAGAAATAGTTACCATCTCGTGTGCTGCATAAAAATATCAATGCCTGACACAGACTTCTTAGTTCTTAGTACTTGTTCCCCAGGGAGGAAATCCCGACAGCTCACTTGGTAGTTCAGGGATGAGGGCAAGATTGTTCCCTTTTCTGTGCCTCAGTTTCCTGGCACACGTAAGTTCAGTGTCTGGCTGTAAGCATTTGCTCATTTGCTATCCCAGAGCTATGATCAGTTTCCTTCCTCTGCATGTAGCAGCTCTGCATCTACTTTCAGGGTATCTTCTCAGTCATTAGTGCTATCTTGTCTATTTTTTTTTTTTTAACATTTGGGGATAATTTCCAAGGTCAGAAACCGGACATTGAGTACATCTTCCTGCAGAGATGCCCCTGGATGTGTGGTTCTGGTTTACACAATGGTTACCCAGATGCCACACCTGTCAGCTGCTCTGAGAATCCCCAAGTATTTCAAGAGAATTTCTCTTATTCAGAGTGCTGGGGAAAAGACATATTCACAGAGAAATGTGCTCACATTTCTTGCATAGCCTGTTGTCCAATATTACCTAATTGTGGCTACAGAAAGATAAGGTATAATTTTATTTATTTGGGATTTTTTTCAAGGCTAAGTTGAATCTAATCAGGTAAATAATAGGTGTGTTTCTACAAGTTGTGCTAAGTCTACTCTAGAGCTGAGGCCATATGTTTATTACATAGGATTTCTTGCTGGAATTTCTTCCATGGATACCTGGGCTTTCTATCACATCTGGCACTTTGTTTCTTCTTTTTGTCACTTTTAGAGAAAAAGCCTCCCAGAAATTAGACATAATTTTTGAAAAAGAGTTAGAGAAGTTTTTAAGTTTCATGATCTCATAACCCATGTGGAGAGTTCTTCCTAGCACCATGAGGGTGATGATGGTGGCACTAATAATAGTAATTATAACAGTAGATGTAATTTATTAGTAATTTCAACTGTCCAGCAATGTGCTAAGTACTTTTCATGCACCACCTCATCTCCTCATATCAACCATGTAAGGTAGGCATTGTTTATCCCCATTTTACAAATGAGGAAAATGAGACTCGGGGAGTTTAATAATTTGCCAAAAAACAATCAGCCAATAAGAGTGAAGCTGGGTTCAAACCCATGCTTGCCTGGCTCCAGACCCTGTCCTGTACCTGCTAACACCGAATGCGCTACAACCCACTGCCTGGTTTCTCTACTGCTGTATAGTGCTGTGTGCTTATTGCCAAATTTTCACTGGCAAAATCAGATCCTGATTTAGACAACAAAACAAAGCAATTTGAATCAATTATTAAGAAATTTTATGGTTAAAAATATATATTTTTAAAATTTTACTTTAAGTTCTGGGATACATGTGCGGAACGTGCACATTTGTTACACAGACATACATGTGCAATGGTGGCCTGCTGCATGCACCAACACGTCATCCAGGTTCCAAGCCCCACATGCATTAGACCTATGTCTTAATGCCCCCATTCCCCTTTTCCCCCCACCCCTGACAGGCCTCCAGGTGTGATGTTCCCCTAAATTGTTTTTAAAAAGGGTAAAATTCATATGGAACCACAAAAGACCCCAAATGGCCAAAGCAATCCTGAGCAAAAAGAACAAAGCTAGAGGCAACACACTACATGCCTTCAAAATATGTTGTGAAGCTACAGTGATCAAAACAGCATGGTACTGATGTAAAAATAGACACATAGACCAATGGAATAGAATAGAGAATCCAGAAATCAATCCATGCATTTGCAGCTAACTGATTTTCAACAAAGCTGCCAAGAACATACAGTGGGGCAAGGATAGTATTTTTGATAAATGGTGCTGGGAAAATTGGATATCCATATGCAGAAGAATGAAACTTCTAAACTCCTATCTCTCCCCTTATATAAAAATTCACCAAAACAGTTTCAAAACTTAAATGTAAGACCAAAAACTATAAATATACTAGAAGAAAATATAAGGGAAATGCTTCAGGACATTGGTCTGGGAAAAATTTAATAAACAAGACCTCAAAAGCACAGGAAACAAAAGCAAAAATAGACAAACGGGATTATATCAAACTAAAAACCTTCTGCACAGCAAAGGAAACAAGCTATGCATCTGACAACAGATTAATATCCAGAATATAAACGGAATTTAAACTATTAAACAGTGAAAAATGTGATAATCCAATTAAAAAGGGAAAATAATCTGAACAGATATTTCTCAAAAGAAGACATACAAATGGCTAACCAATATATAAAAATATCACGAATCATCAGGTATATGCAAATCCAAACCACAATGAGATATCTTCTTACCCCAGTAAAAATGTCTTCATCAAAAAGAAAAAACATAACAAATGCTGGTGAGGATGGGAAGAAAAGGGAACTATTATACACTGTTGGTGGGAATGTAAACTAGTACAGCCATTGTAAAGAACATTATGGTGGTTCCTCAAAAAACCAAATACAAGTAGAACTACCATGATCCAGCAATCCAGCTACTGGGTATATAGCCAAAGGAAAGGAAATCAGTACCTTTAAGGGATCTCTGCACTTCTGTGTTTATTGCAATGCTATTCACGATAGCCAATATATGGAATCAACCTAAGTATTTATCAAAAGATGAATGGATAACAGAAATGTGGTATATATACACAATAGAATACTACTCAGCCCTAAAAAAGAATGAAATTCTGTCATTTGTGGCAACATGGATGAGCCTGGAGGACACTGTGTTAGGTGAAATAAGCCAGGAACAGAAAGATAAATACCACATGTTCTCACTCATATGCAGAAGCTAAAAAAGTTGGTCTCGTAGAAGCAGAGATTAGAATAGTGGTTACTGAAGGCTGGGAAGAATCGTGGGGAGGGGGATAGGGAGAGATTGGGTAAAGGATACAAAATTACAGCTAGATAGGAGGAATAAGTTCTAGTGTTCTATAGCACTATAAGATGACTATAGTTAAAAAGTTGTGATATATTGTTGGATGGCTAGAACAGTTTGAATGTTTCCAACACAAAGAAATGATCTTATAAATGTTTGAAGTGATGGATATGTTAATCACTCTAATTTGACCACTATACATTATATATATCAAAACATCACTATGTGCCCCATAAATATAATATGTATGGTTATTTTGTGTCAATTAAAGAAATAAAATAAAAATAAATTGTTAAAAACTTCCTAACATAGAAATTATAGTGACTTTCTCTTTGGAATAAGTTTGATCTATATTCAGGCACCAAAACAGTTTGAAGAAGGTCATAGCAACCATGTTTAAAAATTACTGTGTCTTTTAAGATACAAAATTAATATATGCTAAATTTTTACAATCTGTGGTATCCACAATTGGTATGCCTCCCATGCACATATAGGTGCATGTGTACACACACATACACACACTCACACACACACAATACAAAAATCAACCATGATGCTACAATCTAGAAATAAGACCAGATTTTAAACAACTATGATTGTATTTAGAGCACATGCTTTTTACCAGCCTTTATGTAATATGTCATGAACATTTTGCTATTTTATTTTTATTATAGAACACAATTTTTCATGGCATCTTAGTATTTCATTGCATGAATATAACAAAATTTATCTACTTCTGCTAATTTGAATATTTTGGTTATTTCCAGTTTCCTCTATTATAAATAACTATGAAATAAATATTTGTGTGGATAGATTTGGAGTATTTTCTTAAGTTACATTTCTAGAGAAAGAATTCTGGGTCATATAATATAAATTTCATAAGGTTTTTGATCCGTATTGCCAAATTGCTCTCTGGAGAGGCTATACCTACTTATACTTATCCAGCAGTGAAAAGTAATGACAGTATGGCGATGATGATGGCAGTAAATTATGAGTGCCCACTGGGTGCTAAACTCCTAGAGCTTCACATGCAGCAGCTGATCTAATTTTCCCATGTGTTCAGTGAGGTTGGGTGCCACGAAGCCTGTTTTATATAGGCAGGTTTTATCTGCATAGGAACTAAGAAAGACATTCTTGCCAAAGACTACAAGGGTCTGCCTGACCTGGCCTCTGCCATTTGGTAAGAAAACATTTAACAGCCATGCCAAAGTGCTTTTTACTTCTTAAACTGCCCAGATTTTCCTAACAAAGCTTTTGTATTCATTCATGTTCCCTCTTCTTGAGATGTTCTTCCCTTGGGTTTGCAGGTCTAGACCTTTCTCTTTTATGTCTCAGCTCAGAGGCTGTTCAGTGAGGCTGGGTGCCACAAAGATGCATTTTCTAAACATGTAATCTAAAGGATACTTCTGTCCCTACTTCCCAATATCCCTAACACCAGCCTCCCTATCACATCAGCCCACTGTATTTCTTTAATGGCTCTTGTCCTTTTCTGAAACATTTAAAAATTGTCTGTTTCACTTATGAAATGTAATTTCCCTAAGGACAAGGAGCACTAGAATGGAGGCTGGTAAACAGTAGGAATACAATACATGCTTGCTGGCTGATGAATAAATGCCCATATGAAAGGAAAGCTACAAAGCAGCCATCAGGATTGGAACCCAAGTGCGCTTTTGAATCTTGCTTTAATCATTGCAATCTACAGAGGATGTCTCCTATCCCACCCTCAGCAGCAGTATGTATTTATTTGCTCTTTGCCAATTTGATAGGTAAAATATGATATATTTTAATATTTTATTAGTTATTTGTATTTCTGCTTTTGTTAATTACCTCTGCCCATTTTTTCCATTAGTTAGTCATCTTTTCTCATTTTTTGTATTTATCAATATTTGTATTAGACCTCTAAATATATCCTTGCCAGGTAAGAAAACAGGTAGAAAAGAAGAATACATGATTAATTTGATAGATGTAGAAAGACATTAAGTAGAATTCATCACCAATTCTGGATAAAATCATTTTAATGCATATAGACTGGAAGGACATTCTCTTAGTAGCACAAAGAAGACCTGTAAGTTCCATCACAATATTTCACAAAGAACTACCAAAAACATAGACATTTAACTCAGTACTTTCTCACTCATGCTTTGCCTTAGGTTCTTTATGTAGTAAATGTTTACTTTGTAAGCATCAAATGAATTAATGTAGACAGGAATATATAGATCAGTGTCTGGCACATAGTAAGGTCATATACGTTGGTGATTATTGTTATTACCACTATATAACATAAACAAGTAAAATAATGAGTTTGTAACCATTCATTAATTATTGCTTACATTTTTAGTACATCCATGCTCACCCTTTCATGAGTAAAATTAAGTATGAACATGTTCAAATATGTGAATTACAAAAATAAATGTAAATGGATTAAAGTGCTGTGTTAAAAAATAAAGCCTCTCACACTGAATTAAGAAAAAAATTGAATATATACTGTTATGAAAGACACAAAAGACATGGTTACAAAAATAATATGGTTTGGAAATATATACTAAGCCTAGGTAAAAAAAATAAACTGAGACGGTAATATTAGTATTAAACAAAGCAGACTCCATGACATAAAGCATTTCATGGAATAGACAGGATTATTTTAGGTTGATAAAAGTCATGCTTACCAATAGAGCCATATTTATTAAATTTTATGTACCAAGAGATAGCAAATACATAGGTATATGTATGTATATTTTTAAAATGCTTAAAAATTGATAAAATTTTACTTGAAGTAGATGACTAAGATACAGACAACAAAATATGTATCAAGTTTTCAGTTTAAGAGTAAATCAATGACAACTTAGAAAATACTGAAAATGAGAGCTTCATGCAAGAAGCCAAAGTTATTCTCCTCTGTGAAGTCTTAGATGGTTATATTTAAACAAGAAAGACACAAATAGCTTAATTTGGGCATTAGAGTAAATAAGTTGGAAAAGAACTACAAATTAAAACAAAGGAAGCAAAAATTAATGAATTAAAAAGCAGAAAATCATTAGAATTAATTAGTACATTTAAGCTGATTCATTGAAAAGACTTTAAACTGGACATGCCTCTGACAAGCCTGACTAGAAAGTAAGAGGAAGAGTATAATTGTCCATCAGTAATAAGAAATAATATATTTTCAGATGCTGAAAAAAGTGAAAGCAATTTCAAGTAAAAAACCGTATGCAGATAACATGAAGAATTTTGATAAATTTGAAGATATTTGTCTAATTTTATTCAAGGAGAAATAATATATGAAAACTATAATGATTATAGAAGACACAAAAATTGACAAAATTTATCCTTAGAAACTGTTGGATCCAAATAATTTATATTCATGCTATATAAGTATTTTCAGAGTCTTTAAGTATGTAAAAATGCTTCCTAATTCACTTTCAAAGCTAGCATAATCTTGATCTCAAAACTGAGAAATAGAGCCAAATCAAAAGAAAACAAATAAAAAGTAAATATGAACAACCCACTGTCACCACAAAACAAACAATCCCACAGACTTGTATCATTTAGAAATGAAGTTGAAATACAATGAAAGTTGTCGATTATATCTACCAGTCTATTAAGTAAAAACAAACCATGATCAAGTAGGGCAGGAAGTGGCAAACTTTTTAAGTTTTATTATTAAAAACATTAGGGAATAATGGAATAATTAACAGGAAGGGAACACTTTCATTTCAAGGATTGAAGTTGTTACCTGAGGTGGCTCTTTTTGTATTCAGTGATACACCATTAGATTCTGCATCATTTTCATGCAACTTTATCTGTCTCTTCATTGTTGTCAGAATAAATTAAGAGAAAAAGTGAAATTTAGGAGGAAAGAAGCCTGCTATCTCTGGTAATAGATAGTCTGTGTGGTTCTTCTGGCCTCAGAATTGTGGTTCATGAATCTTGCATGAATTTTGGGATACAGGGCCAGATAGTAAATATTTTAGGCCTTGCTAGCTGTATGGTCTCTGTTTCTATTATTCAGTTCTGCCACTGTAGCTTGAATGCAACCATAGTCATTAGGTAAATGAATGTGTGTGACTGTGTTTTAACAAAACTTTATTTGTGAACACTAAAATTTGAATTTCATATAATTTTCCTGTGTCACAAAATAAATTCTTTGTTTGATTGTTAAAAATTATTTAAAAATGAAAAAATTGTATTTAATTCATGTGGCCATACCAAAAAAAAGGAGGCAGGTTGGATTTGACCTATGAGCTCTAGTTAGCTAACATCTAAGGTAGGATTTATCCCTCACTTTAAAGGGAATTAAGAACAAAAGTGTTTCTTCTGCCCTTTGATTATTAAGAATATTATTATGAACAAGAAAGAGATGTCTAAAATTACAATTAATGAACAATGTTCTAGAAGATTAAGTCAATTTAATGAGAGAAGAAAAGAAAGCAGATATAAATAATGGAAAAGGCAACTTATTAAGATGTGTATCCTGTGTACTATAATAATTTGTTACCTGGAAAACAAACGTTGTATTTTTTAAAAAATCTTTTTTCCTAACTTTGAATTCTAAAAAAACTAAGAAACAATGATCAGGGCAGTTGCAATGAATATTCCATTAGATTGTGTCCTTCAAACACCATCTCCTACTAAAAAGGACCAAGACTTCCTGGAGAAATGGCTGATTCCAGGTCTGGCCAGGAAACATACAAGAACAGACTTATTGCTACTGGTCAGGTGGCCACAAGAGACTGCAGTATCGTGTCAAAAGAGCTAAGGAACTAACTTAAATGAACAACCATTGGCCAATGATGAGACAATGTGAGACTCGATAAGCATTCACAAAGGATTAAAAATCGCTGCAAGGATTAATAATGAGTTTCAATTAGTAAAATCTCGATGCTGGGGGAAAATAAACCTTTATTTATTACCTTTGAAGGAAACTAATAACTGCCTTATTATTTTGAAAACTGATAAGTAAAGAACCAGGCGTTTATCCCACCTTTCTTGTAAAATCTACACCTCAGTTAATCAAATGGTTGATGAGCAGAAGTTGCTCCATCTATGTGTTTTCAAACTAATAAATGAAAGTGGAATGATAGAATATCGCCACTTTGCAACCCTAAAAATAAAACAAATTAATAAATTTAGGCAATTACTATAATTAGCAATATTTTGAAAAAAACAATAAAACATTTTTTACCTCCTGATGGAAGTATATACCATCTAAGCATTAGTTTTACCACAAACAAACAGACAAAGTGATACATCCTTCTAAGTCTAATAGCCAACTTGCAGGAACCATAAGGAGGAGAATATATTAAATGACACCACTGTGATGAAGTCAGCAAAATTCAGGCTACGGAAAATTGTTTATTCAAAGGAAAATTAAATAGAAATTCCAAGAAAAAGAAAGCGTAAGGGAGAACTTGTACAGGAAATAAACTTAGACTTATAAACCATTCATACTATATGGACCTGATTTGGATCTCAATTCAAATAAAAAAGTTCTAAAAGTGTCCTAAGAAAATTGAAGATATATGATAATATAAAATTATTGTCAGCTTTTGTTTAGATATAATAGTATTATTGTTATACATTTCAAAAAAAGAGTAATGTTTAGAAGTAAATAGTAAAATATTTACAGATGAAATGACATGCTCTCTAGAATTTGCTTCCAAAGAACCTGAGTGGAGTGAGAAATCTGAATAAAATAAAACTGCCTATGAATTAGTTTACAATTATTAAAATTGGGTTATAGGTACATCAGCTTCATTACATGATTGTCTCTACTTTTGTATGCATTTGATAATATCCATAATAAATACTTAAAATATTAAAAAAGAATAAAAGCACATAACTAAAAAATAACTCACTGATTACCTACAACATTTCGCTACCTTCATCTGCATTTCCAAGTTTTTTTAAATAGCTTTCATAAATAAGTTTGCTTTTTAATTCATCCTGCTTGAAAGCCAAATGCATTCAGGGCTGTGAAGGACACAAAGAGGTGGGATTTTGTTCCCAGCCTCCTGGATTCATTATGAATGAACAAAGACTGGTAGAAATCCTATGGTAATTCACAGCCTACAGTACCGTGAAGACAAGGAGGAAAGATTCGAGGACAAATGTATCCTACACGTGGCCGCAGAGAACAGACACCATGGGGACATATGAGACAGTGGAGTGGAGGGTATTTTAAATGAAGGGGAATGATGCTAAAGGAGGGTCAGTGTAAAAGTGGATAGAGAGATGATTAATTTCGAAAGGGGGGTACAAGATGAAGGGACACCCCTGAAATCGGGCACAGGCACATAGATTTGATACCATGATTATCAGGCAGCCTCTGTAATGTGTGACCACAGGAAGCTTTTGCATATGGCTTTGTTTTAAAGGCAGATATGTTCAGGACATATTGGAGAGGTTTATTCCCTCACTGCGCAAATTTTTATAGAGATGAGACTGGAATTGAGAGTGAAATGAAGGGAGTCGTATTAGAGCATGAGTTCTCTCAGCGTTCTCCTCCAAAGGGTCTGCAAGGTGAACAAT
Organism: Homo sapiens; assembly: GCF_000001405.40. Lineage (NCBI taxonomy): Eukaryota > Metazoa > Chordata > Mammalia > Primates > Hominidae > Homo > Homo sapiens. The sequence continues at coordinate 26,797,012 of NC_000008.11, forward strand.
ATGTTCACAACGATACTAAGGCAGTATTTGCCTTTGCCACTATCATTCTGTTGTGAGAGTGGAGTGAAATGTTTCAGAGATGAAATGATGTGTGTTATTGTAACAGATTAAATGAAGAGCAGATATGAGGATTTAGCTATCATTTATAGCCTGACATCAAAGACACTTGCAAAAATGTAGAACAATATTACCCCCTCACTGTTTTAAATTTGGAAAATCCAGTTTGTTTTAACAAAAGTATGTTATTTATGTTAATATGTAATGGGTTTATTATTTTTATTTTATTTTATTTTATTTATATTTAAAACAGCGTCTCGCTCTGTCGCCCAGGCTGGAATGCAGTGGTGCGATCACAGTTCACGGTAGCCTTCAACTCCTGGGCTTAAGCAATCCCCCTGACTTAGCCTCCTGAATAGCTGGGACTATAGGCATGAGCCACCATGCCTGGCTAATTTTTTGATTTTTTTTGTGAAGATGGGGTCTCATTATGTTGCCTAGGCTGGGCACAAACTCCTGAACTCAAGTGATCCTCCAGCGTTGGCGTCCCAAAGTGCTGAGATTACAGGTGTGAGCCATCATGCCTGACCTATTATTGTTATTTTAAAGAAATTAATATATTTTTTAAATTTCTCAGTTTTAATTTTGAATATTGTAAATATCAACAGAGTCTACATACACAAAAACTCTTTAATGTCCTATATAATTTTAAGAGTGTAGAGGGGTCTTAAGACCAACAGGTCTGGGAATTCCTACATTTGAGTGTTTATTGAGGCTATGGAGAAGGGGGATTCAAGAGGAATTGCAAAGGAAAAGTGATCATGACATGGTGTTTACGTCAGTACATAATTGTTAAGTGCTCATAAAGTCCAAGGTCTTAAACATGAAGTAGAAGGACACAAGGTGTCTTCAGGTGGTCAAGGTGGAGGTCTGTTTGATTCAGATACAAATTCTCATCTGCATCGACAGTAAGTTAGTCTTTTTTTTTTGGGATGGAATCTCACTTGTCACCCAGGCTGGAGTTCAGTGGCACCATCTCTGCTCACTGCAACCTCCGCCTCCCAGGCTCAAGTGATTCTCCTGCCTCAGCCTCCTGAGTAGCTGGGATTACAGGTGCTTGCCACCACACCTATCTACTTTTTGTATTTTTAGTAGAGACAGGGTTTTGCCATGTTGGCAAGGCTGGTCTTGAACTCCTGACCTCAAGTGATCCTCCCACCTCAGCCTGCCAAAGTGCTGGGATTACAAGTGTGAGCCACTGTACCTGGCTAGTCTTGAATAACTTCTAGTGATGTTCCAAGTGATTTGCTCTTTCAGAGAATTAGATGGGCGAGATTCTAAATCTCACTCAGAAAAGCATGGCTTTTTTAACCCATAAAGAAAAAATGCTTTCTCAAAAGGACTCAATATGTTAAGCAGATCCGAATATACTTATCCCTTTGCTTACACAAGTCATAAACTGTGTCAGCTCTCACCTACCTCCTGCTTATTCTCATTTACTTTTGTTCAAAGGACATTTTTTTATTCCTAAATTATTTCCCCAGACAGAGATGATAATTCAGTATCTTGATGTTCATTTAATGCATGTGCATGGGAAGCCAAGTCATTTGACTATCAGGAGTCTAGTGAAAAATAGAACTAGAATGGTATCTGCCTGTGAAAAAGACACAAAGTTTAGAGAATATACTAAAGTTTACAAAAAGAGGATTTTGGGGGTTATGTAGGTTACCATTATTAAATACCCAAATAAGATTATTTCTATAAGAAACACTTTAAAACACCACTCACCTACCACCATCCCCATGACAAAATTAAACACTCTCCTTGTGCTCCCACGAGTACTACCATTTTCCTCTATAGTATTACCAACATCTCTGATGTATGACAGTTTGTTACATTTCTTTCTTTTTTCTCTCTCTGCCCAGGGATATCTTGCAGAGCAGGTATTTTGCTTTATTCCCATTTGATTTCCAACAATCCCTTACATGGTACATTCTATCTAGCAAGTTTCAATAATGGATGTTGAATTTAATGAACTAAAAAAGCCCCGGATGTTGTCAAGATTGCATTTGTTTATTTAATGTATATAGTTGTTCAAAAGTTCATTAATGGGGTCCAGTTATGACACAGTAATGGGTATGATATACTCTTCTGCTGTAAAAAAAAAGATGTAATTGATTACAATATATGAAGTCCTTGTTTTTAAGCATTTAGGATTTTGATCCTCTGGAGAAGTAAACACATGAGATGAGCTCAATGTTACTCTTTCTCCTTCAGGGCATTTTCTAAATTGTGGCACAGAGAAGTTGTGCCCTAATGAAACTGATCTCTGGGTGGAGAAAACAGAGGTTGTCACCCAGGGAAACTGAGATGGGTGAAATTTGCAAGGCAAGGTGCCACAGAGGAGAGAGCTGTGCAGTGACTTCCAGTGAATCTGTGTGCTGGTTCTCAGTTAAACTACAGCCAAATATTTGAATCTGTGGTCAAATATACCCAGTGCCAGCACAGGGTAATTGCCTACAAGAATACCAGTAGGTGGGTTCATTTGATTCTTTGAGGCATGGCCTTAAGCTTTGCCATTACTTTTAAGGCTAGAGCAATGCTGATCTAAGATATACTTTTCTGGGGTCTCAGCTGATCCCAGATTATGGAACAAGCTCTCTACTGTAGCTTGTTTCACCTTCAATGTGTCATGTATGACATCTGGAGTCTCTGTTGAGTTTGCAGCTCTCTGGGACAATAAGTGAATATTTTAGACTGTATGCCAGTAAATTAAACAAACTAAATGAATTGAACAAATTTCTTGAGGTACACAAATTTTCAAAAGTGATTTAAGAAGAAAGAACATTTGAATAAATCAATTTACATGGAAATGCACGTAATCTAGAATTGCCAATTCAATGTGAAAAAAATAAAGTTGGAGGAGTTATGTTACTTGACTTCATGATGTATTAAAAAGATTATCATCTGCTGGGCTTGGTAGCTCATGCCTGTAATCCCAGCACTGTGGGAGGCTGAGGATTGTGGATCACTTGAGGTCAGGAGTTTGAGACCAGCCTGATCATCATTGTGAAACCCTGTCTCTACTAAAAATACAAAACTTAGCCAGGCATGTTGGCGCATGCCTGTAATTCCAGCTACTTGGGAGGCTGAGGCAAGAGAATTGCTTGAACCTAGGAGGCAGAGGTTGCAGTGAGCTGAGATCGTGCCACTGCACCCTAGCCTGGGTTACAGAGTGAGACTCGGTCTCAAAAAAAAAGAGAAAAAATGATCATCATCAAAACAATATTACATTAGCATTAAAGACAGACTAATAGATGAATAGAAGAGAACAGAAACTCTAGGAACAGGCCAAGATGTGAAAAATGATTTTTCAAAAACAGTATAAAAATAATTCAATGGAGGAAGGTAGCTCAATGGGGGAAAGTCTTTTCAACAAATGGTGTAAGAGTAATTGAATACCTATATGCCAAAATGACCATCCTTGAACCTAGAAGAAATGGACATATTCCCAGACACATACAACCTACCAAGACTGAATCAATAAGCAATCAAAAATCTGAATAGACCAATAACAAGTAATAATATCAAAGCCATAATAAAAAGTTTCCTAGCAAAGAAAATCCTGGAACCCAATCAATGGTTTTATTGCTGAATTCTACCAAATATTCAAAGAAGAACTAATACGAATCCTACTCAAACTATTTCAAAAAATAGAAGAAGAGGGAATGCTTCCAAATACTCATTGTATGGGGCCAGTATTACCTTGCTACCAAAACACATGAAAAATCATCAAAAAGAGACATAAAAAACCCCAAAACAAAATTACAGGATAATATCTCTGATGACCATTGATGCAAAAACCCTCAGCAAAACACTTGTAGTCCAAATTCAACAACATATTAAAAAGATTATTCATCATGACCAACTGAGATTCATTCTAGGGATGCAAGGATGGTTCAACATATTCATATCAATCAGTGTGATACAGCATATCAATAGAATGAAGGACAAAAACTGTATGATTATTTCAATTGTTGCTGAAAAAGCATTTGATAAAATTCAACATCGCTTCATGATAAAAAGCCTCAAAAAATTGGGTATAGAAAGAACATATTCCAACACAATAAAAGCCATATATGACAGACCCACAGCTAGTATTAAACTGAATTGGAAAAAGTGAAAGCCTTTCCTCTAAGTTCTAGAACAAGACAAGCATGTTCACTTTCACTGCCGTTATTTAACATGGTACTGGGAGTCCTAACTAGATCAATCAGACAAGAGAAAGAAAGTAAAGGCATCCAAATTGGAAAGGAAGAAGTCAAATTATCCTTGTTTGCAGATGATATAATCTTATGTTTGAAAAAAATCTAAAGACCACACTGAAAAGCTATTAGTACTGATTTAAAAATTCAGTAAAATTGCAGGATACAAAAATCAGCAGCATTTCTATATGCCAACAGCAAACAGTTTGAAAAAGATATTTAAAAAGTAATTCTATTTACAATAGCTACAAATAAAATAAAATACCTAGGAATAAACTTAACCAAAGAAGTGAAAGATTTCTACAATGAAAACTGTAGAATACTGACGAAAGAAATTGAAGAAGACACACAAAAAGTGGAGATATTCTATGTTCATGGATTGGAAGAATCAATACTATTAAAATGTTCATAAACACAAAGCAATCTACAGATTCAGTGCAATCCCTATCGAAATACCAATGAAATAAAATAAATAAAATTTATATGGAACCACAAAAAACCAGAATAGCCAAAGGTATCCAGAGCAAAAAGATCAAAACTGGAGGAATCACACTACCTGACTTCAAATTATACTATAGAGCTATGGTAACCATAACAACATGGTACCGGCATAAAAACAGACATACAGACAAACAAAACTGAATGAAGAACCCAGAAATAAATTCATACATCTACAGTGAACTCATTTTTGACAAAGGTGCCACGAATATACACTGGGGAACGAACACTCTCGTCAGTGAATGGTGCTGGGGAAACCAGATATCCATATGCAGAAGAATTAAACCAGACCCTTATCTCTTGCAATATACAAAAATCAAATGAAAGTTGATTAAAGACTATGAAACTACTAAAACAAAACATCAGAGAAACTCTCCAGGACGTTGGGCTGGCATACATTTATTGAGTAATATCCCAAAGCACAGGCAACCAAAGCAAAAAAAACGGACAAATGGGATCACATCAAGTTAACAAGCTTTTGCACAGCAAAGGAAACAATCTACAAAGTGAAGACACAATCCACAGAATGTGAGAAAATCTTTGCAAACTATCCATCTAAAAAGAAACTAATAACCGAAATTTATAAGGAGCTCAAACAACTCAATAAGAAAACATACAATAATCTGATTAAAAATGGGTGAAAGATATGAATAGACATTTCTCAGAAGAAGACATACAAATGGCAAACAGGCATATGAAAATGTGCTTAACATTATTTATCATCAGAGAAATGCAAATCAAAACTACAATGAGTTATCTCACCCCAGTAAAAATGGCTTTTATTCAAAAGACAGGCAATGACAAATGCTGGTGAGGATGTGGAGAAAAGAGAACTCTCATACACCGTTGGTGGGAGTGTGAATTACTACAGCCACTATGGAGAACAGAATGGGGGCTCCTCAAAAAGCTAAAAATAGAGCTACCATATGATCCAGCGATCCTACTGCTAGGTATATACCTAAAATAAAGGAAATCAATATATTGAGGAGACATCTGCATTCCCATGTTTTTGGCAACACTATTCACAATAGCCAAGATTTGAAAGCAATCTAAGTATCCATCAACAGCTCAATGAATAATACAAATGTGGTACATATACACAATGGAATACTATTCAGCCATAAGAAAGAATGAGGTTCTGTCGTTTGCAACAACATGGATGGAACTGGAGGACATTTTGTTAAGTGAAATAAGCCAGGCAAGGAAAGACAAACTTCTCATGTTGTCATCTATTTTGGGGAGCTCAAAATTAAAACAATCTGACTCATGGAGACAGAGAGTAGAATGATGGTTAGCAGTGACTGGGAAGCGTAGTGGGAGGGTGAAGATGGGAAATGGGGATGGTTAATCTAAAAATATAGTTAGATATGAAGAATGATATCTAGTATTTGATAGCATAACAGAGTGACTACAGTCAGCAATAATTTGTTTTATATTGTAGAATAACTGAGGGAGTACAATTGGAATGTTTGTAAAACAAGAAATGATGAATGCTAGAGGTGATGAAAACCTCATTTATTCTGATACGATTATTACACAGTATATGACTGTATCAAAATATGTCATGTACTCCATAAATGTATCCTACTATGTATCCATAAAAATTAAAAATGAAAAAAGATGACTCTTGAACTATACTTATACTGTGCACAAAAATTAATTTGTATGGAGTCTGAACATAAACATAAAAGCTAAACCTATAAAGCTTTAAGAAGAAAACATCGAAAAATACCTTTGTGATCCTAGAGTAGTGAAATATTTCCTGGATAAGACTTGGAAAGTGATAAATGTAAAAGTAGATAAATAAGCTTGATCAAAATGCAAACTTCTGCTCATCAAAAGATGGCATTAACAAAATAGACAAAACACAGCCTACGAGACAATACAGACAATATAAATTTCTAACAAAGTACTTGTATCCAGAATATATGCAGAAATGCTACAACTCAATAATTTTAAAAGTCCAGTTAAAAACAGATGAAAGACTAGAATAGACACTTGACATAGGAAGATATACAAATAGCTGATGAGCACAGGAAAAGATGCTCAGCATCGCCAGTCATCAGGGACATGCAAATGAAAAGCGTAATGAGATACTACCACATACCTACTACAATCACTCTGCAAAAGAATATTTTGGAAGTTTCCTTTTTTTTTTTTTTTTTTTTTTGAGATGATTTCACTCTGTTGCTTAGGCTGGAGTGCAGTGGCAAGATCATAGCTCACTGCAACCTTGAATTCCTGGGCTCAAGAGATCCTTCCACCACAGCATCCCAAGTAGCTGAGGCCGCAGGTGTGTGCCACCACACTTGGTTAATTTTTAAATTTTTTTTAGAGTCGGGGTCTTGCTATGTTGTCCAGGCTGGTCTCAAACTCAAGGGTCAAGTGATCCTCCTGCCTTGGCCCCCCAAAGTGGTGGGGTTATGGGAATAAGCCATGAATTTCTTGAGAAGTTAAATGTGTATCTGTCTTAGGACCCATTACTCTCCTTAATGCTTACCCAGGAGACATGAAAACACATCCACATGCAGGCTTGTCTATGAGTGTTCAAAGAGGCTTTATTTGGAATAGCCCCAAAGTGGAAACAGTCCAAATTTCATCGATATGTGAAAGTATAAAAAATTATACCTATTACTCTAGAATAAAAAAGAATAGACTATTGATACATGTGACATGCATCTCAAAATCATTATCATGAATGAAAGAAAAGAGGCCAAGAAGATTCATACTGCATGATTTTCTTCATTGTAGGAGTCTAGAAATTGCAAGATAATCTACAGTGATGGTAAACAGATCAGTATTTGCCTGGGGACAGAATCCGTAACTCCATGGATTCCATGGGTGTCAGAGTTGTGCTCTGACTTATCTGACATATATCACTATTTGATGGACAAATGATCATATAAAGTGAAAAATCAACCTCTAAACTAAGAGTTTGGGATCTAACTCCAGAATAACACCAGTAACCTCTGTGTGTCTCATTGGAAGAACATATGATGCTTCGAGGATGGTTATGTCAGAGAGCAAATGAGATGGTGTGTGAAAAATAATAGTAATTATAAGATCTGATATAAATTTAATTTATTCTTATTGTTTGTTATTAATAGCTAGAGATAAGCCTGAAATTATAATTTCATAGCTCATCAGTGAGGGCAATGAAGGATTTGCATCAAAATAAGCTTCGGAGTCAGTCTCTCTCTCTCACATGCATACACACATACACACATGCTCGTATGCATGCACACACACAAACATACACCACTCAGGTTTCATAGACATTATTTCTGGAGATAAAGAGTATGGCTCTGAATTTTGTTTCTAATGCTGTTGGTTGTTTGCATGCTAATTCTAGACTAGGAATCAAATCCTAAAACGTCAGTTATATTGTGTCCCACTGTGACGACCAAGAATGGGGCTCTCACCTCTGCCTACCTGGCTCTTCACGTGAAGTCGCCTTCCTCATTTGTCCACTCTCAATTTACACCTATTGCCTCAGTATGGTTATTAATTGTGCTTTCTTACATTTTGAGTGTTATGAGCTAGACAGTAAGTTAACATTGAATTAATATTTCTGGTTTGGATCTACAAGGTGGGAATTATTCCCACTTTAAAGATGAAGCAAATCACTTGTCTACTACGCTACAACATTGTCTTAGAGAAGGGAGACCAAGACTCTGGGTAATACAAGACTGAATACTTACTGCGTGTCCACTCTATGCCCAGTACTTTCGAAACGCTTTCCATATATTAGCTCATTTAATTTTCCAAAAATGCTAGGAGGATACCAAGACATTAGTGTTATTACAGATTACGAAACAGGCATGAGAGGCTAAGTAACTTGCCCAAGGCCATGGAACAAGTGAGAGATGGAACTGGATTTGAACTCTGGTACCCCAGCTCCAGAGCTGGTGGGTAATAATTACTTGCTATGAAAAGTATTACAAGGCTTTCTTTTTTGTGTTGCTTCTACCTGGTACAAGAATCTTGATGAGCCAAGAGTTACTGGAACTTCAGTAAGCTCATTACTTGAACACATTTATTTTTAACCATTTTCCCCCCCACATAGATTTGGCATTATTAACAGAGCCAAAGCCAAGTGACGTTGGCCCTTGATAAAGACACAGCTTATCAGAGCCTGTGCCCCCTTCCCCCTAGGCATCTTCTATCACTGTTGCAGGTGCAGGCCCCCTCCACACCCACTCTGGAAAGCTGAGGGTTGTGGCTGGTTCTCCTTTTCTAGGACATTCCCTGAGGCCACTTGTGGCAGCCGCCAATGTGCTTGCTCTTCCTATTTTATCCTTCCAGGCATGTGGCAGCTTTACCTAATGACCGAACTCCCGAATGTTCCCATTCTGTCCTGCCTCTCTTTTCCCCTTACTCCAAGAATGACCCATTATGGGTTATTAGCACTGCCCTGTTTTTAACTGGGTTGCAATTCATGCAGCCTCCTAACTGCAAAATCACTTCCCTACAGCCTTCCTTCAGACAAGGTGGAACTGGCCCCAGAAGCTGGGTGTTTACACCAAAGATTTTTTTTTTTTTTTCGAAAGCTGCCTTCTGTTTTGCTCTTCCCTTACTGTATAACAGATAGCAGGGTGCAAAAAGCCCTTTATCCTGTTAATAGTGGCCTTAGGTAAGGAAAAAAAAAGAGCATGATTCAAGTTTTCTGTGGCCTCTGGCTCAGTTGAAATGGAATGTAAGTGCAATGCCAGAGCCTGGTAAAAATAGAAACTCCAGTGTCCAGACTCCTCTCCAGATGGTGTGGGAATCCAGATAGCAACTCATCACTAAGGAGGGCCACCATTAATTAGTGGGAAGATGTCATGCCTCACACTGGGGAGTAAATGAAATGGCCTATAGCTTAGAATGGAACCTCTCTAATCGCCAGAGAGTCCGAGGTTTCTCCCTAAGTCTCTTTACTCTGGCTTAACCGAGAGTTCGGTCATTACATAAAGCTGCCACATGCCTGGAAGGAGGAAATAGGAAGAGCACGTGCAGTGGCTGCTGCTAGAAGTGGCCTCATGGAACATCCTAGAAAAGGAGAACCAGCCACACCCTCAGCTTCCCAGAGTGGGTGGGGAGGGGGCTGGCATCTGTGATAATGAGAGAAGATGCCTAGAGGGAGCTGGACCCAAACTCTGATAAGCTGGGTCTTTACCAAGGGCCAAAGTGGCTTGGCTTTGGCTCTGTTAATAATGTCAAACTTATGTCGGGGGTAAAGTGCTATAAAAATAAACATGTTCACTGAACGAGCTTACTAAAATTCCAGTAACTCTTGGCTTATCAAGTTTCTTGTATCAAGTAGAAACGACACAAAAAGAAGCCTTGTAATACTTTTCACAGCAAGTAACTATTACCCTTCATAAGAATCACAAATCTAACCCCTTTCCATTAAGCATAGCCTCCTAAAAGGAATTAGCTTTGGGCCCTGGGCAAGCCACTGAGCTCTGCTAGTCTCCCCTTCTTTATCAATGTCATGAGGGTGATCATACTGATTTTCAGATTTTCACAGGGCTGCTTCTTTTGATAATTAAATAATAAGAAGGTACAAGAATCAAGAAGGGTGACAAGCACATGGGTGGCTAAAAATATTAACTGAAGAAATCAAAGCAATACAAATGTTTGGCACCACTAAGTTAGAAAGAGTGTATGAGAACTGGAGGGAACCCCTCTGCTGGTCAATTTTTATTATTTGGAGTAAATGTCATCTCTCAGAGAAGCTGTTCTCAAAGATCATGTTGCATTGTTAATTTTGGTATCTGTCTCTCTTAATAGACAGTGAACCTTCAAAGTGGGGAGGACCATAGCATGTTCAGGTCTCATTATAGCATGTAGTGCATAAAGGTGCTTGGATGTTTATTGAATAAAAGAATGAGTGAAGATTTGGAATAATGGAAAACATTGGGAAGGGTGTTTCTTTTGGTGGGAATGTAGCATGATGCAAACTAGGAAGTTACTTAGAATGTCCAGGAAAAGACAGGAGAGGGCAGCGTGGGTGGAAAACAGGAATTGAGGAGTACTGAGCAAGAGACACACCAAAGAGGCCAGGACCCATCCACCTTATCTCCTCACCTATAAATTCTGCTCCCCTCCTCCTTTGCAAGGTCCAAGCCTCACAATGTGGCTCCCTCTCTACACCATCACCTCCTGCTCCTCTTTGGAAAAGGAACCACAGTTCCCAAGCTCTTTATACTAGACACAGGGCAATGCATTCTGCACTTATTTTTTCTAAGTTCATACTTTGAATAAGTAATACATTTACGTGGCTCAAAAATGAGAACACTGTAACAAATTATACCCTAAGGTGTTATACCCTTGACTTTATTTCCCCTATCCCCCTTCAATCCCTAGACATAATCCTTTTAATTAGTTTCTTTTTTATTCTTCCAGTGTTTTATGCAAATATAAGAAGTATGTCTATATATTATTTACTTATGTTTCCTACACAAAAGATTGCATACTACATATACTTCTACATATTGCTTTTTCCACTTAATACAACCTGGTCCTCTTTTCCCTATCAATGTGTAAAGATCTTCATCCTTTTTTATAGCTGTGTAGTATTCCATTGTATGTATTTAGCATAGTTTATTCAACTAATCTTCTAGTGCTGGATTTTTTTCATTATATACACTGTGGAAATGAATAACTAAAATTTTGAACAGTTTTTTTAACTTAGCCTTTTACCTGATTGTTGATGCCTTTTCTTCTTTGGTGATCTTGGCAATTCTTAGGACTCTATAGATCACTTCTATGCTGATGACAAAGCCCCATTGCGGTGTGCATCCCCTTTCCTGCTTCTAGCTGCCTTCCTGATCTATTACAATCAACAGCAACTCTAAACTTGACCTCATTTTCTCCTCCTTTGCTTAGGAGGTTTTCCTAGTGAAAAGTATACACTGAGATGTCACATTCTCTCTCCTACTCACTAAGATAAGAAACTTCAGTTGCCTGTGATTTCTTCTCTGCCTTGAACTCTACATCCATTGGGTGTAACAAACACATTGTTTTCTTGCATAACATTTTGGACATATGTCCTTTCTTTTTATTCTTATTGTCATAAATAACTGATTTTTCCACTTTTCTCTTACATGTCTTCTGCAATAATCTAGACAGCTTTGGTAGGAAACATCTCACAACTTGGGTGGGATCATTTTTCTGCCATTAGAGGTATCCCAATGCCTAATGAAGAAAGTGTACATTGCTGTTTGTAATGAGAAACTTGCTTTCTCTTTATTGATGAGTGAGCTCTTTAGGAGTAGACACCTGCCTTATTTACTACAATACCCTTACCACCTGCCATGATGCTGGGCATAAGGTATGTGTTCAGTAAAAAATTGTTGAATTTATCTCTGCAATACAATTTCAACGGGCATTTCCAATCTTATCTCCCATTATTCCCCTAAACAAACTTTACTGCCAAAGCTAATTTGAACTATTGTCCAGATATACTATTTAACTTTCATGACTTGGATTATGCCATTCTCTCTGCCTAGAATATTCTTCCTCTGTCTCTATGTGTTACTCTGTTCAGGTACTGAAAAGCCAACAGTTTCCAAGGCCCAGCACCTCTGAGAAGTTCTATCTGATTACCCTGAAACCACCGAGGCCCAAAAGAAAGCAACTTCCTCAGTAGAGGAAATGGAACCAGAACCCTGATTTCTCAGCTCTCATGAGCCTAGAAAGAGTAGAGACTCTAAGATCCAGAACTGCACATTCTATTTCCCAGTGAGCCATGACATCCTGCCTTGGAGGCCAGAATGATACTTGTCTTACAACTTTATTGGATAATAGGGAGGATCCCATGGAATGATGGAATTAGTAATCATTTATAAAAGCACAAAATCTTATAAACTGTAGTGAAGTATGTAGTGCATTTCTATTCAATTAAATAAACATGTATTAAACTCCTACCTCTACTATACACTGAGCAATGTGCTACAAATGGAATGGTTTCTTCCCACAAAGCGCTGAGTAAGAGAAAGCTGTGGCCTTATTGAATCTATTGATTTAGCCTCAATAAATGCAGAAGGATGTCATCTACTCACACGAAGATAAAAGGGTTACAATCATGGACATGGCTTACCTCTCTAAATAGCTCGCTATATAATTTTGGCAAAGTTCCTTGAACAATTTGGTCCTTAGACTTCCTAGATTGTTCATGGAACTTTCTTCTTAGATTATTATACCCTGTTCTGTGTCTCAGTTTGCAATTTTTATCCCAGCAGAGGAACTCTAGTTCTAAGAGGGAGATCTGCCCTTGAAAACCGGCTGCCCTTATTACTTCCTGCCTTTCTTTTAACTGAGCTCCACTGGCTCAGACACATAATTTTTGTTAACCATGAATGCTTTAATAAACTCAGAGGTCGAATCAATAAAGCCAAGATTTTTGACCAATTGTGGTCAACACAAGTACCAAAGTAAATTTTTACAAAAGGGTCACCATTCAATTTCTAGTAATTTAGGGCAAATTCCACGTTGGGTTAATTTCATGCTGCATTTCTGAATTCCCAAAGCAGTTTCTACAGAATGTCATCATGACTATGGGTTTTTTCCCTTGATCCGTCCTAAGACTTGGTGACAGGCAACAAGCCTGAAACAGCCATTCTATTTCACTGGGGAGAGAGATTGCATGTGTACCTGGAATGAAACCATCTGCTAGAATCTTGCAGCAGTGTGATAATGGAGAATAAAATGGAGAATTGTTCAAGGGTCTTAGTTGAAGGTAACAGTATTTACGGGATGACCTAAAACAATTCAAATAAGAAAGCCAGCTTTAAGTAACAATATCCCACTGCTATGTCACACTAGTGAGGCAGCTCTGGCATGGTCCAGCTTAAAATATGGCTAGTGATTTGATTGTAAAATATTAGCTAGCTCACTGGAGAGCTGGCACAGGACTTTAGAGGAGACCTGGACTCATTTTTTCAGGTCTCACTCTTCAACCTCAGCATGCCCACTCCCATAGAATCATATATGACCAACACATCTTTGTTCCTTGGATGGCACGTTTGCAGTTATTCTTAATGAGCATGCTTCCTACTCAACTGACCCGAAATAGTTTGTAAGTAAAATAAAGAGAATTGCCCTAATTTCAACTATGATTAATCAATTAGTTGAAAAATCAATTACCTGACAAAAAAAAATCCAAGATTCACTTCGCATGACTTTTTAGTCTTTCATCATTTCCCACATTTGTGCTCCTGTGTTCAACCAGCTTTGGAAGTAAATTAATAGAAAAAGATGAAGGAACTGCTTTGAATCCATACAAGACATGGTTTATCAAACAGTTCACTAGCAAACATAGATGAACCTTGGGTGCATTTCTTTATCATCATTTTTGTGTGAGGCCCTAGGGTGAGAAATAGAAATGAAGGCTGGATTCTGTCCATTTGGGTCTCACTGTCTAGCTTTCTTTCTTTTCTTTTTTTTTTTTGTTGAGACGGAGTCTCGCTCTGTCGCACAGGCTGGAGTGCAGTGGCGCGATCTCGGCTCGCTGCAAGCTCTGCCTTCCAGGCTCACGCCATTCTCCTGCCTCAGCCTCCTGAGTAGCTGGGACTACAGGCGCCTGCCACCACCCTCGGAGAATTTTTTGTATTTTTAGTGGAGACGGGGTTTCACCGTGTTAGCCAGGATGGTCTCGGTCTCCTGACCTCGTGATCCACCCACCTCGGCCTCCCAAAGTGCTGGGATTACAGGCGTGAGCCACCGCGTCTGGCCCTCACTGTCTAGCTTTCTAAAGACAAACTGGTATTTACACCAATCTCTCCTTGTCACTGCCACTAAACTCCAGTCCACTAGAGCCCACTCAGAAAACCTTTCTCAACTGATGGGAGCATAAAGTTTGAGATTTTGCGATCACTCTTAAATTTCTTCTATGTTTTAGATGGATATAACTTAAGATTTGTAAAGTTCCAAATCTTCAGATATAGAACATTTCCAGCACCTCAGAAGGCTCCCTCATGCTCCCTCCCTATAAAGGTAACAACTATTCCAATCTCTGACACTACAGCTTAGTTCGATCTGCTTTTGAACTTGACGTAAATGTCGTCACGTGGAACGTACTATTTGTGCCTGACTTTGTTTACTCAGCATTACCTCTGCGTGATTCATTCACATTGTTATATGCATCAGTGCTTTGTTCCTTTTTATTTATAGTAGGAATATAACACAATTTATTTACCTATTCCACAGGTGATGGGCACTGGAATAGGTAAATATTACAAATAAAGCAGCCAAAAACATTCTTACAAATATCTTTGGGCTGATATGTCTTTTCTAAAGAAATCAAAATTTCTAATTTAATAAATTATATGTTTTCTAGCTTGGAAGACGAAGACAATGAGATCTAATGAAATGAGAGGCTGAGAAAACTGGACCTGATTAGATGCATCCAGACGTAATCTGTGCAAAAACCATGTTTTTTCCTTCTTCGACATTCTCATGCCTGCTTCTTCCTCCTCCTCTGCTCCCACTCTTAGCAGTGGCAACTCCTGGTGACCTATTTTTCTTCTGAGGCTTTTCTCATACTATCTCCATATTCTGTCAACTCATAACCACTCAGAAAATTTAATATCGAATAACTGATACTCAGGTTAAAATAATGGTTACACTACTCTCCTGAATAATCAAATAACTAATAGGTTTAAATAATAATGACACTACTTTCTTAAGGATATATGCTTATTTACAGGAAACAGGGATCTATCTCTGTGGAGAAATTTTAGAAGTCAGTAAAGTTCAGGAGATAGTTTTTGAGTGGGTAAAACTGATTTTCAGTACCAGAAAATCATAAATGAGCATCTTTCTTGTGAAGCCAGTTCTTAATACATCCAAAAAAGGGAGTTGCCTTTTTATTTTTATTTATTTATTTATTTATTTATTTATTTTCTTTATTATTATTATTTTTTTGAGATGGGGTCTCACTCTGTCACCCAGGCTGGAGTGCAGTGGCGCGGTCTCGGCTCACTGCAAGCTCCGCCTCCCGGGTTCACGCCATTCTCCTGCCTCAGCCTCCCGAGTAGCTGGGATTACAGGCGCCCGCCACCACGCCAGGCTAATTTTTCTGTATTTTTAGTAGAGACTGGAGTTTCACCGTGTTAGCCAGGATGGTCTCGATCTCCTGACCTTGTGATCCGCCCACCTTGGCCTCCCAAAGTGCTGGGATTACAGGCTTGAGCTACCACGCCCGGCCTGCCTTTTTATAATACATTTAATTTTTTAAAAATGCTGATAAAGACCTCTAGTTTGATATATAATTCTCAGAGTTGCGCTATCGTCTAACTACAATTTTTCACTCATACCCTTCCTGTCAATTGAAAGCTAAGGGACAGGTAATAAAAGACTACACTTGCATTAATAGTAAAACATACTAGGGAAAAGTTTTTCAGTTACAGTTTCAGAAAGTTGTTCAGTTGCTATGAGAGTGGAAACTAAATATTTGCTTCCTTCTATTACAAACACAGCAGACCAACCTAACCTAAGTCACCAAAGGAGCAGTTAAAATCATTTTCAGTGACATCGTGGGGCTAGGCTTTTTAAAGCAGGATTGAGAAGAAGGCAAAACAACTATAAGGTATCCTTTTGTTTTTTCTTTCTTAACCCACTCATCTAACTTTCTGCCTCATTGAGCTTCCTTCTTACAAATAAATGAATTAATTAAGACCCTACTTGCAAGAAAACCTGTGGTTAAAAGGGATCTTAATTCCTCTTGCATCTATCCATCCATCCATCCATCCATCCATCCATCCATCCATCCATCCACCTATTAATCCAGTCAACCATCCCTCAGGTGCTTGGCCTGGATCCCAGGCTGGTGGGTTACACTGTGGACATCCATCCTATGCTTGAGTGTTTCCAGTGATATGGAATTCATACAAGCCAAGCAGCCAGCTCAGTTCTGACAAGGTAACAAAGTTGCCTAATTAGAAAGTAATCAATAGCTAGTTTTGATAAGGTGGCATTTTTTCTCATTATTTTATTTCCCATTTTTTTAAGCTTTTTTTTCCAAACACTGGGAAAATAGGATATTAAAAACAAAAAGCAATTTCATATGTAAATGTCTTTTTAGACTAGGCTCAAAAACCTGGACACAGTGAAGGATGATGTTGACAGCTAACATTTTTCTATCTGACTTGGAGCAGGTGAAAGATTTCTCTACAAGTGACATGGACCTGCCAAGCCAAACCAGTGATCCTCAGGTCAGGCCAAGCTTTGTAACTTGGGGCCCACAGATGTGGTTTGTTTAGCTAGCACAATATTTTTAAAATAATGAGTTAGTTGCCAAGTTTTAAAATTAGACTGTTTCACATAAAATTTGAGTCTGGCTGATCCTAACAAAAAGAGGGTGCTTATTTATTTTTATAAAGTTTTTTTCTTAGCTTTAAAGGAGTGGTTTTAGTGATTACTATCTCCTATGGTGAAAAAAAAAAACATACTTCCTAGAATTAAATGATTCCTTTCTAAAATTTTTCATTTATTTATGTTTCTAGAGACAGGGTCTTGCTCTGTCGCCCAGGCTGGAGTGCAGTGATATGATCATAGATTACTCCAGCTTGAAACTCCTGGGTTTAAGCAATCTTCCCACCTCAGCCTCCTGAGTAGTAGGGACTGCAGAATAGCTGAGACTTCAGGTGTGAGCCACCACACCTGCCTAATTTTAAAAAGTATTTGTAGAGATGGGGTCTTGCTATGTTGCCCAGGCTGGTCTTAAACTCCTGGCCTCAAGGAATCCTATCACCTTGGCCTCCCAAAGGCCAAGGATTACAGCTATGTGCCACTGTGCCTGGCCAAGTGATTCCTTTCATTTAGCTTTAATTTTACTTCTGTTAAATAATTTAAATTTAACACTTCTTTAAAATAAAGAAATATATATCATCTGTTTTATAATTTTCTTTCTCTCCATCTATTTACTCATCCATCTACCCTTCCATCTAGAGAGATGTCTAGATTTGTGTTGGCCAAATGATAATGGTGGTTACTTTAGGATGGTGGAATTTTAGATGACCTTTAACTTTCTATTTTGTATTTTGCTGTGCTGAATTTTTAGTACTCAACATATTTCATTTTTATATAACATTAGTCCTTGTCATTTAAGAAGTCCTTTAAAATTAAAATATGTCTCTCTTCTTTTATCTCTTGAACTGAACCTTTAATGGATGTGATTAAGTGAGATCTAAATTAATGGTGAATGCCCTTTTTCAGGTAACAAGAAAAATGTGAAAATTTGAGCTTCCTTATTAGACAGGCTTCTCCCCTGATATCAATCCTTATGTATTTAACTCACTGTAGTAATTTAGAAAAACATGTTTTATTTCTTTTATTGGTCAATATAATTTAGACGCATGGGCCAAAGTATCAAAAATTTCCACTACCAAATCCTCACCAAGACTTACTGGGTTAAATCTTGTGGTAAACTATAATAGGATAACAGTCTTAAATAGATACTTGAAATCACATGCAGATTTCCTTTTCTGGAAATAGGGCATTCTAGAATACTGAAAACTATTTTGCCAGAGAACACCTAGACAGAGTGGAAAAAGTTGATAAGCTTTCTTTTACATGCATGGTTAGGTTTGCAAGATAGTAAAATTTTTCCAAGGGAGCAAAAAATTATCCAAAGCACTAAAACAAGAGGTAGCAAAAACCTAAGTATTAATGTAACACTGATTTCAAGCTACCTTATGGGATTTGTTGGTCTTGACAATCAAGTGATGTGGGTTGCATAAACCACATCAGGACAGAAGATGAGGCCTTGGGCTTACATAAAATTGGAAGGAAAATAAACAGAGATCCCTACATGCAAGCTTGAACCCTCACAGAGCTAGGCCTTTAGTGAAAGGTAGATGACTAGGAACCTGATCAGTCTCAGCCTGGATACTGTTTGTGGGAGAGAAAGGTCTCTGTTGAGTACTGAACAAGAATAAAAATAAAGCATACCAAAACTTGTAGAATGCAGCCAAAGCAATAATTGGAAATGTGCAGCCTCAAATATTTCTATCAGAGAAGAAGAAGGCTGAAAATTAATGAGCAAAGTAGCTGTCTGTGTTCCCTATAAAACAAAGGGTAAGGCAGTGAGTGATTAAGTGCTAATGCTTCTCTGGAGAGGTTCCAGGGCAGAAGGAATGAGAGAAAAGGGAAATGAGACAGGGCAGGATGAGAAGCAAGGGAGGGGGCGTGTCCAGGTGCTGCTGGTTGCTTTATCATGAGCCTTGAAAAGTCGCTGGTTCCATGGCAGCTGTACCCATTTGGTCACTCTTTGGGATCTCCAGAAAGGCAAGACACAGAAACAGTGCCTCACAGCAGCATCCCGAGGAGTCGTCCCTCTTAGTGTAGGCCTGAGGGCGTGGGGAGGAGCAGCCCTACAGGATAGATGTAAAATCCCACCTGGATCTGTCTTTCCTATATTTCCTTTGGAACAAAAGCCTTAAATTGGTGTGGGAAGGACACAAACCCTGTCACCTTCAAGGAATTGGAGAAAATCCACTGAAACTGGGGAAGGGCATGAGAAAAACCGTATTCCATGAAGGTGGGATAAACTTGCTGGGTTCAGACCTATTGATTGGGATCAAAGCAAATCACTGAGGGACTCCTCTCCTGAGACCCAAGGATGCAGTGCCTGCCAAGGACAGAGACTTAACCAGAGCATCAGAGCCCACCCATGTGCTGCCCCTGGAACCAGTGTAGCATACATTGAGTAACAAGTAACAGTGGTCTATGGCTGGGAGAAGGGCAAAAACAACAAGAGAGGTGCTCATGGTGTATGTGTGTGTGTGTGTGTGTGTGTGTGTGTGTGTGTGCATCCACATTGTGTGCACACGCTCATGTGCACACGCCTAACACACTGAGGCAGCCTGCATGGCACCCAGACCAGAGCACCTGTGCGGTCACACAAACACTCGAGTGGACACTGGCTCACTCACACCTCCATGTGGCACCTCAGCGCCCACCAGCTGCTCAGTACCTTGTCCACACACACTTCTTGTAGCACAATGGGAAGACCTAAAGCGGAATATGGAGAAGACCCTATGAAAGCCCCTGGCATGCCAGCCCCCATCCTACAGGAGTTTGAACCTCCCTCTCACTCTTTGCAACAAACTAACTCAAACATGTCATAGACTCAAATGTAAAACTCCAAACTGTAAAACATCTAGAAGAAAATGTAGTAGAAAAATCTTTGTCATCTGGAGTTAGTCAAGGATTCTGGGGTTAAAGATTTCTTAACTACAACTCCAAAAGCATGACCCATAAAAGAAAGAAGATAAATTGGGCTTCATCAAAATGAAAAACTGTTATTTAAGAAGTCTGTGCTGAGAGAATGAAAGGCAAGCCATATACTAGGATAAAAATATTTACAAACCATATATCTGATAAATGACTTGTATTCAGAATATACAAAACCATCAAACGAAGTAATAAGAAAACAGACAATTCAATAAAAATAGAATTGAAATAAATATTGGGACACATACTTCACCAAAAAGATAAGCAAATGTCAAATAAGCAAATGAAAAGATGCTCAACATCATTAGTCTTTAGGAAAATGAAAACTAAAGCAACAATGAGATACCATTTTACATGTATTAGGATGGCTAAAACCAAAACGAAAACAAGAACATCCTGACAATTTTGTGTACTGGATTGTTCATATATTGCTT
Source organism: Homo sapiens (assembly GCF_000001405.40). NCBI lineage: Eukaryota > Metazoa > Chordata > Mammalia > Primates > Hominidae > Homo > Homo sapiens. Next base: position 26,817,428 of record NC_000008.11, read on the forward strand.
AAAAGAATGCAAAATGATACAACCACTTTGGAAAACAGCTTGGTGATTTCTTATAAAGTTAAACATACGAGCCGGGCACTGTGGCCCATACCTGTAATCCCAGCACTTTGGGAGGACAAGGCAGGTGGATCCTTTGAGTTCAGGAGTTTGAGACCAGGCTGGGAAACATGAAAAATGCTGCCTCTACAAAAAATACAAAAATTAGCTGGGCATGGTGGCAGATGCCTGTAGACCCAACCACTAGGGAGGCTGACATTGGAGGATTGATTGAGCCTGGGAGGTTGAGGCTGCAGTGAGCTGTGATTTTGTCTCTGTACTCCAGCCTGGGTGACAGAGCGAGACCTTATCTCAGGTAAACAAAAACAAAAACAAAATAGGCTTATCCTACCACCCAGAAATTCATTTGCTGATGTTAACCCAAGTTAAATAAAAACTTGTTCATTTAAAATCTGTATGTGAATGTTTACAGTGGCTTTAGTTACAAGAGCCAAAATCTGGAATCAACACAGACATACATCCTTCAGCTGGGGATTGATGAATACACTGTGGTGTATCCACATAGTGGAATGTTACTCAGCAACAGGAAGGAACATCCCAACATATGGATGAATCTCAAACACATTACGCTGAGTAAAAGATGCCTGACTCCAAAGGCTACAAACTGTATGACTCCATTTATATGACATTTTTACAAAGACAACACTATAGAGAAAGAAAACTCAGTGGTTGCCAAGGATGGGGGTGGACAGACGGTTTGACTATAAACAGACATGAGAAAATTTCTGTGGGTAATAGAACTTTTCTGTCTTTTTTATGGTCATGGCATGTGACTGCAGAAATTTGACTCACAGAACTGGACACTACAAAGATAAATTTTAGTCTATATAAATGAAATCTTAATATTAAAAATGAAATAATATTAAGTCAAAAAGAATTCCATGGTATGTCACTATCCAAAGACAACCTTATTAACATTTTTTTGTTTGTAAAATTTTCTGAAATCATTTTTAAAAAACTGCACTTGCTGCTTCCTACACGTGAACAATAGACCCAGAAAACTTTACAGATGAGTTTTACCAAACATTCAAGGAATTGATGGCTTAACTATCTCAAAGTATAATACATAGGAAAAGGGGCAAAATTTTCCTAGTTCGTTTTATATGACTATAAATAAAAAGAACCAAACAGAAATTCTGGAGCTGAATAATACATTAAAAAAGAACCAAAGAGAGATTCTGGAGCTGGATAATACATTAATACCTCTGGAAATGAGGTACAGAGCGTCAACAGCAGACTTGATCAAGGAGAAGAAAGAATCTGTGAATAAAAAGGCCAGTAATTTGAAGTTATCCAGAGAAGAAAAAGTAAAAAAATTAAAATAAAAAAAGTGAAGAAAGACTCCAGGATTTATGAAATGTTATCAGGTAAAATAATACATGCATAATGAAGAATTTAAGAGGAAAAGAGAGAGAGAGAGAAAGCGGCAGAAAGCTTGTTTCAAGAAAGAATGGTTGAAAACTTTCCAAAACTTAGAAAGGATGTGGACATCCAGACTTTTGATGTTCAGACTTCCACCAAAAGATCAACTCAAAGATGATTACACAGAGACACATTATAATCAAATTATTAAAAGTCAAAGACAAAGAGGATTCCAAAAGCAGCAAGAGAAAAGCAGGAAAATTCCATGAGGCTATCAGTGGATTTCACAGGAGAAACCTTGCTGGCCAGGAGGGGAGTGATATATTAAAAATGCTGAAAGAAAAAGACTGCCAACAAAGCTGTCCTCCAGAATTGAAGGAGAGAGAAAGACTTTCCCAGAGAAACAAAAGCTGTGGGAATTCTTCACCATGAAACTGCCTTATAAGAAATGATAAAGGGAGTTATTCAAGTTGAAATAAAGGGATACTAATAAGTAATTTAAAATCATATGAAAATATAAAACTCACTTTTACTCTAGTATAAAAGTTAAAATACAAAAGTATTAAAATATAGCTACAATAATTAATAAATAAACAATACAAAAAGATGTAAATTGTGATATCAATAAATCAAACGTGTGTTGGGGGAGAGAAATTAGAGGGTAAGTTTTTGTATGCAATTGAATTTAAATTGCTATTAGCTTAAAATAGATTGTTACAACTATAAGATGTTTGATGTAAGCTTCATGGTAATCACAAAGCAAAAACCTTTAGTAGATACACAGAAGATAAAGAAAGAAATCAAAGCATACTACTACAAAATATCATAAAGAAACATTGTAATATAGGAAAAAAGGAACTACACAACAGTCATAAAAATTAATAAATTGGCAATAGTAAGTAGCTATCTATCAATAATTACTTTAAATATAAATGGATTAAATTCTTCAATAAAAAGACACAGAGCACCTGAATGGGTTTAAAAAACAAGATCCAAAAACATGCTGCCTAGAAAAGACTAACTTTAGCTTTAAAGACACATCTGAAAGGGAAGTGATGGAAAAAAGATATTGCATGTAAGTGGTAACCAAAAGAGAGCAGGGGTAGCTATACTTACACCAGACAAAATGGACTTGAAGTAAAAATCTGTCACCACAGAAAAAAAGGTCGTTATATAATGATAAAGGGGTCAATTAACCATGAAGATATAACTGTAAGTGCACCCAACACTACAGCACCCAAATATATGAAGCAAATATTACCAAAACTGAAAAGAGAAATAGAGAGCAATATAATAATAGTAGTGAACTTCAGTACCCCACTGTCAAGAATGGATAGATCATACAGATGAAAAATCAATAAAGAAATACCAGACTTGAATTATACTACATACCAAATGCTAACAGACGTACAGAATATTTCATCCAACAGCAGCATAATATATGTTTTTCTCAATTGTAGGTGGAACATTCTCCAGGATAGATCATATACTGGACCACAGACAAGTCTTAACACATTTAAGAAAATTGAAATCATATCAAGTCATTTTTTGACCACAATTATTGTCAATTATTACCTCAATAGTGCTGGAAAAAAAGTGTACATCTAAATCTCAGCCCCAGGGATACTTTCTTGACTAAACATCATTGATCACCACAGGTTTACTTTGTCTCTCTTTGGCTGGATAGTACAGCCATTCTCTTCTCAGTGTAGACTTTTCACCACCTTCCCCATGACATAGACTGAGCATTTTCTGGCTCTTTGCACCTTACACTTTCTCACCTTACAAATCCATGTATTTGTGGGCACATGCACCATATGCCCACATGCCTATGCCAATATGCGAGCATTGTTAGACAGAATCGGCTTGATGACACTGAGATTCTGGGAAAATGCAGCTTCTATAGGTAATGAGCATATATATCTAGTCACATTTAAAAAAATAGAATTTATTTTGAGTTAATTGTAGATTCATATATGGTTGTAAGAAATAATACAGACAGATTTAGTGTAACCTTTACCATATGCATTAGGCCATTTTGTTGTTGTTGTTGTTGTTGTTGAGACAGAGTCTCACTCTGTCGCCCAGGCTGGAGAGCAGTGGTGCCATCTTAGCTCACTGCAACTTCCACCTCCTGGGTTCAAGCGATTCTCCTGCCTCAGCCTCCTAGAGTAGCTAGGATTACAGGCAGGTGCCACCACACCTGGCTAATTTTTGTATTTTTAGTAGAGATGGGGTTTTGCCATGTTAGCCAGGTGGTCTCAAACTCCTGACCTCAGGTGATCCACCCACCTTGGCCTCGCAAAGTGCTGGGATTACAGGCATGAGCCACCACGCCTGGCCACATTAGGCCATTTTAGTGTTGCTATGAAGAAATACCCGAGGCTGGATGAGTTATAAAGAAAGAGGTTTAATTGGCTCATGTTGCTGCAGGCTGTACAAACATGGCTCTAGCATTTGCTTCTGGTGAGGGCCTCAGGAAGCATACAGTCATGGTGGAAGGCTAAGGGAGAGCAGGAAATATCACATGGTGAGAGTGGGAGCAAGACAGAGCAAGGGAGTGGGGAGGCCTCAGACTTTTAAACAAGCAGACCTCGAGTGAACTGAGAACTCACTTTTCACCACGGAGATGGTGTTAAGCCATTCATGAGGAAGCCAACTCCCTGATCCAATCACCTCCCACCAGGCCCCACCTCCAACATTGGGAATCACATTTCAACACGAGATTTGGAGGGGGCAAACATTCAAACCACATTACCAGGTTTCATCCAATGGCAACATCTTGCAAAACTACGGTACAATATCACAACCAGGATATTGACAACGATACAGTCAAGATACAGAATAGTTCCATCCTGGCAAGGAGCTCTCAAATAGTCCTTTTATAGCCATACCCACTTCCCTTCTGCCCCACCCCGATCTTCACTCCTGGAAATCACTAATCTGTTCTCTATTTCTATAATTTTGTCATTTCAAGAATGTTATGTAAATAGAGTCATACAGTATGCAATCATTTTGGGATTGGCTTTTTCCACTTAGCATTATTCTCTGGTACTTCATCTAGAGAATGTTGCACATATCAATAGCTTGCTATTTTTTATTGCTAAGTAGGGGTGTATTACCATTTGCTTAACCCTTCATTCACTGATGAATATCTGGATTGTTTCCAGTTTGGGGCTATTACAAATAAAGCTGCTGTAAAAACTCCTGTACAAGTTTTTTGTGTGACCATAAATTTTCATCTCTCTAGAATATGTGGCCAGAAGAACAACTACTGGGTTGAATGGTAATTGCATGTTCATATTTTTAAGAATTTGTGAAAGTCTTTCCAAAGTATGGTATCGTGGTTGAGAGAGAAAACTGTGGAGCCAAACCAAGAGATATCCACCACTTTTGAGTTGTATGTGTCTTGATATGAGAGCAAATCTCTCCAAGACTCAGCTTCTTTGTCTATAAAGCTATGCCTACTTCATAAAATGTTTTGTTAAATTGTCTGAGGGCTAAAAGGGATTATACAAACAAGTTCTTAGCATGCAACTACTCAGAACTTGAAATGTGGCCAGGATCATTGAGGAAGTGAAGCTTTTCATTTACTCAATTTTAAGTCACTTAAATTAAAATAGCCATACATGGCTAGTGGCTACTATATCAGACAGCACAGATTTACATTCTTACAAAATGAAGATTACAATAATCCTCACAAGGTTGATGCAGAATGAAGAAAAATGCAAAAGAAAACTGCATGAAAGACATTGTAGTATACAACCTAAGGTGCTATTTATAGACAATAACTTACTCAAGGATGGTTTAGATACAGGCTGTATTAGTCTGTTCTCACATTGCTACAAAGGAATGCCTGAGACTGGGTAATTTATAAAGAAAAGAAGTTTAACTGGCTCATGGTTCTGCAGGCCATGCAGGAAGCATGGTGACTTCCGCTTCTGGGGAGATCTCAGGAAACTTACAATCGTGGTGGAAGGTGAAGGGGAAGGAGGCACATAGCTGGAGCAGAAGCAAGAAAGTGGTGGGAGGAGGTGCCACACACTTTTAATAAACAAATCTCATGACAGCTCACTATCATGATGACAGCACCAAGGGAAGATGGTGTCAAACTATGAGAAACCACCCTTTGAGTCAGTCACCTCCCACCAGGCCCCACTTCCAGCATTAGGGATTACAATTTGACATGAGATTTGGGTGGGGACACAGATCCAAACCATATCACAGGCCAAGAAAGTTTTTCTCTCCTTTCCAACTGTGAACTGTAATTTTTTGTTATAGGCATTAACAGAAGAACAAACACCAGCAAGAAATGAACAAAAAATGGGGGAGGGCAGTGTCATGAAGCAAAATATGTGGCTAGCCTTTCTGCAAAGTGTGCTCTTGTCTGTGACACATGCTTCTTTGGCCACATGGTATAGTGTCTGCCTTCCACACTGTCACGTGCTGGGGGCTGGGCATGGGCGGTGACTTCCATCTGCTTCCTCATGGAGCACAGCCTCACAGAATTCATCATCAAGATAGGTCATGAATGGGAATGCACACCAGTGTAATATCTTTGTCCCTGGTGAGCCGTATCTCTGATACCTTCTAAAATGTTAGCTAGAGAAAGCAGAGGTGTTTCATTGACAGGTAATTATTGTTCTCTCATAAAAACTGAATTCTATGAAGAACAAAACCTTTCCTCCATCTTGGAAGTTGGGACAAATGCACTGGTTCGGGGAGCGCTGGGCTAAGGATCAGGCTGCTTGGGCTATCAACATATTTGTGTCACCACCTATCTAAGTGGCACCAGGAAGCCCACCTTCCTTTTTCCTATAAGACAGAGGATCAGGACTAGTTGGCCTAGGACCCCTACCAGGACCATCATTTCATCACTCATACTTGACACCTCATATTCTTGCAACTTCAAGGGCACAACCACTCTCTGATGTGTGTTATAATTATAGTTGTCAAGGTGAAGAACCCGAGGTACCATAAGACTATGGCTTGGTCAAAACCCCACAATATAGTAAGACAGCGGCAGAATTGGAAATGAAATCTTCATACTCCAAGCCTTTCTTTGGGTCTTTGTTCCACGCTATGTTACTCTGGGCTCATTTAGAAGAAAGTATTGCCCTGGGCTGGAAAATGGAGTGCCCAATGAATAGAGCTGCTTCTTTCTCCTCCCCCTGCCTCTTCTTGCTCAGCCCCCACACCTGCTGTACTGGCCACTGTCTGGATGTAGTAGGAGAGAGAAGAAAAGCAGAACAAAATAGGTAGGGGGCAAGGAAAGAGAAAGGTATTAGAAAGGTAATAGAAAGGATATATAATATTTTTCCATCTGTTCAGAAAGAAAGGCACTTAGAACTTCAGAAGAGCCAGCATTTTTACAGAATCACGAACAGTTTAAGCAAGCAAGGACAGAGAAGTGAAGTGACTCATCCTGGGTAACAGGGGTCTATCTAGTAAGCAAAAACTAATAAAGGATGGCAAAGCATAGGAATTAAGGCCAACTAGAGTCTCCGTGTCAGCCCTGTTGCATGCCCGCCGGGAAGCCACGGTCAAGGCAGCCTCCTTCAAACTTCGTTTTTTGCATCTCTGAAAGGAGGCCATGATACCAACATTGTAAGGTTATTGTGAGGATCGAACAAGGTAATGCCTGTCACACAGCTGACCAAAATTTAAGAGCTTAATAGAAGAGAAAATTGATGAGTTTGGGCTAGAACCCAGATATTCCTGTTCAATCGAGTGCTCTTCCCAGTAGAACACGCTGCCCCTCCCCCTTCCTCCCTTTTTGCTCAATGCCAGCATGCTCCCTTAAGCTCTCTAATTAGCTAAATAAAGAGTGCAGACAGGGCCTATGTTAAAAAATGCTTTCTGAGCCAAGTGAAATCCCTAGGGAAGTGAAAAGAAAAGAAAAAACACACACATGGCCAATTACCATAGCATCATTTCATTTCCTCAGAGTGACTAATACCCAGAGACAGTCACTTAAACACTAATTGCAGGAGAACAGGTAGAAATCATGTTAAATGAGCCCATCTTTATTCCTGGAAGAAAAGACAGCAAGACTCTCCAATGCATGAGTATGTCTGCCTCTTAATCATCTGCAGAAAGAGAAGGCAGCTTCCTTCTCTGATTGAACATTGGATTTTGATGGCATCGTAGTTCTTCTTGAACTAGCCGGCAGATCTGCAGTGTGGAATTGAGTTACCAGTGGAGCAACATGCCAGCTTCCTTCTGACAGCGTTTGGTTGTTCAGAATTCAAGCATGGCATAAAACAATGCCTGCATGCTCCAGAGAGACCCCCAGCCCCCACATGTCCCACCCTGAGCTTGCTAGGCCTTCCAGGGCCTCGGTCCCCACATCTGTGTTGGGAGAGAGGAGACAGTTCCTTCTTTAGGGAATGGGGGTCATAGAGATATCTTCACTCTCTAGCTTGTTTTCTTCTTTCTGATTGTAGCTCAGCTCCTTTTCTTTTCTTCTCTCTTCTTCCTGCCTTTAACCATTCTTCCATGAAACACTCAAGTGGGAGAGTTTGGTTGTTTGACAAAAAATGGGGAGGGTGGGTAGGGAGGAAGATGGAGTTTCTTTGTTTTCTAATTCCGCCCTACTTCGTTTCCTATAAGGGGACCAGGAACACTTTTCACTGGTCATCGTGGGGCTTCTCATCCCCTAAAGGCCATATTACCCCAACTTCTAGTTGTCAGCTATCCTTGTCAAAATTTCCTAATTTTGATACTTATATCCCACTTATTCACTAATCCCAGATCAAGCTTCACTTCCTCCAAAAAGTCTTTTTCAACTATGTCAGCCTTCACAGAGCAACTGTCATTCTTTAGGAAAAATCAAAATTTAGCTTGTAATGATATATGAATTGCACATGCACGCTAATTTATACTCTCCCTCCTGATTTAACAATCCTTAAGGAACAGTCTCCCTTGTATCCTGCGGGCATTCTGGTTCGATACTAGGCACAGTGTTGATTGCCTGTTTGATACCTGCTTAAAACAGAAAATCGACTTCCAAGTTCTGCGCACTGGTGTTTGCATGAGGACATGAGCCCCATTCCTTGAATTCCTACAATGTCCCAAGTGCTGAGCTGGGCACTGGCCATGCCAAAAACACATAAACACATTCTGTCCAGAGAGTGCTTACCTCTTCTTCCTGAGAAGATGGCCAGCTCACTTACACAATGAGTTCATTTTCGTCATGGAGATCATGAACAGAGGGTGCATTCCAGCTGAGCTAGTACTTCCTGCCCCTCAAAGCTCAGCTCAAAGTGAGTTTCCTTCTGTGGCCTTCCTCAGGCCATGGAACCTTAAGTTTCTTCATTTTTTTCCCTAAGACAATGAAAAGAAGAATGCTACAGTAATTAATGAAAGTCTCATGAGTGATCTCTTGCATCTATTTCCAGTGGATAGTTGGGTGTTTCTGACTGGCAAGCAATTCTCCTGCAGACCAAATTCAGGGACCCAGGCTCCTTCCACTTGTGGCTCTGCCACCTGCAAAGGCCTTGGAGTGACCTGCATCCAGAGGGCAATGGCAGGGTCACATTATGACTTTTATGGCTCCAGTGACTCTTGCCTTCATGGGCTCCTTCTTCCATGCAAAAAATTAAAAATTATATTTTATAACTCTATTGGTATAAAGATGACTACATTGTATATAAATATATTTTTTTGGCCAAAAAGTCTATTTTGTTATCTTGATTTTAAAGAAATAGAAACATTTCCATGAGGCCTTAAAACTCTTGTGGACCTGTGCTCATCTTTGTCTGTGCTTACCTCCCAGTCTGACCCCTGCGGTGCTCATCGACCCTATGCCCTTGGATCCAGCATGTGCCACCTTGCTTTGCCTTCTTGGCATGTTCCTGTTAGCCTCCCCAGACAGACAGCAAGATCTTGGGTCTTTTGCTAGCTCCCTAGCACATTACACCAAGCCTTGCCTAGGGCGAGGGTCTCCCAGTCTGATTCCTGAATTTGACCAGTAGGAGAGCTATCTGCCAACCAGAAACACCGAGTTCCCAACTGGAAATAGATTCAAGAGATAATCTCATAAGACCTCAGTCAATTACTATAGCATTCTTCATTTCACTATCTTAGGAAAAATGAAAAAACTTACAGTTACACAGTCTGAGGGAGGACACAGCTATGTATGATTGTGCCCGTTCTGCAAATCACTAACCCTCAGTTTCCTCATCTGTAAAATGGAGGGCAAGAACTGAATCTCCCTCATGGTACTGCGTGAAGAAGAAAATAGATGATTCATGCAATGTGCTTAAAATAGTATCTGGCATGTTGTAAGCACTAAATAAAGGTTAACCTTTTTATTATTATGACAATACAACAATGATTCATATTTATGAAATACTTGCGTTTTTCTAAAAACTGCCACAAGATGATAACATAGCTATAATCATAATGTCTCATTGCAGCCAAAACTTGTTTATGGGAAATGTTGAGGTTGAATGGAAATGTTAAAGACAGATGTGGATTTAAATCTCAGCTTTGCCACTTGCCAGCTTAGTGACATGTGATACTTACTTAATTTCTCTGAGTGTCTTAGTCTGTTTGGGCTGCTATAACAAGATGTCCTAAACTAGCTGGCATATAAAAAACAGAAACATATTTCTGATAGTTCTAGATGCCAGGAAGTCCAAGATCCAGGTACCAGCAGTTGCGGTGTCTGGTGAGGTCCACTTTCTGGTTCATAGAAGGCTCCTTCTATCCGTGTCCTCACAAGGTGGAAGGGACAAGACAGCGCTCTGGGGTTTTTCTTTCTTTTCTTTCTTTTTTTTTTCTTTTTTAGCAACAAGAATGCTCAATTTATTTATTTTTTCTTAGCAACAGGAATGCCCAGTCTTGGGCTTTTTCCATAAAGACACGAATCCCAAACATCAGCGCTCTGCCCTTGTGACCTACTCACTTCCCAAAGGTCTCACTTCCTAGTACTATTACATTGGTGATTAGGTTTCAACATACAAATTTGGGGAGGGGTGGACACAAACATTCAGATCATAGCACTGAGACTCTGTCTTCTTACTTGTTTTTATTTTACTTTATTTTATTATTATTTTTTTGAGACAGGGTCTCACTCTTTCACCCAGGCTGGGGTGCAGTGGCGTGATCATGGCTCACTGCCCCCTCAACTTTCTGGGCTCCAGCAACCCTCCCACCTCAACCTCCTGAGTAGCTGGGACCACAGGCATGTGCCACCATGCCTGGATAATTTTTATATTTTTGGTAGAGACAGGGTTTTACCATGCTGCCCAGGCTGGTCTCAAACTCCTGAGCTCAAGCGATCTACCTACCTGGGCCTCCCAGGGTGCTAAGATTACAGGTATGAGCCACTGCACCTGGCCTTTCTTATTTGTAAAATCAGATAATAATACCACTTACTTCACAAGTATTAAGAAACTGTTCTTGGAGTGCTTGACACCAGTCTGCCTTTTCTTTTTTTTCTTTTGTCGAGAATAAAGATGACTGTCTAAACAAATACCTCCTACTCATCCATGGTTACGAAAGCTTCAAGTCCTCATTAGAGACAAACTTTGGTGTTAGGCTCAAGAATGCTAGCTCCCTTCCCTTTTCCCTATCCCTGTTAAAATAAAAAACACTACACACCTAGAAGGATAATACATGAGTCCTTCCTCAGTCATTAACACCTTAACCTAAATGTGCTTCTTGTCTCCAGAGAGCAAGCTCTATCAGCTGGGGAAAGAAGGGAGGGTTTAAGAATGTAGGGCAGAGGCACAGGTCTGTGATGCCGAGGACTGATTTTGTTTCTGTTAATTTTATTTTTCTGTGATACTGGCATTCGCATAATATGACAACATTTTCTGGATTTTAGAGGATCACATTCTCTGTCGAACTCTCCTTGATTAAATGAAGTCACAGGGTGAATATTTCAATTATTTCAAGCCTTTGTGGTCAGTGATCTAGTATTCAATTGACCTGAACACTGAAAACAATCATCATGCCTATGGCTATTTGCTAGGGACACGTGATAACCACATGCAGGAATTCTGGGTAAGAGCCCAGGACCTCATTCCAACCCTGCCTTTCCCAAATACCTGCCCTGTGAGCCAAATCGCTTAATCTTAGGATTCTTTTGTTTCTTCTTTATAATTTTAAAAAGCACAGTACCTGCTTTATAAGGTTTTATGCATGAGATGGTGCCCATCAAGTGTATAGTGGCTGGTGTGTGATAATTTTGTAAAAGCGTCACATGGCAGTACATCAGAGCCACATGACATACATGACTGCTGGGAGCTGGGAAACACACTAGGAGCAGTGGTGCCTTCCAGTTGTCACCAGAGCAGGCACTGAACCTCCACTCACAATGCTCGGGAGACTCACCTAATGCCAAAGCCAGGGTCTAGATAAATCCTGCTTGACACAAGACCATATAAAGAGAGAGAGAAATATAGGCTGACAAAAAGTGGCTACAAAGCAAGGCAAATTCAAGTGGCTACTGGTGGCGTGTATAAAACAGAACTGCCCTGGGAAAGGAACAATCAAAAAACAAGATGGTGCCTGGGGAACTTTCTCAAAAGTGAGGAAACAATAAGCTATGTGTGCTCCTTAAAGCAAAGATATGGCAAAGATCCCAATCCATCTCATATTTTTAATAAATATGTCATTCTAATAGAATTTTCCTTGGTACTTAAAATTAGATTATAAATTTTACCCTTAGGAAAAAATATAGTTAGGAAAAAGAAGGATGATTGAATGAATGACGAAAGGAAAAATAACAAGTGAATAGTCGGTAATATGATAATATGATAACATGCTTAATCACCTCTCAAAGAAATACAGCTCCAAGTTACATAATCCTGGATTCCACATCTGGAAACAAGGAGCACTCCCTGTATTTGGAGTTTATTATAAATATAGGCAGAAAGGCTGCAATGGAATTCAGAAGGACAACCCAGTAGAAAATTGAAACCTGGAAAAAAAAATCAGCAA